>NC_000015.10:33276874-33579904 GCF_000001405.40 Homo sapiens
CATTGGTTTTGGTGTCTTTTGTGATTCTATACAAATTTTAGGGTTTCTTGTATTTTCTGAAAAATGTTGAAATTTTACTACAAATTGCATTGAATCTGTAGATCATTTTGGGTAGTATGGGCATTTTAACAATATTGATTCTTCTGTCCATGAATATGGGATGGAAATTTCATTTATGAGGGAACATGGGCAAAGCAAACTCCCAGGGTGTTTGTCGTGTTCTGGTGGAGCACTCTGCTGGCTGCTCAAACTGCTGCCATGGTCTTTAGCACATGTGAATTATACCTCTGAGAAGGTGCTGAACTGTGTGCTCTGAGTGCCTCCTCTACCCTTTCCCCAGGCCCTCACCCAGGGCTGGGACCCACACTTGATTGGGGATGGAGATTGGGATGACTGAGCGCAGAAAAAGTCAGAACGACAACTGATGAAAACAGAAGTCTGAAAGAATGTCCAGGATCTTAATAGTGGTTGTCTCTGGGAGAGTATTATTTATTTTGTTGTATTTTGCTTGTCTAAGTTTTCTGAAATAAACAAATAGGAGGAAAAGGTTGGAAATGTTTGTTTTAATGTATACAGGAAAGAAAAGTTAGATTCAGAGACTCTTATGACAGCAGTGTATCTCCAAAATGTCCAGGAGAGAAAGTAGCCCACCCCAGGGGTAGCTGTGGCCCTAGAGGGGCTGCAGTGGATCCACCCCAACGTCAATGTGCATCAGAATTTACCCAACTAGTTCCACTTGCTGTAATGCCATGCTCACCAAACAACATTCTGATAATAATTTAGTATCCCAGGAAAATTGTCTTCAGGGAGAAGCTGCACTCACTGAACACAAGCATCCACCCTCCTGTTAGTTACATTTTCTTCATTAAAAATTAATACATTCACTTTCTGTATTTGGTTTTTGAGATGATGGATTTTTTTTTTCAGATCCCAGCTGAGAACAACAATCCTCTCTCTGTCTAGCTATTGTGTTTGCCCTGGTGTGTCCTGGGGCAGATGCAGGCTCTGCTTCTCCTCTGATAGTGGGAAGGGAATTTGAATTTCAGTGAACAACTGTAACCAATTATTGGAGTCATTGCAGAAGATCAGATATTTTATTGAAACGATGTCAGAGAATAGAAAGGTTTAATTAGACAGGGTTATGGACCCCTTTTCATTGAAATCATATTTATTCAAAGATTATCTGTAGCATTTTGAATTTAATTCCTTAGCATAACAGTGGAGAGAAATAGAAACTTGCAAAACCAATTATAACAGTTCATCAAAGCATTCAAGAAGGATATATAGCTGATCAAAAAGCTCATGTAACCTGTATTTCCTATCCTGGCAATAGGGCTGCAGAGGAGAAGACAGAACAGGCACTGTACCCTGTCTAACTCGGTAGGTGGTGGGATAACTCCATGTGTCTCCATTCATTCCCCATCATTAATTATGACCACTGCTCTAACCCCATTTTTCTGTAGTGTGACTAATTAAATAGATTTTTATATATACATAAAATTGTATATTATATTGTTATATATATATATTAGATATAGATAGATGGAGTTGATTTGTTGTCACTTTTTCCTATAGTCTGATACTCAGTTTTATGTTCCTATGTTCCCATTAGCTCAAGGCTTGGGCTTCAGAAGGGAAGAAAATGAAGATCTTAGCTTCTAGAACTTACCTTTGGTTCTCTTGTCCTTTTCACAAACTTGACAGTGTTGAAAATGAGGTTCATTGTACCACACAAGAAAAAGGTAGTCCTGCCTTAAAAAGTCATTTAAATTTCTATTCTTAAGGGTTTTTGCTTAACCAGTTTTGTAAGTTTAAAAGCTTTTAAAGGCAAACTTTATGGAGATGGAGATGGTATTTCTAAATTCTAAAGCTCTTTTCTTTAACAGATTAATGCTTGATGGTACTGACCTTAGAGTCTTAGGTGGGAGGAGGCCTGTGAAAAAAGATGGGAAAATGAGAAGCCTAAAATTTTCAACACTTTCAAGTTTATGAAAAGGACAAGGGAACCAAAGGTAAGTTCTAGAGGCTAAGGTCTTCATTTTCTTCCCTTCTGAAGCCCAAGCCTTGAGCTAATGGGAACATAGGAACATAAAAGTGAGTCACCACTGAGTCATCCACAACCCTCAGGCTCAGGGCTGCTTTCCCAAGAGAAGCCGGAGGAGGCAGAAACCCCCTGGGGAGTGTGGCACTCTGCTTGGCTCCATGTCCAACATGGCATCAGAGTCATGGAGCAGGGGGAGCTGACGGGACAGGTGAGGCTGGGGCAGTGCTCCTGGCTCCCCCAAAGCCTCAGCCTGCCTGCAAGGATGCCTATGTGCCCTGTTCAAGTGATGGGAAGTGCTGGGAGAGCCAGAGCACCAGCAGGATGAAGAGGCTCCCATGAGAGGGGTCTTTATAAAGGTGCAGGTAGCTGGGACCCAGACTCCAGAGATGAGTACCAGTGCAAGATCTGAGAAGGTTATAGGGGATGGGCCATAACACAGTGGTTACCAGTTAAGTGTATAGATCAGATGAGCCATCCTACAGCAGCAAGCCCCCAAAGGATACCCACCGCAGGAACACTGTAAGGTGTCTGATCCATCTCTTAGGAAGGAGAAAGATAGTAAAGCAGCACTCTTGAAGGCTGAGGATTTACCCAGAGACTGTGTCATCCAAAATGTATGAATCATGCCAGGCCCCGTAGGAAATTGAACTTTGAATAATATGATTACTTAACCAAAAGGAGACTGTTTAAACCCTAAGAGACAGAAACTCTAATTAGCAAGTTAATTAGCAAGTACCTAGAGGGGGTGGAGGCTTACAGGAAATTAACTACAACTTCTTTGTACATGTGAGTATATAGTCTGAGTTATTTGTAACCCTGCTACATTGGCTAAGTAAAACACATGAAACCCCAAGGAAAGTTCTTTCTCTTAGCTTTGCTTTGATTGCAAAGTGTGCTTGCTTAGTAAGGGAGACAAAGGGCTGGGTGGACCCAGTCTACCTAACTTACCCTACCCCATGTCCATGACCTCCGTCACTGTCCACCCTTTTAGGTTGTGCCTGTGAATATTCCCCTCACCCCACAGTGAATCATTCCCCTAGACCGCTTCCTTTTCCCCAACTCACAGTGGCTAAAACAATCAGGAAATGTATTACCTTCCCTAACTGAAAGTCCAGAGGCTTCAGGCTAAATTGATTCAGTGGCTCAGCAATGCTACCAAGGCCCTGATTTTGTTCCATCTCTCGAGTCTGTTATTATTAGTGCTGTCTCAGCTCTCAGCCTGGTGGAAGTTGGCTGCAGCGGTTCTAAGAGTCGCGTGCAGACACTGTCTTTCTTTTTTAATTTTTTTTAAATTATACTTTAAGTTCTAGGGTACATGTGCACAACATGCAGGTTGGTTACATATGTATGCATGTGCCATGTTGGTGTGCTGCACTCATTAACTCGTCATTTACACTAGGTATATCTCCTAATGCTATCCCTCCCCTCTCCCCCCACCCCACAACAGGCCCCGGTCTGTGATGTTCCCCTTCCTGTGTCCAAGTGTTCTCATTGTTTAATTCCCACCTATGAGTGAGAACATGCAGTGGTTGGTTTTTTGTCCTTGTGATAGTTTGCTGAGAATGATGGTCTCCAGCTTCATCCATGTCCCTACAGACGACATGAACTCATCATTTTTTATGGCTGCATAGTATTCCATGGTGTATATGTGCCACATTTTCTTAATCCAGTCTATCATTGATGGACATTTGGGTTGGTTCCAAGTCTTTGCTATTGTGAGTAGTGCCGCAATAAACATACGTGTTCACGTGTCTTTATAGCAGCATGACTTATAATCCTTTGGGTATATACCCAGTAATGGGATGGCTGCGTCAAATGGTATTTCTAGTTCTAGATCCCTGAGGAATTGCCACACTGTCTTCCACAATGGTTGAACTAGTTTACAGTCCCACCAACGGTGTAAAAGTGTTTCTATTTCTCCACATCCTCTCCAGCACCTGTTTCCTGACTTTTTAATGATCGTCATTCTAACCGGTGTGAGATGGTATCTTATTGTGGTTTTGATTTGCATTTCTCTGATGGCCAGTGATGATGAGCATTTTTTCATGCAGACACCGTCTTAAGGAAGCTAGACCATCTCCTCCTGTGTGTCCCCAAAGCTCTCATCAGACTTCTTCCGAGTCTCATCAGCAGAATTTTGTCACTAGCCTTTTCTAAGCCAAATGCCAGCAAGGGTAATAGGATTACAAAGATAAAATTAAACTATCTTCAATAAAACTGGTATTATGACATCAACAAGAAATATCCATTGCCCCTTCCCCATATTCCTGCTCCAGTAATGGGTGATTAATTTATTCCTCCCCCTTGAAGTCTTGGGTTATTCTTGGGGCAGCGGGGGGCAGTGTGTGTGGCATGTTCTTCAACCTCTTTCAAAACCTTTGAGCTGTTAGCATCCTATTCATTCCCTGTGTTGAAGTGACCAGTGCTGAGTGGGGAGGATGGAGGCACTTTAGATACTGTTGAGGGTAGAGCCAGGTAAAAACTCATGAGTAGGTCTGAATTGCAGACTACTGTGAGAATATGTCTCACCATATTTCTCTTTTTCTCTTAATGTCACTTTTTAAAACTTTTTAATTTTTATTTATTTATTTGAGACAGGGTCTCGCTCTGTGGCCAAGGCTGGAGTGCAGTCGTGCACTCTTGGCTCACTTCAACCTCTGTCCTCCTAGGTTCAAGTGATTCTCCCACCTCAGCCTCCTCGGTAGCTGGGACTACAGGGGCACGCCACCATGCCAGGCTAATTTTTGTATTTTTTTTTTTGTTAGAGGTGGGGTTTCACCATGTTGGCCAGGCTGGTCTTGAATGCCAGACCTCAAATGATCTGCCTGCCTTGGCCTCCCAAAGTGCTGGGATTGCAGTCGTGAGCCACCATGCCTGGCCTCCCTTTTTTATTTTTTAAGTGAAAAAAGAAACATCTCTCAGTGTAAGAGCTAATCTTTCACCTAGCTTTGGAAGCTTATTGTGCCAAAAAGTTATCTGCCTCCTTATCTGGATTGACAGTACCGAGTTGTCTCCTATGAGCTGCAGTTGCCCTTGCTCAATCTAGTTGTAGGTTTCAATTTTCCCTTACCAGCTTGACTGAAGCTGGCTGATGATAGAAGATTAGAGACCCTCTTACTCACCTCTCTTGCTTGCAGGTGAGAAAACAGCGACCCAGGCAGATTCTATGACTTGTAGTCTGCCAAATAATTAGTGAAAAAACCAGACTAGAACCCAGATCTGTAGGCTCCTAGTTCCCAGTCTAACAGACAGTTATACCAGATACTTCTCATCTCAAATTTTCTGACCTTTTATATGAAATTGGAGCCACTGACCTGTCATTAACAATGGTTATAAGCTCAGTGGTTGTATAGAGCAATGGTTCATTTTGATTGCTCAAAAAATGTCTTTTGATCACAGTCTGAAAGAGAATTCCTCTTCACAAGGCTTTCTTTGAAGGAGCATTTTTTTTAATCCCTCTAGGGTTGTAAATTCTGTGGGCCCACAGGCCCCTTTCTGCCCAGTCTCACCCTGTTGCCTCTAGCACTAGATGGGAAGCACAAGTATATGTGAAGAGTCCTCCTGTGACCAGTGACATGAGTGAGAAGGACGCCTTTGTTAAGCCTGCAGTGAAATCTGTGGCCTTGGAATAGAATAGAGCTGCACACTGGAATTTGGACAAAAACTTGAATTTCACCCTCAAAAGCTACCAACCCTCTGGCCTAGTGTAGCTCAGTGTTCCTTCTGTTAGAGTATTTTCTTCTTGCTGCCACAGTTGTAATGCAGATTCCCTCATGTGGAAAGCTACCTGGATGGGAACATTATCCACTTAACGAATGTATACTGGGAGTTGGCTAGTTACCAGGAACGAAGGGACCAATGATGCATTCAACTGACGTGCTACCTGCCTTTGGGGAGTTAGAGGGCAGTGAGGGTGCCCACCCCTGGACAGGTGAGTGTAGCAGGCCATGTGGTAGGCAGCAGAGAGAGGAAGAGGGCACTGTGGCAGTACTAGGGGATACATAACTCCAGCTAGGAGGGGGAAGTCGTTGGGGAGAGCTTCCCAGAGGATGTGAATGGAAGGATGAGAAGCAGTTGGCCCGTGAAGACCACAGGGTTTGGAGGTGTGAGGAGATTTATTACAAAAGAGGGAATGGCACATGGAAAGTCATGGAAGTTGGTAATAACCCAGGGTTTCTTTTCTCTTTCTTTCTTTTTCTTTTCTTTTTTTTTTTTTTGAGATGGAGTTTCACTTTTTTGCCCAGGCTGGAGTGAAGCCGTGCGATTTCGGCTCACTGCAACCTCCACCCCCTGGGTTCAAGTGATTCTCCTAACTCATTCTCCCAAGTAGCTGGGATTATAGGCACCCGCCACCACGCCCGGCTAATTTTTGTATTTTTAGTAGAGACGGGGTTTCACCATGTTGGCCAGGCTGGCCTCAAACTCCTGACCTCAAGTGATCTGCCTGCCTCAACCTCCTAAGGTGCTGGGATTACAGGCGTGACCCACCGCACCCGGCCCAGAGTTTCTTTTACTTAATGAAACCACAGAGTATTGCTTGTTTTTTTACAAATGTTTACAGAGGTACACTGCAGCCTATCCTGATCCCCACAACTGAAACCCAGAAATAAAATATGTAGCATTTGTCACTTCGTGGGCATGCAATTAAGCAGAATTTCATTTCTGATGTTACTAATAGCATTTCTAATAAGCTCAGCTGTACATCGACTTTTAGATATTACTAACTTGAGAGCTTTTTTCCCCATAAGACAATTATATTCAAATTGCTAAATGCTGATTTAAAAAGAAAGTCGCAGCAATTACTGTGATCTATTATACTACAGAGAGGTCCTATTGTATTAGGGATATTTACCACTGGGCTTTTTGTTTTTATTGTGTGCCATTATAATAGACTTTTGTCTCCTCTCTTCCTGTCAGAAAGTCAGCTTTCCCATCTGACTGATATTGGTGTTCCTGACCATAGCACTCCATCTCTTCTCCTCCAATCAGATGTGGGCTTTGCAAACCATATTATCATGTGTGTTAGAAGTGCATATGATATAAAATCACATTGATTTTGAGTGAGGAGCTCTTCTCTGAGTAATACATTTCTGTTCATGGGCATCAACGTTGGGGGCCTTCATGATTTTCACTATTCTCAATCATTTCCCCTTCTTTCTTTTCAGTTGTGTTCTAAAGAGGAAAGCTTTCTGAATAACTGAATTTCATGTAGATGAGGACCTTTATGCTCTGAATACAGAATATAAAATCTCATGTCTATTTCCTGTTTTGCAGGCCTGTAAACATTAGTGGGGATGTAAGCAGCAGGTTATACCCATGATGGGTCATGGTTGTAGGCAAGGTGGCCAGAAACCATATTATTCGCAGAATAAGAGTAGCTTACAAGGGAGGCCTTAGAGGCCAGAAAAGCCAAAGTTCAGTTCCAAAGAAGGCTTTATAAGCCTCAGACTCAAGGGGTGAATCAAAACCTGAAAACCAAAACCAAATAGGCAAGAGATTGGTGAACTGTCTTTTTTTTTTTTTTTTTTTAGTTGTTATAATATTGTGTAACAAACCACTCCCACACTCAGTGGTTACAACAGTAAACATTTATTTTGTCATCATATACCTATTAGGTCAGTTTTGGCTTGGCTTGGCTGAGATTGGCTGGGTTTGTCTAGACTGGCTCTAGGGGTTGGAGCCACACGGACCAGGCAGAAGGAACAGCCATTACCTAGGACATGTGGCTCTCCTGGCAGAGGACAGGAGGGACAATAGTGGAAGCAGCAAGTGATGCCTCTGCTCAGAACTTGCACCTGCCATTTCCTCTACATGGCCCAGTCTATAGTCAATGGGGTGGGGAAGTATTGGTGAACAAGGGCAGGGAGGGAAAATTGTGAATAAATAATACATTCCACCCCAATAGTTGATAAGAGAATAGTTTGTTGGAAAAAGCAAAGAGGGTGGAAGGTTAACATTTCAGGATACCAAAATGCAAACAAGAGGGCACCAGAAAGCTCTGGTTGACAGAGACCTCTTTTATTGGGCCCAGGTCACATGAGTGGTCTGAGAAAGACAGAGCTGGGATGGACAGCAGGCTCTAAAGAGAGGGGCTGTGTATCTGAGAGTGATGGTCAGTCAGGCCCAGCATCTGCACTCTTTGGAAGGCTTACCTTATAGTGATGTTTTTTATTTTAGATTCAGGGGGTACATGTGCTTGTTTGTTACATAGGTGTTACATGCTCAGTGGTGGAAGTTGGGCTTCTAGTGTACCCATCACCTAAGTATTGAATATTGGGCTTGTTTGTTTCCTGTTTTTGTTTTTGTTTTTTTAATTTACCTTTTAGCATTCAGCACCCTTTTCCTCTTTTTTTTAATTTTTACTTTTTTGAGACAGAGTCTCACTATGTCGCCCAGGCTGGAGTGCAGTGGCACGATCTTGGCTCACGGCAAGCTCCGCCTCCCGGGTTCACGCCATTCTCCTGCCTCAGCCTTGTGAGTAGCTGGGACTACAGGCGCCCGCCACCACGCCCGGCTGATTTTTTGTATTTTTAGTAGAGACGAGGTTTCACCGTGTTAGCCAGGATTGTCTCGATCTCCTGACCTCATGATCCGCCCGCCTCAGCCTCCCAAAGTGCTGGGATTACAGGCGTGAGCCACCGTGCCCGGCCCCAGCACTCTTTTCATCTTATTGAAGATTGATGTAATTCTTTTCTGGCTGGTTGCACAAATAAAAATTTACCAGCTAGACCACAATTATGTTTAATTGAATACTTTAACAACAACGAAATATTCAACTTACCTTTTGAGTGTTCAGTAATTCTAGCCTTGGCCTGTGTTATTTTGTCACTCCTGTTTCCTAAAATTATAGTTTTTATTTTGAAATCTCATCAGGAATGCTTTAGCATGATCATTAAATAAATGTTCCCAGCTGTGAAGGTGATGCCATTCTCTTGGACACCTTGACTTAAAAACTCCGAGTCATCCAATTCCTGTATCATATCTTTTAAGTTGCCAAGTATAGGTGGCTTTATTTGTGGAATGTCCCTCACTTCCTTCTCCTGTCTATTCCTCTGCCACAACCTGGCAGTAATTACCTCTCACCTGGATAATTGCATTAGCCTCTTGGGAGCCTCTTAATCAGTCACTACATCATGTTCAACCGCCATATTATGTATTTTTTCTCTTAATTTTTATTTTTACATAATTTTAGATGTACAGAAGTTTTGAGAAAAGTACAAAGAATTCCAGAATACCCTACATCTAGATTCCCCATATATTAACACTTTATAACATTTGCTTTTTTCATTCTCTGTCTCTCACTTTTATACACATACATATATGTGTGTGTGTGTACATATATATATATATATATCTTTATTTCTGAACAATTTGATAGTTGCAGACATTATGTTTCTTTACCCGTAAATGCTTCGGTGTACATTTCCCCAAAACAAGAACATAAGCTCAATACAGTTATCAAATCAGGAATTACACTGACACAATACTATTTTCTAATCTACAGACCATATTCAGATTTGGCTGATTATGCCAATAATACCCTTAGCTTAAAAAAAAGATTCCAACAACAGATGCCGGTGAGCTTGCGGAGAAATAGGAACGCTTTTACAATGTTGGTGGGAATTTAAATTAGTTTAATGACTGTGGAGGACAGTGTGATGATTCCTCAAAGATCTAGAACCAGAAATACCATTTAACCCAGCAATCCCATTACTGGGTATATACCCAAAGGAATAGAAATCATTCTATTACAAATACACATGTACGCATATGTTCATTGCAGCATGTTCACAATAGCAAGGACATAGAATCAACGAATCAACTCAAATGCCCATCAACAATACACTGGATAAAGAAAATGTGGTACATATACACTGTGGAATACTATGCAGTCATAAAAAAATAAAAATAAAAAAACGAGATCATGTCTTTTGCAGAGACATGGATGGAGCTGGAAATCATTATCCTCAGCAAACTAATGCAGGAACAGAAAATCAAACACTGCATGTTCTTACTTATAAGTGGGAGCTGAACAATGGGAACACGTGAACACAGGGAGGGAAACAATACACTTTGAGGCCTGTTGGGGGTTTGAGTTGGGGGAGGAAGAACAGTAGGAAAAGTAGCTAATGTATGCTGGGCTTATTATTTAGGGGGTGGATTCACAGGTTCAGCAAACCACCATGGCACACATCTACCAGTGTAACAAACCTGCACATCCTGCACATGTATCCCAGAACTTAAAATAAAAATAAAAATTAAAAAAAAACCCAGATGACACATTGCATTCAGTTGTCATGTGTGTTGAGTTTACTTCGAAGTAATTTCTCAGTTTTTCTTTATACTTCATGGCACTGATAACTTTAAAGAGTACAAGCCAGTTGTTTTATAGAGTAGTGCTCATTTGGAGTTTGTATGATTTTTCTTTTTGCGCGATCTCAGCTCACTACAACCTCTGACTCCCTGGTTCAAACGATTCTCCTGCCTTGGCTTCCCGAGTAGCTGGGATTACAGGCACGTGCCACCACGTCCAGCTAATTTTTGTATTTTTAGTAGAGACGGGCTTTCACCATGTTGGCCAGAATGGTCTCCATCTCCTGACCTCATGATCCTCCCGCCTCGGCCTCCCAAAGTGCTGGGATTACAAGCGTGAGCCACTGAGCTGGGCCTGTCTGATGGTTTTTTATGATTAACATCACTTTTTTAAAAGTTCTACTCTGGCCAGAGAAATAGCTTCAGTTACTGCCTAATATATCCCCAGCAAAGTTCCTTTGTTCTGGCCTTAAGAATCTGACCTTACTACTCTTTCCAGCCTAAGTTTTTATACCCCAGCCAGACTGGACTACACAGTTGACAGTTATCTCTGACTGTTCTTAAGATGTGCCTTCACCCTGGATCATTTTCCTCATTCTCATTCCACCGATTGACCTCTACTCTTCGTCTTTTAAAGACAAATGCAAATGCCACCTGATACGATTTCGCTGTGTCTCCACCCAGATCTCATCTTGATCTGTAGTTCCCATAATCCCCGTGTGTCATGGGAGGGACCCAGTGGGAGGTAACTGAATCATGGAGGCAGTTACCTTCATCCTGTTCTTGTGATAGTGAGTTCTCACGAGATCTGATGGTTTTTATAAGGGACTTTCCCCTGCTTTCCTATGCACTTCTTCTTGCTGCTGCCATGTGAAAAAAGGACTTGTTTCCCTTTCTGCCATGATTGTAAGTTTCCTGAGGTCTTCCCAGCCCTACAGAACTGTGAGTCAATTAAACCTCTTTCCTTTATAAATTACCCAGTCTTGAATATTTCTTCATAGCAGCGTGAGAATGGACTAATACCCCATCTGAAAATATCCATATTTTCTCCCCAGTCATGGAATCATCCTTTCACTTTACTGATCCTCTCTTGCCTTTATTTAGAGTTTTATATTGATCACCATCAAAATTAAAATGGAATTATGAAATATAAGCCTATGAGCACTTAAAAAAAGGAAGCAGTAATTGTTAGTAGCCAGCATCCTACAGTCAGGGCCAGGTACACCAGCATAATGTCATTTCCTTTTGTGATAAGATTGTGACACTGAAGGCTCAGGAAAAGAACAGAGGCATCTCCATCTGAGCAAGGCATGTGACCAAATCCTAAAGTGTGGACCAGGTACAGAAATGGTGAGCTGCACAGATTCCTAGCCCCTGGAACCCTCCTCTCCCAACATTGGGGCCCCCGATCCCCAACCTGAGGCTCAGCCTCGCCCTGTCTCAAGGAAAGAGGCTATTAGGTGGTGTAGCCCAGGTCACAACAGTGGCCAGTCTAACTTAGACTCTGTGTGGTATTTTTAGTCGGCTTTCTTGCTCCTGAAACCAAGTCCCCACTTGGTGTCCAAGTTCTAGTGACTACGTGTAGTTCTTATTTGTCTTCTATGCCTCAGTGTTCATCTGTTACCTCCAGCCCCATGTTTTTATCTTAATTATAGCTTCTCCTAGAAACTGAAGTCCTGCCCTTGACTCATAGCTGGGGCTTTAGATTCTAGATTGTTTCCTTGATGCTAAATGTTTCTTGGATTTCTAAATATCTGCCTCTGTAATCCCTATCACTCCGCTCCCTTCACTTTTTAGAATAAGCCCATTACGGTATGTGATCCTCATTCTCTGCCTTGCCCAGTTGACTACTTGCTTGTTGTCTGTTCCCATAATTTCTAGATATTGCTGCTGCCTGTATCTGGAACTGAGTTCCCTTCAGCTCTGACATGTGGATTGGTCTTCTGATGCCTGACCTCTCCTTTGGCAGGTATACTTTTATGTAGGATCCTTTCTAAGTTGTCCTAACCTGCCATTCCTGACCATAGATAGCCAAACTGTCTCTCATTACTGCAGAGTGTCAGCTAATTAAACATCCACGTATGTGGGCAGTTGACTGTGGGGTCAATGTCAGTTTTGCAGAATATCTTTAGAGGATACTGAAGGGCTCTGGATTTGGTGCTGCTGTGCTGTTCAACTTTTTTGTTTCAAGGGCTAGAAGAAAGCTAGAGAAAGAATGTTTATCAGGTTTTCAGATGATCTGTAGCTCTTGGGAAGTAGTAAATATAATCCTTTAATACTTTGAGAATATTCTAAGACTACTATGAAAGGGCAAGACAAGTAATATACATATTACAATCAATAAATGTAAAGACCTTTACTTAGTTTCTAAAGGTAACTTCTCAAGTACAGGAAAAGAAAAAATATATTACCATAGTGATCAACACTTGGCAATCCAGCAGCACTGAACTATAAGTAACTCCTTTTTACATCATGCTGCTTCTCATTCTCTGGCTTTGACTTGACTTTTCTCTTCCACGAAGATATTCCTTCCCCACTGCTTTCATCTGCCTAACTCCTCCCCATGCTGTAAGACTCAGTCTCCTCCCCAGAGCCTAATTTGACAACCCAGCCTGTGCTATTTGCTTTTCTTCTGTAGCTCAATGTGTTCCTCCTCCTTGTAGTGAACACATTACGGAATAGGTATATGGCCTGTATCCGTCTCCCAGAGGAGGCTGTGAGATCTCTAACAACTGGGGCCAGTTCTTCTTCATCTTTTATATCCAGTGCTTAGCCAGGCCGTGGCACATAGTGAATGTTGATTAAGTGTCTGAAGATGCTGGAACAGGCTTGGTCCTCCTCTAGGAGTGAGCCCATACAAGATCTAAAATTGCTTCAAGTTACTTTTCTGAATTCCACCTCTGAAACCTGCTTTTTTATCCTTGTCTATCCCTTATTGAAGCCATTTCACTTTGGCTGTTAATATTTATCTTGACTTGCTCCTCAGATAATAAGTTTTTAGTTCTCGGTTGCTTTTGGGCCTACCCTCAAATTGGAGTTCCTTCTTTATTTTCTCCTTAGCCTGGGCCCCCAAACCCAGGACAAGGACTGGCCTGTTTACTCCTCTGCCCACATGCCCAGCTTCTGTTCCTGAGACCCAGCAAGGACGAAAGGCATTTCCTCGACTAGCCCTGTCCTGCCCCCTCTCTCCTCCCACCACACACCATGCTCTCTTTGGCTAGGATGATGGCTGCAGCAGCAGGGCCTGAGGCTTTAGTTGACTTCAAGTATAAGACAAGCTATCAGCGTGTTATAGCTGCAAGAAAAGCACATGCTTTTGCATAATTCACGAGTACAGTATAATAAATATCATGAGAGGAAGCGACTCCATTACACTCTAAATAGATAGATCCAATTCAGGCATCACATTTAAGAATCATACAAATTTAGTTCCTCTACAGAAAGCAAACCAGAATGCAGAAAGATTTTCAGGCCCTCTTCTGGAAAATGGATAACCCAGGGCTACACGAGTTCAATATGTGAATACCTGTTATAGAAAAAAATGTTAGAAATAGCATAGCTTTCTAAGTAGAGATTAAATTAAGTAAAGATTTTTGCTTAGTATAAGAGAAATTTCCTCTCAATAAGAACTATTCAAATGCAAATGACTGTTTTTATAGATAATAGTCCATCATTTTATATGTATAATTAAAAAATATAATATGTAATTATATATAATTTATAATATATACTTTTATATTTATATCATACAGATTATATATATGCTATATTTTTTAAGAGTGTTAGGAACAATTCTTGGATACTAGATATTCTACAGAATATTTATGTACTCTTGAGATAGATTGGACTACATAATCTGTAAGATCCCTTTAGCTTCTGAAATTCCAATCCTGTTAATGTATAAAGCACCCATGTCAGCCTATTTTCTAAATTTATACATGTCTTATTGGTCCTACTATATTGCAAGCTCCTTGAATACAGGGATATTATATCTAATTCACCTTTGCTACCCTTGTAACAGTACATACATATTATACAGACTTGCTCAATAGGCATCTGATGAATAAATGTATGAATGTATGGATGGATGGATGAATGGATGGATGGATAGATGAATAGATGGATCAAACAAAAACCATGTGGACTTCTCTAAGAGATTTTATGTGATCTTGAGAAATCCTTCAATTTCTTTCTCCAATTAATGAAACGAACATTAACTAAGGATCCGACTACCTGCAGTGTTAGAGGAAATAGTAAATGTGTAATTTAAAGACGCTGGAAACGTACAAATGTTAGGCAAAAACAGTAAAACAGTATTTTGTTAATGATATTTGTTCCTGTCTCAAATCCTTCTATTAAAATTTAACTTTTTTTCAAATTATGGAATTTTATAGCTGACATTGAAGGCTCAGATGCATTTTTATCTGAGATTAATTTTTTTTACTATGCCATATTCTTTGTAAGAAATCTTCACAGGGCCATAAAATCTTTTTGTGGCATGGGTTAGAATACATTAACTCAATAATATGGCTTTAGTTATACTGCCTAATTTCAATGTGAGAAAAAATACCAACTTCACTATTAATTATTAACAGTAGCAGAAGTAGCATAAACACATGTTTGTCAGGGCTTAAAGCAAGATACTATTCCTTTATTCCCCCTAGGATTGATATGAATTTGTCCTCGCAGTTCACATCTGTTGGGTTACGTGCTGCAGCCCCAAATCCCACCTGATTTACCCTATTCACAGCTACAGTAATAGCAGGGTGAGCTCCTGACCAAAGCCAGATCCATCACAGCCCTTTTCCTCAAAATCTGAGCTTGAGATTAAATATCAGCCTCTCTCCTCATAGCTGTGCCTATTACATGTTAAATCTGATGCTCACTTCTGCCATGTTTCCCAATGTATTCCGAATAATTGAGGAAGTCTTCCTGGCTATTTGTTGTTTAAATTGCCTTTATAATGTATATGTATATATTATTGGGTCTCTGCTGATTGTAGTCTTCTGGAGAGCATTTATTAATTGAGATTCTTTGGGTTACAAGTAACATTGTAGGTAGTTTAAGAAAAAATCGTAAATCTAGCTTAAGGCTATTGGTACATCTAATGGAATCCAAGACCACAGAGCTAGATAGACGGTATCAGCACTAGCACCCTGCCTGCTGATTAAGCCTGTTGCTTGGACAATTTTCAAAATTCAATTATTCACTTATTAAAATTTTTTCTCACCTCCTGTATATTTGCAGTGATTATTGGCCCTTTTTATTTTTCAAGTCCATTTCAAGTAGGTTTATGAAGATTGTCCTGGCTGAGGTCATCTTTTTATAAGCCAGAGTGTTTTATTTGCCATTAACAATGAAAGCGTATTTATCAAACATGCTATCAATCTCAGTAACACAGAATCCCTATTAATGACATATTTCTGATAGAACAGTACAGTGAATATTACTTAGGTTCTTCAAGATCCCAAATTGCTTCCTGAAGTCTTTACAAGAAATGAAACAGAAACTGTAATTAGGTCTTTAGTGTTTCTTCATTCCATTAAAAAGTATCAGTTTGTATTTGCAACATATGATAGCGCCAACAGAATATTTAATTAGCTCAAATCTAAGGCATTGCAGAGGATACACAGGCTTTATCAGAAGATAGATTAGCTCTGTGCCACCAGAGGGCGACCTAACCTAATTATGTGGAAGTGTGAGACTCCGGAGGGGTTAAAATCTAGAGTGAGCCCTAAATGGTTGAGGGGCGGGAAAGGAATTACAAACAAGAACATATACAATGGAAAATTAGAATCAGCACACACAAGCCTACAATTTTCCAAGTCTTCCTAGTCATAGTTTCTTGCTTCCGAAAAACTTGTTTCATTCATTAAGGACATATATTAACTGTTTGCTACCTGATATTTTAATGCCTTGCCTTGGCTATTTTTAATCCTTGCTATTGCCTCATTGCAGGCGGTGGTCATCATTTAAGTGTTTCTTTAGGTTAAATAATTATGTAGAAAGTAACGCACTGCAATATTTGTAACTCACTGCCTAAGATGGAAAGGAGGCCCTGAGCCACTCCAAACACACAGGGACCCTCATGAGGCATCATCCCATTACTGTCCCTGTTCGCTTCCCCACTGTTATTATAGCAACTGTGCTCTCATGGTCTAACCCAAATTCCTAGCAGTATAGTACAAACCCACTTTCTCCTCTTTTGTCTTCAGTAGTGATGGGAGCAGCTTGTGACACATACAAAAAGTTTTGTTATATCCTTTCCTTGGACTTTTATTCTTCCACTGAAATCATGTGCATTCTTTTTAGCTTATTTTCAGACATTATATAACATTGCTACTTTCTTTCCAATTTTCCTGTTATTTTGATGCTCTCTTTTAAAACAATAGAATTGCTTGTTTTAAAATCATTATAACTAATAACAAAAATAGTTATTCTGGCTGATTTCATTTTTAGTTTTCCTCTCGTGGCGTCAAGCAGGAGTCCATCTGTGTGCCATTGGTGAAATGGTGGTGTTTACTTTGGTTTTCATTCAAACACATATCAGAGCCAGCCATTCAGTCTGAGTTCATCCTGCCTTCTATTCCTTCAGCAGGCGAACATGAAAGCAGAGTCTCCACGCCCGTCTCCAGACAAACAGCCTATCGCTGCCTGAAATCGGTGCTTTGATTCTCAAATGCAGCTACTGGGCAACTCACAGTCCCCTGCGTACTGAAGGCAGTTTCCTAGGCAGACCACCGGCACAGCCCAGACCGCAGGGGCCTGTGAGCGGACGAACCTCTGAAGTTATGTGGCTGCTGTCCCGAGTGGTGTACACGTTTCTCACCGCATTCATCCCTAAGAATATCTCATGGAGACAATCTTTCCTGGGAGACAGGTCACGCAGCGGTTGCAATAGGTGTGACAAGCTTCCAAGCTATGTGTCGCACTGCAAATATGTGGGCATTAAGGAGTGTGTTTTCCTGGCTCCAGACCCGAAAACTAACTCTGCCCAAGATAACTAGCTGCCCCAGGACTCAGGGCAAACAAACAAACATGCTGCCCGGCCAATGCTGTGTCCTTTCTGCTCTAGCGAGAGAAGCTCCTGTTAAAACACAAACACAATCTTGTTGGATAGTAGGGGATTGTCGCAAACTCACACACAGCAGACGGTCAAAGTGGAGGCATATTTTCTTTAGTGAATAAGAGATTCTTTTCCTCCTTCTATTTTCATTCTTTGGGCTGTCGATGAGGATGAAAAAGAAGCAAGACATGATCTGCTTTTTCCATTCCCATTCTTAGCAAGGGCAGTGGCAAATAATTGGTCTCTCTAGAGCGTAGCATATTAAATATTAACTACCAAATAAGAACAGAAAGTCTCTTTCCAGCCCCATGATTCTGCCTAACACAAAAAAGTAGTTAACATTTTTTCAGATCTTTTGCTGTGTCAGGCACCCACGCTAAATAAGTACTTGGTATACATTATATCATTTAATTTTCACCACAACCTTTTCAGGTAGTATTACTGTTATTCCCATTTTACAGATAGGGAAGTTGAGGCCGGTCGAGTATAGGAAATTTGCTCAAGTTCTCACAGCTGGTAAGCTATAGAGATGAGCTTTGAATCAGCATTTGTAACCATACTCTAGTCAGGACTTGAACAGTGTACTAGAATAGAGCATGTACACAGATAGGACACATTGGGTTCTATTCACCAGTCATAAATCTTCACTGAAGAACTTATGCTGTAAAAATAGGTTTCATATCCTGCCAGTTTCTCTAACTGAAGGAAAATTCCAGAATCTGATGGGCTTTGTGGTTCTATGGACCAATGAAAGGCACCAGGCTGCAGAGAACAGGTTCCAGCTTGAATGGTGCATGGACGTTTCTCCTGTCTGTATCTCTCACCAAGTGAACTCACATGACAGCTGCAATGGCTGTGGGAGGGTGGGTATTCCAAACTGCTCAGGTTTTAGCCTTGAGGTGGACATTAATCTTCTTGAGCTGTAAGACAGATGCCCCCTTATTCTAAATTAATACATTTTATACAATTGAAGATTAATAGATATCAATCAATCCATACCTACAGAGTATGTATCCGGCATTCAAAGTCTTGCTGGATTCTGTAGAAGATAAAAAAATATATACACAACATGGCTTCTGGTGTGAATTTAGCCATTAGCAAGAAGGAGAGGACTCGAGGTTCCATGGCCACTCTAAGCTGTTCCCAATTCCTGGGGCCAGTCACCCATAAAGGCACATTTTGCTTTTTGTTTCAGCAAGACCATAATCAATGGTATACAACAGTGGTTACTCAACAAGCTTTTTGCTCTTAGGATTCCTTGGACTCTTAAAAATTGTTGAGAACCCAAAGAGCTTTTGTTTATGTGGATTACATCTAATAATATTTACCACATTAAAGATTAAAACAGGCCGGGCGCGGTGGCTCACGCCTGTAATCCCAACACTTTGGGAGGCCGAGGCGGGTGGATCATGAGGTCAGGAGATTGAGACCATCCTGGCCAACACGGTGAAACCCGTCTGTACTAAAAATACAAAGAATTAGCCGGGCGTGGTGGCGGGCACCTGTAGTCCCAGCTACTCGGGAGGCTGAGGCAGGAGAATGGCATGAACCCAGGAGGTGGAGCTTGCAGTGAGCCGAGATCGCACCACTGCACTCCAGCCTGGGTGACAGAGCGAGACTCCGTCTCAAAAAAAAAAAAAAAAAAAAAAAAAAAAAGAAAGATTAAAACAGATCACTTAAAATATTTACTTATAAGTTATTTTAAAATAATGATAATACATCCACATGTATTTTATGAAAAATGACTGCATTGTTCCCCCAGATTAGTGAGAAAAATGTCATTGTTTTAGATTTTTAAAAAATATTGTATTGAATGGCCTAATAAAAGACAGCACAACTCTATCTTCTTCTTCAATTATAATCTGTTGTGACATGTTGTTTTGATTCAAGTATATAAAGAAAATATGCTTCACCTGGGTATGTAGTTGGAAAAGGAGGATCTAGCCAACTTCCTGGAAGTGTCACAGAGACCCCTAGAGGTCCTCAGGCCACACTTTGAGACCAGTTATCATTATGTAGGGTGTGGGCACAGGCAGCTTGCATGGCTTAACATCAGCCTATGACCATGTATTGGTAAAAATATAGAGATGTGGTATGACTCTGGGTGCCCTACAAGGCAGCTACCTGAATGGCAGGATTTGAGAAGCATGATGAGGTCCTCCTGCCCCAAATTATCTCCCTTTCACTGGCTCCTCACGGTGCAAGAGCCTGATGATTAGTTTAATCTTTGGATGAAGACACTGAATGCTCCAATTTAAATTCAGATTTATTGATCATCCTTTAAATAAACTTGTATTAAGTGACATAAATGTGCAAGACTTGGAGCTAGGAACATAACTGTGAATAAGAGAGAATAATAGAACAATTGATTAGTCAGTAGTTTCCTGAGAGAATGGAAAATAGGATAAGCAAGTGTTGATTGTATGGAGTGGCAGAAAAAGTCTAAAGAGGATATTATCAAGGCCTAATTCAGGCCAAACTAGAGGTGGCCAGCGTGGAATGACTTGAGGGATATCTGGAATTCTCATCTGGGGAAAAATAGTATCTTTGAAAACTCAAATGAGAAAATTCACTTCTTCTAGTTATTCAATTCTTTTAAAATGAAAATATGCCTCCTTCTCCCTATCAGTATAAAGACCACTATCAGAACTATTGGATATTCCTGCCTGCTGTGTCATTCAGGACTCAACAGAATACACACACACACACACACCCCACACACACATACCGATTTACTGCAAGAAATTATGCAACAGGGAGGCTAGGCATGTACAAATCTGTAGGGCCAGTTAGCTGTCAAGAAGGGCAAGCTGGAAACTCCTGGGCAGGAGACGATGTTGCAGCCTTCAGGCAAAATATCTGCTTCTGCAGAGAAACCTCAGTTTCAACTAATTAGATCAGGCCCACCCAGATTATCCAGGATAATCTCCTTTACCTTAAATTGACTGATAGTAGATATTAATCACATCTACAAGATGCTTTCACGACATGCCTGGATTAGTGCTTGGTTGAATAACTGGAGATCATAGCTTAGCCAAGATGAGACATAAAACTGACGAGTGCATTACTTTATTGTAAATTTTTCAACTTCTCCTTCCCTAAAATGTTTTATAAATTAAAAAAATTCAACACCTAGGGACTAAAAAATGAAAAGAAAAATACAGAGCAGTAAGATAGAAAGAGAAAGCTGGTCAAGAGGTGGGGAATGGAAGGAAGAGAGACAAGGAAAGCCTGGAAACTGCCACAGAGAGACATGCAAAATTAGAGAGGGGTGAGGCCCAGGGACAGGAACAGAGAGGAAAGGGTGACTGTTCCGGAGTCTAACTGCTCTTATCACTAACTTTAAATTAGGAATTCGAGAAATAATCATTATTCATAACTCTTCATTTTCCTTATTCTTGGTGCTGAATGGAATCGCTGTCTGAGTTTGCCAGGTAGGAAAATATAACTCTTGGAGCTCAAGTGACTGGAAACTTACTAACTTTAAATCCTAGCTGGAGCTGGCCTCTGGGATACAGCTTCCCCATTCCTGCACTCTCTGTTGAGACAGGTTTGGTTCTTGCAAGTTTGCCTAGGGAAAATGTGACCTGTCTCTTCTTTTGGTCAAGGTCTCGAGCTCTGTCGTCAGACCGTGCGGAAGGAATCCTTTAGGATGGTCCCAGTGAACTCCACCTCTTGATATTCATGCCCTTTGTGTTATCTCATCACTGTTAGTGTGGGCTGAGGCTAATGATTTGCTTCTTATGAATACAATATGGCAGAGTGATGTGATATCACTTCTGCAATTAGGTTTGCATCTTGCTTTCACTCTCTGTCTGTCTGAATCTTCCCATGTACTTGTTTTAGTGAAGCAAGCTGCTATGTTGTAAGTCACCTTATGGAGCGGCCCATGTGATAAGGAACCAAGGATGGCAAATGACTTGAGTTCTGTGCCTCAGTTAACTCATTTGTAAAACGTGGACAGTAATAATAATACTGACCGCATAGGGCTATTGGACTAAATGACTTAATACATGTAACCAGAATAGTGCCTGGCACACAGGAAATGTTAACTTAATACTACTACTACTACAGATACTGCTCTACTATTATCATTCAAAGTTCAGAGAAAGATCACCGTGTATATCCTTCTAGAGAAAAGCACAATGTTACTGCTGGGCAATTAAGAATAAATGCTGCCTCTTAGGGATTTAGTCTTAAATTTTCAACATCAGCTTCCCAAGCTTCTGCTAGCTTCATGCAATTCTAATCTTGGAATGGCAATGTCCTCGTACATAGATGGCCCCTGAGAGCCCAGTGCCTTGCTGAGCCCAGAATATTCAAAAAGATTTCCAAAGTATTTGGAAAATATCTTCCACAGATATCTTTTCCCATTTGTTCTTTTTATCACTTTGTGATTTTTACCCAAGGATTTTCAGTGCCTGGTCAGGGAGTTACCTACTAAAAAAAATAGACAGGACGTCTGGCCTCAGAGACTGGCGAGGAATCACTTAAATGGAATGCTGAGCAGAGACTGCACCTGCCCTGTCATTGATCTACTCCAGAATCTTGCAGTGCTTTTGCCTCAAGGGATTCTGACTGGGCTGCAGGGAATGGAGGTGTCAGACCAAACTGAAGGGTCATTATTGGTCATGTCTCTTCCCTTAACTGTACATCAAGGCTAATATTTCACCCTCTCTACTTTTCTTTCTTTCTTTCTTTTTTGAGACGGAGTCTCCCTCTGTCGCCCAGGCAGGAGTGCAGTGGCGCGATCTTGGCTCACTGCAAGCTCCGCCTCCGGGGTTCACGCCATTCTCCTGCCTCAGCATCCCGAGTAGCTGGGACTACAGGCGCCCGCCACCACACCTGGCTAATTTTTTGTATTTTTAGTAGAGACGGGGTTTCACCATGTTAGCCAGGATGGTCTCGATCTCTTGACCTCGTGATCCGCCCGCCTCTGCCTCCCAAAGTGCTGGGACTACAGGCGTGAGCCACCGCGCCCGGCTTACCCTCTCTACTTTCTAAGCTGTCTTTTTAGGAATGAATGAATGAATGAATGAATGCCTCAATGATATCATTAACACATCTGTTATGACGAGAGGAAGCTTCAGGTAATGAGTATATTTGATTTTTTAAAAACCTGCCAAAAGGTAACAGATGGAATGTTAAGTAATAGCTAAATAAGCCTTGCAATTTGGCAGAAATGGGCCTGAACTCAGAGTTCAAGGAATTCTTCTACTTCTAGAGATCCAAGAATGCCATAAATGTACCGTCTGTTGACCAAGGCAGGGAAGCCGTCACTCAAGTGGATTTCAATCTATTCTCATTTGTCCCTTCCCAAACTGCTCTCCATAAGCTTGCAGCAGTTGCTGTGTAGCCTTAGAAGTAGTATCCATAGCTGTGTTGATAATGAGGAAGAATAATCAACCTCTAAATACAAGTGCTTTGGATCAATCTGTAGGATCTAATTTGACTATCTCAAATCTAAAGTAATTAAAAGAGTGTTTTTTTCTTCTCTGCTTGAACTGGAGACATTAAAGCATAGTGATTTGGTTTGGCTTTAAAATTAGATAGACTAGGGTTTAAATCCCAGTTTAGCTGAGAACCCTTAGGGAGATTTCTTTTTTGTTTGTTTGTTTTTTGAGACAGAGTCTCGCTCTGTCGCCCAGGCTGGAGTGCAGTGGTGCAACCTCGGCCCACTGCAAGCTCCGCCTCCCGGGTTCACACCATTCTCCTGCCTTAGCCTCCCGAGTAGCTGGGACTACAGGTGCCTGCCACCACGCCCGGCTAATTTTTTGTAGTTTTAGTAGAGATGGGGTTTCACCGTGTTAGCCAGGATGGTCTCGATCTCCTGACCTCGTGATCCGCCCGCCTCAGCCTCCCAAAGTGCTGAGATTACAGGCGTGAGCCACCGCGCCTGGCCGAGAACCCTTAGGGAGATTTCTTAACCCTTACTCTCAGTCTCCTCATCTGTAAAATGGCAGTAAAAATGCCTACTTCACAGGGTTGTTGATAGCTATTATCATGACATGAGAGAGAATATTTAACATGGAAGGGCAGGGCAGGGATAGAGAGAGGATGAAAGCTGGATCTACCTCTGGAAGTGATGATTTTTGAAGAACGGCATTGCCACTCAGTAAAGCACTTTGCCTAGTCCAGCATAACTGAGGGGTTGCATGAAGCAGCAGTCCCGGCCCCAGGCCTTCCACATGACAACCAGCATCTCAATCAGGGGAGCTCTCGGGCCCAATCATTGTATCTTTGCCTCTGTTCTGCGAGCCTAAAAAGAAATCATCCCATAGGGCTAAGCTTAATCTTGTTTACTCATGGGAGCTCCTTCTGACCACCTCAGCCAGTGGTAGTCTCCCTGGACACTCAACTTCTACTCCACTCCCTGGACACTCAACTTGCATTGCTGCTTACTTTACTGTACTATGTTCATATTTTGTCTTTGAAACTAAGCTGCAGTTCCTTGAGAGAGGTAGATTTTTATCTTATTTGAATCACTGCCAGTGATAGTATACTCATTACCTGAAGCTTCCTTTCCTTATAACAGGTGTGTTAAATATACCATTTTTATGTTCTTTGAATCACTCCCAGTATTCACAAATGCTAAGAACTGTGCTCCCCAAATTGGTCTGCGAATCCCTAGGGTTCTGTAGAGCTGAGTCAGGTACCTCACCTACTATGAGATCACTGGGCACCCAGTGCCAAATCCTGGGACCCCCATCCACATCTCTCCCTGCAGCTTCAGCCGGAATAGCCTGTTTTCATAGGTTTTGCCTTTGGTTGTCAGTGGTGATGATGACGATGGCATATTTATTGAACATTGGGTTTCCTCCCATTGTTGGGTATTTGGCAGCCCAATTTCCAACTGCCCAAGGGCTTTCTCTGGCAGCTGGAGCAGGCTGAAGGTGCCAGAGAATTAACACCCTGGGAGCAGCCTTCACCCAGTGACTGACCGGAGTTAGCGTGTAAATACCCCAGCTTCCTTGTTTTTCTGAGGGTGACTCTGAAGTGCATGTTCCTCACTAGTTCCCAGAGTTCCCCAGTGAGACTGGGCTCCTCATGCACAGTGGTAACCTGCTTGATAACTTGCTCCTTACTGGCTTCCTTCCCTTTCCTGTCTCACTTTCTCACTCTTACTGGTACTTTCTGGGATCATCTCCGAAATCAGGGTCTGCTTTTGGAGAAACCAGACAGTAAATCAGCATCCATCTGCTCATTGCCAGTCACTGTTCTAAAAACTTTATAGATGGCCGGGTGTGGTGGCTCACGCCTGTAATCCCCGCACATTGCGAGGGTGAGGCTGACGGGTCGAGAGGTCAGGAGATAGAGACCATCCTGGCCAACATGGTGAAAGCCTGTCTCTACTAAAATACAAAAAATTAGCTGGGTGTGGTGGTGCATGTCTGTAGTCCCAGTTATTTGGGAGGCTGATGCAGGGGAGTCACTTGAACCTGGGAGGCGGAGATTGCAGTGAGCCGAGATCACACCACTGCACTCCAGCCTGGCAACAGAGCGAGACTCCGTCAAAAAAAAAAAAACAAAACACAAAACCCAAAACTTTATAGAGATACTGACTTTTCAATTCTTCAATCATCCTCTTAAATTTGTTTTTAAATTTTACTTTCCTTTTTTAAATAAGAAAATTGAGACAAGGCAAGGTTAGGTATCTTACTCAGGTTCACAAAGCTAAACAGTGTTGGTGCCAGGATTCAAAGCAAAGGGTTCCAAATTGAAGAGACTCTGAAATGTGCTGATCCAGGTAGGTACTCTGCCCATTGGATGAGAATCTTAGCTTCCTTGCAGAAGTCCTTGGCAAAGCTCAATTTCTCTCATTAACTCCTGAATCCTGTCTTTGTGTTGAAGTGTTTTAGGTCTAGATAACCTTTGTCTGTTGTTTGAAGGCATCTCTTTATCAGAAGTGTTAGTTTTTTTTGCTTTGTTTTGTTTTGTTTTTCACACACCAAACTCAGTTGTGGAAGCCAGTAGAGGGGCAATGCGGCAGGGAGAAGTGTGTGTCCTGATGTCTTGACTGAGTGACTCATTATTTCTGCTGGTTCCTTTGCCAGTGTCAGTCATTGTTCCTCCAAGGATGGTGGTAGCAATAATAGAGATAGAAAGGCTGGGAGGAAGGAGAAGCCAGTAGGTCTGGAAAAGGGGAGCTCATGGGGAGGGTACTTACTTACAGGATAAATTCTGTTTTAGTCATGTTGCATTTGAAGAAATGGTGATACACACAGTTGGAAGTCTCCATCGTACAGTTAGAAAAGTAAATCTATAACTTGGAAGACCTGGCAATAAAGATCTGAGCATAGAGACTGTGGTGGCTAAAGTCATGAAAGAGGATAAGATGAGTTTGCAGAAAATGAAGGAGGTTCAAATTTGGAATCTTAGGGAATGTCCATTTCTGATATCAGGATGAGAAAGAGAGTTCATCAAATGAAATCAAGAAGGAAGGGTCAGAGAGGTAGAAGAGTCTGGATAGTGCTAGGACCTGGACCCCAAGGATGGGGAGTAGTTTCAATAAATAGTAATGAACCAACAGGGCCAAATACTGAAAGGGTTGAGAAGAACAAGAATCACAATTAAAGAGTGCTTAAGGTGTCTCAGCGTTTGAGGCCATAGACTATAATGTTGTGGTAGAAACTAAGAAGTGGAAGGATATGAAAAATGTGAAGTAATGTGTAAGTCATTGAAATGGTTTGGCTGTGTCCTCACCTAAATCTCATCTTGAATTGCAACTCCCACAATCCCCACGTGTCATGGGAGGAACCTGGTGGGAGGGGATTGAATTGTGGGGGCAGGTCTTTCCTGTGCTGTTCTCATGATAGTGAATGAATCTCACGAGATCTGATGGTTTTAAAAACGAGAATTTCCCTGCACAACTCTCTCTCTTTGCCTGCTGCCATCCATGTAAGACGTGACTTGCTTCTCCTTGCCTTCTGTTATGATTGTGAGGCCTCCCCAGCCACCTGGAACTGTAAGTCCATTAAACCTTTTTTTTCCTTTTTTTTGTAAATTGACCAGTCTCAGGTATGTCTTTATCAGCAGCGTGAAAATGGACTAGTACAGTCATGCAATTTAGTAATTTAATATTTTATGTTTGTAAAGGGCTATCCTAAAACCACCTCAACATGAGATTCACCAATCCCAAAACCTCCTCAACACACTGCTTTTACGTGTAATAAGTACTTAAGTGAGTGAAGTGATTAAGCTCAACCTTAATTTTATTTTCCTTTTTGTTGTTGTTGTTGTCTGTTGTTATAGTTTTAAAGAATAGTCAATAATCCCTTAGGGAACAAGCACTCTAGGTGGTCACTAGCGAATTCTCACACATGTGTTAGCCATTTTTAAAAGAATGAGACTACAGCAAATTCACTAAACATTATAACTTTATAGAGGACAATATTTGATGATTAAGAAGACACTCCAGGATCTTGCTCTACGTCTGCGTCATTACACTGAATTTAATTATGAAGAAAGCAGGGAAGATAAATACCAGACAAGGAGCCCAGAGATCTGGGCTTTGATCCCAGCTTTCATCAATTCAGTTCACAGTTCACCTTAGGGGGCCTTAGTTTCCTCATCTTAGAGTGAGGGGTTGACTCTATTGGTGATTCCCAAATCCGTGCTGGTCTTGATGAGGTTTTCATCTCCTTTGCGGGAAAAGGAGAGAGAGTGAGTGATAAAGAGAGAGAGGCAGAGAAAGAAAGAGATTATGTAGTGAGTTATTCATAAAGTCAAATTTATTCTTAATTCTAAGATTTGTCCTTTTTACTGTCTTATGTTAAAAAGTCCTTTCTTTTATACAATGGTAATAGCCATTAATTAGCAGTTTGATTATCAATGTGCTTAATAGCAACATAAAAACATGGCAACCCCATGATACAGCTGAAAATTGTACATTTTTACTGGTCTATGCACTCATTGAACTTAGGTTCTACATTCTCAATTCTAGATTGTATGATAAGGTACAAATGTGGTAGTTTAAGGTCTCTGACTTCTGTTTGGACCTCAGATGAGAGCAACGGGAGCCACCCAGCAGCACTGCAGGCCTCCTGAACTTAGAGTCCACAGCATTCTGCCATGCATGTTGGCGACAACAGCAACATTCTGACAATGAATTGCAAGGCAGAGCTAACATCCTAGGACACTGGAGCTCTGATACTAAGAGAAATTGTGTGTCCTTTAGTGCAGAGAGAACAAGGATTTGCTTTGTTAGATTCCTTGAATTATTTTAAAGGAAATTTCACCAGCTCAAAGATACTGGAAATGAGATCTGCTCAGAACAGGCTGTAGGGACAAGTTGAACCTGGGAGTTGGCCATATAGTTACATATAGTTACCCTAGAACCAGCATAAAAGTCATTTACCTACATTTTTGCCTACTGAAATGTGGGTCTTACCCTGGCACCTGAAATAAATGACAAACAACTGTGTTCATCTCCTTTCCCACTGTGTGCCCACCTATTTCAGCAGGAACTATTAAAACTGCAGCGAATCAGAGCAAATTGTTGCTGGCAGCAGCTTCAATAAATCTGTGCCACTGAATTACAGGAAGAATTAAAATGCAGAAATTAGAAGTCAAAGGCACTGAGTTTAGTGTGAGACTTATCTGATTAAGTATAGTTTCATAAGCCACTAGATCTCAATCTCATAAAGCCCAAGGGAAAACCTGAGGGGGGTGGAAGGTGACAATTCCACCTTCCAGAGGAAGTCACAAATTTCAATATGCCATAGCAACAGAATACATCTCTCATTAAAGATGCAAACACAATACAGCTCAGAACAAACTCCCTAGGAAACAAACACAGAAAAGCAGTGTTGGTGTTCACCATTAACTTGCAACACATGAGATCTGCCCGGAATGTTTTGCTTATTGGGGCAGGAAATCGTTTGCTGAAATCAGAAACATTGTGTCTCTTTTTGTGTGAGTAAAGGCCTCATAAAAGTCGAATAAGAATAGAACTTTAAGAGAGGCAAGAATACAAATAGACCGGAAAGGCAGGCGTTGGAAACCAACACAAAGGAGGACAGGGACTGATCTGCAAGGAATATCTAGGTGTTTTGTGCTGAGCAGTTTTACCAGACATTCTGCTAAACATTCTAATCACCCAGTCATTTAATCTTTAAAATACACACAAAAGTGGGTATTTTCATAAAATGAAAACAGGCTTTGAGAGTTTAAATTATTTGCTCAGAATCATACAAATGGTAGACTTTTGCCCAGGACTCAAACTCTAGTGTTTCTAATGTCAAATGTCTAATTTCTAATGTCTAATACACAATGATTACAGTATAAATTTACTGTTAAACAGAGGCTGACCTGCAGGGAAATGCAAATAAACTACTATAATGCTGGTGGCTTAATCTATTGCTTTAACAACCCTTTCCAACTGGAGACTCCTTGAAGATGAATTAGTTCAATGGACGGCACCTTGCAAAAGATCTGCCTCCTAGGCTTCTGCAAGTGTGCTCAGCTTGCCTCTATCTCTGCTGTGCCTCAGAGGCTGCCCCAGCCCCGCTGGGAGAAAGCCCCCTCTTTATTTAGTTTCCGGAGCCTTTCGCCAGAATGGCATATTAACTTTTGCCTTATAATGTAATCCTCCAATCTTAAAACATCAAAAGGAAAAAGAAGGAGAAGGTGAAAAAGAAGGAGTAGAGGAAGGAGAAAAAGAGGAAAAAGAAAGGAGGAAGAAGAAGAGGAAGAGGCGGAGAAGGAGGAGGCAGTGGCAACGACGACATTTCCATGTGTTCAGCTTCAGGAAGGTATCAGTAAGTGGATCCTTGCCTGTGTTAAGCAGTTGCGATGTCCGTGGCTTTTATAAACAAGATAATGCACATATCATCAGAAAAAGAAAGATTTTTTTTTGTACCTGTTTCCTGTCTATTTTAGAAAGGAATCTGAATCAAGGATTTTTGGTATGGCTTCCAAGTTTTAGGACAAAGCTATATTAGTATACCAATTTAGTAGCTTATTATAAAGATCTTGGAAACAATTGATAATTTTTTCTTAACATTAAAAAATGACTTTTGTAAAATGTGTATACCATCGTTCCTACTGACACCAAATTAAAAGCAGGTGTAGTCTCAGGAGCTCTTTCTGTTCACAGGCTTCCCTGGTGAAAATAACTTCTTGCCTTGGAACACCTGAACAAAAAGCAGAGAAAAGTGTTTTTTTTTCTTTTTGCTAATGAAAAACAAATAAATCTTCAGTCAGTATATAATAGTACTTGTGTATATGGTGAGATATTTTAAAAGATGGTAGCTAGCAGAGTCAGTTCCCTCAACTCTACAGTTCTTTGCATCATTCCCTTTTATATGTTCCTTAGGCAAATCCTGAGTCAATGCAGACCAAAGCCATGAGCGCAATTAATGGAAGAAATGCATTTTCAGCAAATGGATGGCTGCTATAGTTAGGAAGTGAGGCTGAAATGGATATTGGAGAAAGATTTAGTGTTGTGTAGAATTTAATATATTGCTAGTAACATGGGTGAAGGCTATCTTTATCAAGTGTGACCTCTTAGCTTCTGTGTCTCCAAGCATGGGAAGTCCTAGCTTGTTAAAGCTTAAGCCTGCCTCCCCTATGGCTAAATGAACAAAGATGTATGAGACTTTTAACCAGAATGAAGGGGCCAGAGTCTTTGGACAGCAAATGGAGTGAAGCTAACTGGCCCTCCTAGAACTGAATCCATATCCTTGGCCTCATTGAGACCACTTGGGCAACTGGCTACCATGAATAATACAACATAGCAAATGAGATACTGACTTATATGAGTGTGGACATTTTCATTAGCATTTTAAAACTATAGCAATATTACTGTTAAAACACAAATAAGAGGCCCTCTTATGTGAGAAAATCCTTAGGACCAATACTTTGAGAACCTCCAGAGGAGAAAATAAATACATGAATTTTATTTCAATAGTCAATATTGAATAACAATATTTCAATGTCAGGCCTTTAAAATTGTATATGTAAAAGGTATAAAAGTGCTATAATGATAAAAATGAAAAATTTCTGATTTGGCCCCCACTACAGGCTCTCCACCTGCTGTTGATATTGGCTGCAGAGTGCCCCAACATTCAAATACAGCAGGCTTTGAGGTCTGACTTTGAACCATGCCAGTATCCCAAAGGTATTTGATTTCCCTGTTGTGTGCACCTAATTGAAGTCATAATAATGGCTGATAGCTTTCTCCAGAGGTTTAGAAACCTGGGAGGCTTTGGGTTTTTCTTTCAAAATGTAGTAGCTACAGTACCCTCTAAGACCTAAGGTCCAAGTCCTCCGGCTCTCTACTAAGAGTAACTGGTCTTGAGAGAGACTCAGTTTAAAATATAGGCTGTGTGGAAGCAAACCCAATGTGTATGGGGTATGGGGGCATGGAGGTGGTGTATGAACCTGATGTTTTCCACTTTGCTGTTCTAGAAGCAAGGCACTATAGTGGAGAAAGTACTGAAAAGTATTGAGATTGTTTTACTCCAAGTAAGAGGAGATTGTGTGACTCCTTTTACTAGATGTATGAATTTAGACAAGTAACTTACTATTAGTTTATTCTCTCCCGGTCTTAATGGGTGAACTAATAGCAAAACAAGTATCAAAGCACAGTGTCTGAACTACTATTTATCTGTACCTGTATGACTACAGCATCATTATTGGTGCATCTTTGGGAAATCTTAGAGAATGGAAGAAGTACCAATAGATTTCAAATAGAAGTAAATGTCCACCTTCCCCAGTTTACAGTCTGAAACAACAGCCTGAGACTCTTTTATACGCTGAGCTCCAGAACAATCTTAGATTTTGATAATTAAACAGCTTACTTTTGGGAACTCTAAAGGAACACAAAGACCATCAGGAATCCAAGTGGATGCACCAATGGTGTTACAGAACTCCATTCTTACTTCTTTTGTGGTAGGGTTATTTGACTGATGCGGGAGGTGGTGTCCCAGATTACATATCTGTATTTCAGTAAAGTATGTAAGAAAGGCATTTATAGTAGCCCTATGAACAAGAAGAAATTTGGGCTGCAAAATAATATATTTATGTAGGTTATTTTTTAATTATAACTTTTATTTTAGGTTCAAGGGTACATATGTAGGTTTGTTACATAAGTAAACTGCATGTCATGGAGGTTTGGTGTACAGATTATTTTGTCACGCAGGTAATAAGCATAGTACTCAATAGGTATTATTTTTCTGACTTAGGTAAGTTCTTGATCATTAAATAAGCATAATCAAAAGTATGAAAGTTAATCCAACAGGGCCTCTATTAGTATTCTGAAGGTATGCCATATTAAGCATAATCAAAAGTATGAAAGTTAATCCAAGAGGGCCTCTATTAGTATTCTGAAGGTATGCCATATCACAGGTTAGTAATAATTAGCACCTTGCCTGGCATACTCTAGCTTTAAAAATACCTTAAAGGTTCACATATAGAGACATCAATACATGATTGGGTATTACAATTGGAAGGAACACACACACACCCACCCACACACACACACACACACACACATATTTTTGAGACAGAGTCTCGCTCTTGTTGCCCAGGCTGGAGTGCAATGGCATGATCTCGGCTCACGGCAATCTTCACCTCCCGGGTTCAAGCGATTCTCCTGCCTCAGCCTCCCAAGTAGCTGGGATTACAGGCATGCACCACCACGACCGGCTAATTTTGTATTTTTTTTTTTTTTTTAGTAGAAATGGGGTTTCTCCATGTTGGTCAGGCTGGTCTCGAACTGCCGACCTCAGGTGATCCACCCGCCTTGGCCTCCCAAAGTGTTGAGATTATAGGCGTGAGCCACCGTGCCCACAGGTACTCAAGCACTTGCATGTGATCAAGATGGAGAAGAGCTGACTTTTGCAGTTCACGTGGGAGGAAAAAAGTAAATCTAGAAATTCTAGTTAACTCCAAACACAGTGAGTGTCATTAGTGTTTCTCCAGAAGCCAATCCAATATTAGGCTGCACATAAAGACTGTCCAAAACAAGGACGGAGAGCACAACAATTCAGGAAGAAGACCACCTGGAATGCTCATATGGCCATCAAAGATGACATAGGCTCTGGAAACTATACTACAGGGAAAGTTGGGGCTAAGAAGAACCTTGAGCCAGGAGAAGAAAAGAGTGGATGGTGGGCCATAGAGGCAAGCATGGCAGATGCCTTCTAAGAGGTGAAGGGCCACAATGTACAGATGGTTTGACTTATTCTAGGCGGGTTTCAGAAGAGGCACAAGGCCCAAGCTGAAGCCTAGAAGGTAGCAGTTTGAGTACAATACAAGAAAAAAACATTTTTCTTTGCATTTCTGATGTTCATCAGAACATATGGGACGGAAGCTCAGGAAAGAGATCTTAAGGTAGCATCAAGAGATAGATGTCGTCCACAAGGAGGCGGTATATGAAGCTGTGAAATGGCTTGGGGTTTCCAGTGTCTTCCACCATCATCAGCCCAGAATTACCACCTTCCCAGTTGCACTTCCTCCTAAATCTACATCTCTGGTGCCTTTTGCCTTGAACAGTCTCTTGCCTTGGAGCTTCTCGGCCATCAAACAGAAGGGGGCACCCTGCACCGTCAGTCAAGGCAAGGACCAATCTGGCAATCCCCAACCATGGAAAAGGACCTAAGGCTGGGTGGGATGTAGGAGCCTTCCAGGACCTGGAAGGGAGCCTCCTGTAACTACTCTCTACTCCCTTTAGAGTCCACAGGGCTGGAACTCTAAATGCAGAATAAGGTTAGGGGTGGGCAGAGAGGAAGGGTTGTGATGCCACCTGACTTCCAAATTGAGGGTGGCACAGGATCCCCCAGAAGCTCCCTGGGGTACAGAAGTCACAGCAACCCTGGACAATCCAGGGGTTTGGTAAAGTGTACTTACCAATTTTGAAGAGGGGAAGGGGTTCTCTTAAGGTGTAGAAAGGACTATCCAGGGAGTTGCAAACTTTGTTGTAAGTGGACAATCACCCTCGCTCCTCACTGCACCGTCTTCTCCTTGCCCAACAATGCACGCGGGTCCTAGCAAGGTATTCGAGTCCAGATCTCTCTCTCTCTCTCTCTCTCTCTCTCTGTCTCTGTCTCTCTCTCTTTCCTCTCTCTGTCTCTCTGTCTCTGTCTCTCTCTTTCCTCTCTCTCTCTCTCTGTCTCTGTCTCTCTCTTTCCTCTCTCTCTCTCTCTATCTCTGTCACACACACACACACACACACACACACACACACACACACACAGGCAAAGTGGGCAAAGCGGGCAAAGCGAGCAAAGCGAGAGGGTTGGTACCCAGTCTGGGCGCGCTGGAGCTAAGCAACTGGCCTTTGTTTGTGAATTGGAGCAGTTTAGGGGACATCCTCCGGTCGCCGCGGGGCGCGCGCCTCCGCTGAGTGTGCGGTGCGGTACCCAGCGGTGCGGGGGAGGCTCCACCGCGCCAGCCCAGGGCCCCCGCACCGCCCCCGCCAGCTCGACGCGCCCAGCGTTGCGCTCTCCACGGAGCGGGCGGCCGCAGCGCACTTGGCTGGGGCGAGAGGCGAGAGGGGTGGGCGGACTGCTTGGTTGGCGTTGGCGCTCTGCAGTGCAGTGGAGTGTTAGCCCAGCTCCCTATATGGTCGGGGATTAGCTTGGCGCTGCTGAGGCTGAGGCTGAGCCAGGAGCTGGAGGAGGAGGTGGAGGACGAGGACGAAAAGGAGGAGGAGAAAGAGCGCAGCAGCAGTCAGCGCACGCCGAGCGGCTGCCGGGGGAAGCAGAGGCGCCGGAGGCTGGGGCACCGCCGACGCCTCGGGAGCCATGGCCGAAGGGGGAGAAGGAGGCGAGGACGAGATCCAGTTTCTGAGGACTGTGAGTCTCCGCGGCGGGGGCGAGGCCGTGGGCAGGTGGGGAGGAGCGCGGAGCGCGGCGAGGAGGGGCTGGCTGCGCTGCGCCGCGGTGCCGGGTGCCCGGTGCCGGGCGCTTTCTCCGCACCCGCGGGCTGCAGAGGCGGACCGGCCACCTACCCGCGGGGCCGCGAGGGGCTGCGTGGGAAGGGGCACCATCTCCTGCCTCTCCCTTGTTCCCCTACCGCCACCCCTGCCCCAGGCCCTCCACCTAGGACCGCTCGCTCTCCAGGCAACTTGCTACTTGGTCTGAAACCCTTGATGCCCAAACTTCAGCCGGGGTTTGTTCGCGGTTGTCCTGACCCATAAGATCGGCGTTGGAAGCCCTCGCCCCGGGGTCGGCCCTCTGACACCTCCATACTCCACCCCAGCCCCATTCCTCTTCCAGGGCGCCCCCACGCACAGGGGAACCTCCGGGAAGGAGCCAGCGGGGCAGGGGGGAGTGTGGGGAGCCGGGTCGGAGAAGCGGGCGCAGGCGCTTGGTCCTAGCCCTGGGATCGCTCGGAGGGGAATTCACCCAGCGCTGCCCCTCTCGTGTTAAGCCCCACGCCGGCAACTGCTGCTGGAGCCTGACTTGACTGACTGCCTGTCGTGTGTTCGAGAGCTGTGGCTTCTGCTCCTGGCTCCCGCGAGCCCCGCAGGACAGGGAAACCCCAGTCAGTGGCTCCGCGTCACTCAGGTCCCCTCCTTGACACCTGAGGGCGCTGCTCCGTCCCAGATTTGGGGGTGAGGGGGCGAAGTCTGTTGCAGCCACACCAGCCTTGCCCTGTAGGAGATAATACAAAGACTTTCAGGGTGGACGGCCACCCGGAGGGGTGGGGGCATTGGGGATGCATCCTAGCGCTGACTTCAGCCAAGTGACCTTGAGCAAGTCGCATAATCCGCCCTACTCAGCCTCAGTTTCCTCATGTGTAAAATAAAATGTAACCAGCGTTTCAGGGTGATAAGGATTAAACGTTATCGTGAATGTCATAATGTTTTGTAAACGGCAAATCGCTCTGTAAATCTTAGGTAATTTTATATGCGCTGCCTTGCTCTCAGGAATTAGAATGAAATTCTTTCTTTCCCTCTCTCACTTCCCTTTAAGGGTGCCCCCTTCTCCATGACCTGGTCTTCGAAGATCACAACTTACCTCTTGTCCATCTTTTGAACCACTCTCCTCCTGTTGAAGCGCTTCCTTCCAATTTACTTCAGTTTCTCTTCCAAACATGGTTCTTTTGTCAAAGCTGGGACTTGGGTCTTATTTGGGGGGGGTATGGAAGTACCTATCGCCCTGCTGGTACTACTGAGAGGCTAGAGTATTCATCTCTTCATCCTTCGTCTGACCTGCAGACCCAGACTCCATTCTCATCTCTCACACTGCACACAAGATGGCCCCACAGTTGCAACTCATGACAACCCTATTGTTATAAAGCTGCCTGCTCCCCTCAAAGCTCCATCAAATCCTTTGGTTGTCCCTCTGACAGGTGTCTTTAGTAGTGGATGGGTGGCAGCTCAGGTTTTTTCTGCCTTGTGTCCTCCATGATCAGTCATTTCTTCTCCTTATTATTAATGATCTTCTAGGCGTTATTGCTTGAAAAAATTATCTTCAGACAGGGTCAGTGTTGAATAGATGTCCCAGGGAGTTGAGGCTTAGGAAGGTGGTAGTTGTTGTGAGATCCTTATGCTTTTCTCTTGGCTTCTGAGCCATCTTCCCTGACTTTTCCTCTCCATCTGGCATTGTAAGTGTTTTTTGTTTTTGTTTGTTTTTGGTACACCTGTAGCCAAGGTTTACTATAGTAGTGGTTCTTAAGTTTTGTGTCCTGGGCTTCCTGCCCTAGAGATCAGAGCTGGCAGACCTCTTTTAAAGTACACCCATGACAGCCTGTGGGGTTCAAGGACCCAGGTTCAGAGCCCCTGTTGCAGAGAACTGCATACCGGTTATGGCTTAGAGCGAGTGATGGTGGTAACCATGGGGGCAGTGACTCCAAATGTGGCGTTATTGGTTCTTTTCCTTCTAGTTATCACCTTATGTATTTTTTAAGGTGTGTTCCTCATTTCTTCACCCTATGAGGCACCTTAACATCTTTGTTTTTAGCTCACTGGGAAGGAAATAGGTGATGAAACTGAAGCACAGGAAATCGAGTGACTTGAACATAGCTGTTGACAAGTTATTGGTAATTTTCATTATACAATGTTCAATTACATTCCCGCTAGAGCCTGGCATTGAGCGTTACGCCAGATGTTATATATAGTCTTAAGAATATACCTAAGAACATAAGAGGAGTACTGCAGCTTTCTGAGCTTGGCATCCTCCTTCTTCATCTGTGAATTCGACAAAATGATTTTTTGGAATCCAATAGCCATAAGCTTTTGATCTCTGCACAAAATTTTGACTTTAGGGTAGTTGGGAACACCAGGCTTGTGCTAGCAGTGGGATTTTTCTCTCCTCTGGGTATGTCTGGGTTAGGGAAGCTATTTCACTTTGAACTCACTCAGTTACCTTTGCCTTAGGCTTTCTTTCTCCTCCCCAGACAACACCTTTAAAAGCATTTTGGCAGTGTATTAGTCATATATAATGCTTCCTCACATCGACATGGTCCTGGATGAGAAGGTGACTCATACTGGACCATGGAATAGAATCATATCTTTGTAACCATGAACTTTAAAGGATTGCCATCCCAGAGAGCAGAAGCTTTTAACCTATTTACAAAAAAAGACCATACAATAGCATTATGCCAAGGATCCTAATCAAATTGTTAGTGGTTGTAGTGTCAGGTTTGTTATAATAGTGCCAAAAATGAAAGCAGCTAGAACTATTGATAGTGTGAAATGAGCCAGAATTACTGCAGTAACCACTGTAGGTGTGTGTGGTGTGGCTTTAGACACTTATTTGTGGTAGTGTTTATTTTGGTTATGTCCTCTGATACATTTGGAAGCCCACCCTCTCCTAAGTAGGGAACAAGACCTAAACAAGGGCTTTGGAAGCTTAAACACATGTGAACTAAATGCTACTGTACCCCAAGCCTTAAGGAGGCAGTCTAAAACTATATACCCTCTTCTGGCCTTCTGAAATCACTGACAGTCATGTATGCCAGTTAGAATCAGGCAGATAGACAGAATCTTTAAGGCTAAAATTTTCCCTCCCACTGCTGTTGGCAGTGGCATCCTCCTCTCTTCCGATTGCTCTTGCTGACGTAGCCAGTGTCATTGACGTGGCTCTGAAGCTGCTCAGAAGCAGATAAACCTGCCAGCCGCTGATCTGAAAGCAAGAAGTTATGGTGAGAAGAGTGGCAATTACCCCATCTTCAGACAGTCGGTGGAGCAGCTGGCACCACATTCTGCTTTGAGAGTGCTAGGAGAAAACTTTTCTCTCCTACTTTTTCCTTTAGACTACAGTATCCATTTAAAAAACACAAAACGAAACAAAACTCTAATCCTTAGCTTATTGTTTTTAAAATATCACAGTCTTCTCCTTGCCAACTGCCTTTCCACCACAATGTTAATTGAAACAGAACTCAGAGCCAGGCGCGGTGGCTCACGCCTGTAATCCCAGCACTTTGGGAGGCCGAGGCGGGTGGATCACGAGGTCAGGAGATCGAGACCATCCTGGCTAACACGGTGAAACCCCGTCTCTACTAAAAATACAAAAAATTAGCCGGGCGTGGTGGTGGGTGCCTGTAGTCCCAGCTGCTCGGGAGGCAGAGGCGGGAGAACGGCGTGAGCCCGGGAGGCGGAGCCTGCAGTGAGCCGAGATTGCGCCACTGGACTCTAGCCTGGGCGGCAGAGCAAGACTCAGTCTCAAAGAAAACAAACAACAAAAAAAAAAACCAAAAAAAAACAACAACAACAAAAAACGGAACTCAGAGTGAGATAGACATTTGTTTGCATTAGTTTCAATTAAAGGTTGGTCATAGACAGCCTAATTTAGACCTCCCCATAGAAAGTTGTCCTCCTTCATCTAAATTTGCAGCTCTCGAGGGATGAGAAAAGGCACTTGGGCTGAAAATCAAGGATTGGTCCCTTGTCTTGGGTTCCTGCCTACAGGGTGCCCAGGACAAATTCCTGAATTTGAGCTGCAGCGCTCACGTGAGCTCATGTCTCTCGTCCCTCCCCAGAGCGCGCTGTCTTGTGTTGGAATGACAGTGAACTTGTACCTGGTGGTTTATGGATGCCTGCTTTCTTCTCTCTGCGGCAGGGCCCATTTACATAACAGCTGCATGAAGCCTGTGTTTTGGTAGATTTTCTTTAAGGAGATAAGGGAAAGGAGGTGGACACCTTCCTCCAGGCTCTGGGTGCTAGTGAGTAGCAATGGAGGTAGTGCTAAAATTCAGACCTCAGATACCCAGACATGCAGTGTGAGTTGCTGCAGAGCTGAACTGTAAGCTCTCCTGCTGAGTTATGTTTGAGGATTAAAATGACAAAACTCGGAATATTCCCACACTCTGGGCCTCCCAAGGTCACTTCAGGGCTTCCCATCTTCTCAGTCTCTGCTTCCTTCGCTTCTCAGAGCTGATCTGATTAAAGACCCATATCAGCCGAGCTGGACACACAATATCCCCTCCTTTCCAGGGAAACGTTCCCGGTGAGGTGAGAAGGAGGCTGGATCCTTTTTTCCAAAGCAATTAACTTGAATCAGAAAGGCCGCATCAGCAGTAGGGGGGTGGTGGCACATATCTTCTCTGCCAAGGCAAGATTGCCATGTCCAGGGTTGTCCTAAGGATTTTAAGCTGCTGATCTCCTGGGAAGGAGGTGGTGATGACTGCAAACTTGGAAATATTTGGAATGCAATGCGGCCCACTGTATAAGGACTGAGGTCAAGGGATAGGTTTGCAGTTGAAGAATGTGTGTCTGACATCTGTGCATGTTTTTTTTTCTTATGCTACTATGATTATTAAGCAAGGAATAATTATTAAATATGTTAAATAACATATTTCACAAGTGAAAATTTTAATTTCTAATATTGGTTTCTCCAGCTCCTTAGGGTTGATCTGAGGGCAAAAAAAATGGTGAAAAAGAAAAGAGTGGGAGGAATTTATCTGGAGAGAAAAATACTCTGATAATTATTTTTGAAGGATTTGTATTTAAATAAGGCATAGCTATCTGTGCTTATTTGCCTCTTTGCTTTGTGTTATTTTTACACCTTCATAGAAAGGAATCTTTATTTTATAATTCGACTTTTTCTTTACCTTACTGCTTAAAGAATTTTTAACTTAGAAGCCATCAACTCCATCATCTTCTAATTGACTTGGCATTATTCTGAATGATCTTTACCAATCTCAAGTGCAGACCCAGGCGGTCCTAGGTCTTAGGAACCCAATACTTTAGTTAATTTCCCACAAGTTCATATCAGTATAAACCTTTCTAAATTAGATATGTTCTTTAAGCTACCCTTAATACAAGATTTATCCAGTAGGAGTGGGATGCTGTAATAATAAAAAAAAATGAGCTTAGAGGCAAGAATTCCTATTTTTAGGTCTAGATCACTATCACCTTCAAGGAGTCACATAAGAAAATTGAGGTTTCATTTTTCCCACTGTATGGAGATAGAACCTGCGTTAACAGAAGTGTTGAGAGAGGCAATAGTCATTCCAAATGAGAGACATATTACCCCAAATGAGTCAATAAGTTGTGTTTCATAGGATATTATCATTGTGTCTCTTCTGCACTAGGAAGTCGACCTTTCTTATCATCAGATCTTGTTGGAAAACCAGCCCAGTTGCCGCCATCTCTAACATGGTCTTTGTTGCGGGTCCTTCCCTCCATCCCAGAGCTGTTGGACAGCCTCTAGTGTTGGGCTCACCCCAGGATCTCTGGGCAATTACTTCTCTAAAGCCAACTGCAACTATTCTTAAGCTATTTGATTAAAAGACTTGAGAAGTCAAGGCAGTGGGTGTGATAATCTTCAAAAGGCCAGGTAGGCTCCTCCCAGGATCCCAGCCACCAAACAGAACATTCAGAGTTATTTTTTGTCATCTCAGAAAATTACCAAAGCTACCGTTTCCCATAGGACCGCCTTTTCTTATTGAATCCCGTAGCTCTTCCTTTCATAGCTATCCTTCCTATTCCCCTTCCTGTTTCTTTTATGAGCCCATTTTTTCTTTCGCTCAAAGCACTGGGGACCTGCTTTCCTGTAAAACCAGAGCGGGTTTTTCTCCCAGGGATTCTGCTGCTTTAGTCATGTCTGCTCAGGGTGTTGGGGCCTTTGAAGAGTTCCTTTTGGCTGCACCCGGATGAAGCAGATGCTTCTAGGGTGGAGAGCCCAGCCAGTGGTGAGGCTGTAGGGCCACAGTTCTCCTTGGGGAGCCACACTGGGTCCTCCAGGCCCCAGGCTGGTGTCCTCTCAGCCATCTTCTTGTTTGGAAGTCAGGGGGGGTGTTTTAGGGACAAAGACATTTCCAGTCACTGCAGTTTCCTTTGGTTCAGTGAATTTTGCCATCATAGCACCTCTTCAATTCAGAGAGAGGGAAGAAAAAGTGCTGGCACCTCAGCCCTGATCCTGCTACAGGGATGAGCCTCTTGAGATGCCAAGATTATTTTTTTTCTGTTTATGTCATTTCTGATTCCCGGTTGTTAGAAAACAAAGTTCAGATCATCTCTGAGACTGATGATGCAGTATTCCAGAATAAAAGAGCTATACCTCCTCTCCTCACATGCACTTTTCCCCTCCTCTGGCTTAGAGTACATTGCTGACTCTACAGTCATACTCTGGGCTATTGTCCTTTGAGGTGGGACATAGCTTTACAAGGAGGAGGCATGGAGACACCAGGGCCTTCTTTTTTCACCTTCCACCTCCCTATACAGTGAACTCCTCATTGATTTCAGGTCTCTCTGCTCCTGTGCAGTCTTGTCAATACTTGAGGAATCTTACTATTATTGGATTCAATGCCCAAGAAGAAGGAAAGCAAACACTCTATCCTAAAATCAGATTACAAAGAGATTCAGAAATTACACTCAACATGAGCTCTTCCCTCTGGGGTGACAGCTGCTTGCTGCTGCTTATTTCAGAGTGCAAAGGAGGCAGAGAGAGCTCTGGAGACAGAGCTGCTGCTGCCTGTGCAGAATTGTACAGGCCATCAACAGTTTTTCTACTGAGTTGAGTTTGTAAGTGGTTTTATGCTATAGGAACCAGCCAGTATTATGAGCAAGGCAGCACACCTGTTATAAAAGTGTAGAGATGAAAGTCTGGGTTGGTGTCAGTGTCACTGTGACCCTTGCAGATACCCAGAAGGATGTCTTTCTCCTTGGTCTGTCTTTGGGATAAAGCACTGTCTCAAGAAATTCCCCCTATTAAAATGCTGAAATGCAAAGTTGTTAGCTCAGCAGGTACCACTGATGATTAACATCATTAACAGCTGAGCAGAGCCTATTACTGAAGGAACAGGAATTGGGTTGGAGAAAGGTGAGAGCACATGAGGGCATTGCTGAGAGGGGCAAGCCTGAGTAGGGCACCGCATTGGTGCTTGGGGAACCTTGAGTAGGAAATATACATCAAAGCACAGGAATCTAGGTTCTGGAGATGGCGGTTCAGACTCCATCTTTATTTAGACCTTTGAGCAGAGGAGAAGAAGGCTTGAGTTACCTGGGAGAAAGTGGCCAACCTTCAGGCATTCAGAAGAGCATTATTCACCATCAAGACTGGTGCTAATACATACTTTGTTTTAAATAATTCATAATCAGAGAAAACAGTAAGATAAGGTGACTCTACATCAAAACGAGAACTAAGGTGCCTCCTTCCTGAAGTAGAAAAGTGTTTGAGAGACAAAACCTCATTATCAGTTATTGTATTCATTAACACGTCACTCATACTAATCCCAAGCAAATGCTCCAGAGCCCCTGAAACCATTTCAAAGCAATTCCTATAGCAAAAAAGGGAAAGTGCTAAGGGGAGCTGCTTATCCCCTAACAGAGCAAATAGAAAAAGCTCTTACTGGAAGGTAAAGGCATTGCACCCGACCAGTGACAGGTACTGGCATCAACTCTGAAAATTTCACAGTTGAGTTCTCTAATGGGGCTGGGCAGAGAGAGCTAGTCAGCGGGACTACAGGAAGGAATGGAAAGTTCTCCATCAATGGCACATAAATGTCCACAGTGTGAGAAGAGAAGTATTGATTTGAATCGTGTTGCTCTATACCATGGACCAGATCCAGACTGTAAATAATACCGGGGCAGAAGGAGAGATCCCGTTGGCTACCACATCATATCGACCAGAAGCCGAATCCAAGAGATCAGATCAAAATAGGACAGCTGGTCTTGGAGTAGCATAAGCCCCTCCTAAGTCCCTTCTCAGTCACCCAGGACACTTGGCTATTGTTCCAATTTAGGACAGTGGTTTTCCTCCAAGTAATCCTCTCTTCTGTCCAGGCTGGCTAGAAGAGAACAGTTCAAGAATAAACTATAGTGAGGTCTTGAACAGATCTCATCTCTTTGCAAGAGGCATTTTAGGAGAAAAATATAGCAAAGAACATACTAGTCAAATGATGGGTAAAGTCAGAGGTAAAGCGTTTGCTATATTTGGCAGCATTTCTATTGCCAGATGCCTGTGAGATTGCCTGCCCTTCCCAGGTCCTAGTTCAACCATTTGTAAAGGCATGGTAATAATTAATGATTACATCTCAGAGATGTCCTGAAGAAACTCCACATTTCCTCCAGGAGAACTAGATATGTAAATCTGGAGAGAGTAGCTTGGAATAATAGTTGCCCTATTCCCTGAAAATGTTTCCGTCAGCCTAAAGTATGAGCCATACATTAGGAACTCCAGGAACACAGGGGTCTTAAATTTGGTTTACGCCAAGTTCTCAGGTACCTACAGATTGGAAAGTTCACAAATCTAAACACTTTGGGGTCAAGCAGGTAGCTAAATGTGTAAATCAGGCTTTATTTGCAAATAGAGGCGGGCCTGATCTGTACGTTCAAATAAAAAAATTCTCAACACTGCCAGTCAAGCAAAACACATCTGCAGCAAGATTCTGAGCTGCCTACCATTGTGCAGCTGCAAATAAGCACTCCAAATCTGTTTGAATGAAAGCACTCCCTAGAATGCATGAATATTTTCATGATAGGATCAGGCTCACAATACACATCATGGTCCTTGGATAAAAATGTCAACCTTAAAGACAGTGTATCATTTATCACAGGGTATAAAAGAGAGATTGGCAGGCAGACAGATTAATGGGCTTAATAAATGATAGGCTTTATCATCAAAATGAATTCAGATCTTGCTAGTCTTTAAAACACCCTTTAAAATCATCATATGGATGTAGACATCATGAAATCTAAAGAAAGCAGGGTGTGCATTCAACATGTATTGACCAATTACTCTCCACCCAGCCTTAAACAAGTTACTGGAAGTTACATAGATGAAAAAGACATCTTAATGTTTGTTGTTTTTGACAGCTCAGGGTCAAGAGGGAGCTCAGACTTACTTTGAGGTAGCAAGGATATCAGTCACTTCAGATGACTTTATAACAATTAATTTAACTTTTCCATGTTTCTATGGTACAAAAATTTTCCTGTTGAAAGGTATGACCTTGGGGAAGTTTCCTTACTTCTGTTCTTGTTTTCTCATGTTAAATGAGGGTCATAATAGTGCCTATCTGAGAGGATTGTTGCAAGGATTAAATGAGTTCATCCATGTGAGGTACTTGGAACAGTGCTCAACATATAGTAAATCCTCAATAAATATTATTTATTATTGTCTCAACAAAACAGTGTAAACATTGACATTAGTCACACTAGCTATTCCAAATGTCATTGCACAGTCATTTTATTATTGGAAAGTACAAAGGGACAATCCCCTGGGATTATTCCATAGTCTTGATTCCTGGCATTCTGCTTCACTCTAAATATGAGCAGGCTTTGTGAATGGAAATGAGCCTGCAATGTTCATGGCCTTGGGAGTACAGATTGGGAGGTCAGTTCTCTGAGCGTCTACTTTGCAAAGCCTCTTGATGCAAATGCTGATTGACTTCTCCCTGGGCAATTTTAAATTCCTCACGTCAATAGATGGGCAACATGATTTGGAGAATCCACAGCTACACAAAAATTCATCATCTTTGCTTTGGGGAGACATTTTTTACAACTTATGTCTTAAGTGTAGAAATTAACCTCTCTGGGAATTTACTGTATTTCTAATAACACAAGGTCATCCTGCTGTAAGGATCTGGCTTTTCATATCCAAGGATACAAAGCATGGACCTAAAGTAAAGCTTGATCCTTGCTACATACTTCACTGCCCTCTCCCCTGAGAGGTCCTGCTGGGGCAGTTGTCCAAGCCTCTGATTCTTACTCCCTCCTCTCTATCAAACCTTATTCCCATCCTTTTTCCCTCTGCTTTCCATGGAATTAAACTGGATCATATTGGTTATTTAACCCTGTTAAGAATTGTCCTTCCCTGGTTGAGAGTAGGTGTGTGTGAAGCTAAAATGCTCTGCTCCTTAAGTGACAGGTGTGTAGAAGGGCCCATGGACAGGCTGATGGCACCTTGTTTTTGATTAGTTTGGATCACCCTAATTGGTTCTTCATTTCACTCAGAAATCTGGTCCCAATGACTGAAAACTTAATTGGACTTAATAGACGGGAAATTTAATAATAATACAAAAAAACTAAAGCAAGATTTCTTCAAATAATAGAGAATGGGTGGGCTTTTGGTCTCCTTAAAGAAAGGAGAGTTCCGGTGCTGAATCTGAGTGTTTCACTAACTAGCAATACATTTAACATTTTAAGTTGTAAATAGAAAAGTGAACTCTATGGATGAGTTATTTCATTAATGCCAGCCTCAGTTTCCTAATCTATAGAAAGGTGAAAATTATAACTAATTCACAGAGAAGGGGTCAGGGTGAAATGATCAGACCTGAGATTCTCCAGAGCAAGGCTCTATTTTATCACCATTTGCTGCTTCCTTCTCCCCAACGTTTAACTATGCCCAGCACTTGAGACTGCCCTCAGAAAGTACACTTTATAGAGTATAAAATGCTATGAAGATGTCACACATGCATCTTAGAACTTGGACAACATTGGCATCTGATTACATTTTATGTTAGGCCATTCTTGGGTTGCCATAAAGAAAGCTATGTCTGAGACTGGGCAATTTATAAAGGAAAGGGTTTAATTGGCACATGGCTCTGCGGGCTGCCCAAGCATGACACTGGCATCTGCTCGGCTTCTGGGGAGGCCTCCAGGAGCTTTTCGGCATAGTGAAAAGCAAAGCAAGAGCGAGCATGTCACATGGCCAGAGAAGGAGCAAGAGAGGGAGCGGCAGGGGGAGGTGCCACACACTTTTAAACGACTAGATTTCACAAGAATCCCCTTTATCATGAGGACAGCACCAAGACATGAGAAATCCACAACCATGACCCAAACACCTCCCACAAGGGCCCACCTCCAACACTGGGGATTACAATTCAACAAGAGATTTGGTGGGGACATATAATCAAATTATATCCCATATATAGAGAGCCCACTATTCTAATTAAATACATTTTAGATCAAAGTTGCTCTGACTTATTTATTTTTGTACATACATTTTATTATATTGGCTCATAATTAGGCATGATGGTACACAATTCACATAAATGACTACAATCTATGTAAGTTTTGTCTATCCAGAACAACTTTTTTTCCACTGAATGTCCTAGTTCTCTCTTATTGTCGATCTTAAAGTCGATGGTTTCTCTGGAACCACATCATTTTCAGGTCACCATTGTCACTGTGCTTATTGCAGCTCTACAAACATAAATGACAAATTCAGAATTCACACTCTTGTCTACCTTATTGTAAGCTCTTAACCACTCTGTTGTCAAACAATGTATCATCTGTATCAGCACCACTATCATGTACAGTCTCTGACAAGAGAGTGGTTAAGAGCTTACAGTAAGGTAGACAAGAGTGTGAATTCTGAATTTGTCATTTATGTTTGTAGAGCTGCAATAAGCACAATGCCTGGCTTGTACCAGGCATATTTTCTCTTCCGTGCTATAATATATGATATGATATTTAATACATATATATTTTTTTCTTTGAGACAGAGTCTCACTCTGTCTCCCAGGCTGGAGTGCAGTGGCACGATCTCTGCTCACTGCAAGCTCCGCCTCCCAGGTTCACGCCATCCTCCTGCCTCAGCCTCCCGAGTAGCTGGGACTACAGGCACCCGCCACCATGCCCAGCTTTTTTGTATTTTTAGTAGAGACGGGGTTTCACCATGTTGGCCAGGATGGTCTCGATCTCCTGACCTCATGATCCGCCTGCCCCGGCCTCCCAAAGTGCTGGGATTACAGGCGTGAGCCACCGCGCCCGGCCTTAATACATATTTTAATGGCAGAGCCTACTCCCCAGTGGCTGAGGATTCTTTCTGCCAGAGCCCCAGCACCCATGCTCAGACTATACTTTGATGAGCCACCTGGGATCCTGAAGCAGCTGCTCTTCAATGATATGGGGAGGGGGTGGAAGATGTACTTAAACTGTTTATTTACTACAATTTCTAAGTCAATTAATTGAGAAAAAAAATCTAAATAGCTCTCCCACCTGCGCCCTGGAAGCCTTAGCCAAGTGAAAACCTGTGGGTGTGCATGCATTTGTACTTGATTTTCTAAATATGTGAAGGTTGCAGTCCAAGTCATGCTTTTAACTCAACCACATCCTGTGCTTGACTCCCAGCTGTTTGGGAGGTGGTAACTTTGACTGTCCCCTGGGCTTTGCTCTGGTCTCTGGCTGTGCTAAGTGCATGCCACTTGTTCATATCCTGGTGAGGCCTGTGGAATACACATAAGAGGGCAAATAACTCACAAAGCTGGAAGAGGCTCCCGGATCTAGTCTGAACTGCCCAATTAAATGCAGATTAGAAGGCAGGTTTATTGAGGTTTTGAAGTAAAGGAGAGTTAGGGTTAACCTTTATCTAGCCCACAGGTTAGGTATAATATGTCACTGGGCAGGATGTGACCCTTTGCCCAGACTTCTTTATCACCATATGACATGGTACATGGAATTCCTGACATTCAAGATACTCTTTTGGATTAAGGTTTTATCTCCAAGGCATTTGCCTTGGATATTGTCTGGGGGTGGGAGGAGTGAATTTAGATGTTACTATACATCCTCTTGGATTATGACATTCTCTATGGATGAAACTTTGGTCTGGTAATATGGCATTTGGGATATAAAGAATTACCACTAAGGCACTGGCAGATTCCACTCACAGTAGGTTACCCTGTATCTTCTGGGGAAATGGGGGAAGGAAGGGTACTCTAAAAAAGTGGCATCTTAAGGATAAGGAGTAGGAGCACAGAGTCCAAACATCACTAATGTCGCCATTTTTATCCCAATCTTATTTTGTAGATGCTAATATCTTAGATAAAACTCAGTGCTTTCTATCAATAGAGGAGGGGTTCTAATGTTAAATGTTTCTTTCTTTACCGCCTACCTTTCTTCATCTTTGGTGCTTGTCAACATCTAGCAAGCTGTGTATGACACTGATTTATCCTGTTTGTCTCTCTCCTACTTTGCAAGCGTTCAGGGGCCAGAAGTTTTGTTCTTTTCTTTGCTGTGTTCTTGCTACTAAGGATGGTGCTTAGCATATAGTAGGTCTCTGTAAAGAGTTGTTGAAAGAGTTAGTAAATCCTCATCTGCTGCCCCTCCAGCCCAGGTGCTCACCTCACTCAACTCTCTGCTAAGTTCCCCTCTCTGTGCACTCATGGTTGGTGAGACTGAAGTATGTGTTGACACAAAGTTAAAAACCCAACCGCATTATGGAATGATCCACTGGGGATCTGGGGACTAATGTCTCAGTTTCTGATCTCAGTGGCTTATAGGATGCCAGCTTGTGAAGACTGAGAAATCAGGATGGCATGGACATCACATATGCATTTGCCTGATTCTCAGGACTAAACACACATATGGGATATTTCTAGATTCTTCTAAAAATGGAAAATAGATATAGGACAATTCTATATTTATGGGACATACGTCTGCTCTACATATTATTGATACCAGTTTGATGACTGTTCATATTTTTGTATTTCTTTGTGCTTGCAAACTGATGCTTGTTTGAGAAACTGAAGGTTATTTGATGTCAGTGTACCTTGGACAACATTTCTGTGTGCTTTTAAATCCTATAGTCTGTACCAGATACAAACCAGTAACCACTCTATAGGACCCCTTTACTCCCATGAGATTCTGGAGCACCATCAACAGCAGATACCAGCCCCCTCCACTGGCATGTGTACTTGCCGATTAGGAGCATAAACCCAGCCATCACTCATATCTAAAGATGAAGGGAAGACATTTTATTGACAGTTGAAGTTATTGAATGGTCCAAGATTAATTTTTGTTTGGCTTTGAAATGTACTTTACTACTTTCATGTTGCTTAGCTTGTTTCTACTTTTATATTACTCCTGTTTCCTTCTAGTCCTCATCTTCCTTTAGAATCTACAGCTTCTTCTGAGCCTTCTGATATTTCTCCTTTAGGGTCCTGAATTCCCATAGGATTATGATGAGGTTTCTTTTCTTTTCCTTTCTTTCCTTTTCTTTTCTTTTCCTCTCTTTCCTTTTCTTTTCTTTTCCTTTCCTGCCGCTTTCCACCTTCCCCCTTCCCCCTTCCCCTCTCTGCCTTCCCCCTCCCCCTCTTCCTTCCTTCCTTCCTTCCTTCCTTCCTTCCTTCCTTCCTTCCTTCCTTCTTTCTTTTCTTTTCTCTTTTCATTTCTTTTCTTCCTGTTGTTGAGACAGGGTCTCACTCTGTTACCCAGGCTGGAGTGCAGTGGCACAATCATGCCCCACTGCAGCCTCCATCTCTCGATCTCAAGCAATCCTCCCACCTCAGCCTCCCAAGTAGCTAGGACTACAGGCATGTGCCACCATGCCTCGCTAATTTTTGTAGTTTTTGTAGAGATGGGGTTTTGCCATTTTGCCCAAGCTGTTTTCTTGAACTCCTAAGCTCAAGCAACCTGCTCACCTCGGCCTCCCAAAGTGCTGGGATTACAGGTGTGAGCAACCATGCCCGGCCTATTTCTTTCTTACACGAGTCTGTTGAGGTTCTTTGTTTTTTGTTTTCCCCAATGTCTACTGAACTAAATCAAAGCTACTATCTTCTAAAAGAACCATAGGGCATTATAGATAGGAAAAGACCCCTGGCAATCATCTGTTAACTATTGTGTTAGGGAACTGAGATGCTATCCCCTTATTCATCCGTCCATCCACCCATTCATCCAGCAAGCATTTGTTGAGTACTTACTATGTAAAAGGCATGTGCTAGGGATTGGAGAAGATTTAAAGGTGATCAAAACACATAATCCCATTTTCAAGGATCTTAAAGTGTGGTCAGAGAGTTAGATATCTAAGGAACTAACAAGAAAGCAGAACAAAAATGTGTTAAATAAAGGTAAAAGTTATACATCCTAGAAGGAATACTTTTGACTAGGGAGTCAGGGAAGATTTGAAAAGAGAGGGAACATTTGAACTGGGGGTTTCTATAGGTTGTTGATAGGTTGCAAATGGAGTGAAAGAGGCACTTGAGACAGAAGGATGATCGTAAAGCAATACTCAGCAGTATAAAAGTATGTGACATGTTCAGGGAACTATAAAGACTGGAGTGTAGGGAGGTACATGGAAGACTGACTGTGTTGGGAGATAAGGCTGGAAAACTGGGGAGCAAATCAAGACAATCTGGCCTTAATTCTTTAGGTAATGGAGAACTAGCTAACATAAGTGCAATTAAGTCTAAAAATTTTGAACATACTTATGATAATTTACTACAGCATGGTTTTGATAAGGTAGACTATATAGACATAGATTATGAAGGATGCTTTTTATATTAATTTCTTCAACTTATTGTTATATGTCTGATACTAAATCATTTGTGCAATTGCAACTGTAAATACTGTACTTGATAAGCCTTAGGGTGTAGTTTAAAAAAAAAAAACTCCACTGACAGAGAACTGGCATTGCCCCTTGCATGGAAGTGAAAGACGAGACGCATGTTACATCTGTAATTTTCTTCATGGAATGAGAGCTGTTATACAGCTATAGAAGATGATTCACCTTCTCAGGCCAAAGGATTAAAGGTGACAGAAAAAAAAGTAAGTACTTTGAGAACATGTAGAAAACAGAAGCTGATGAGCACTGGAGGGCTATAGTCTTATTAAAGGTGTTACTGAGGACTCTGGTTGTTGAAAGTTGAGTATCAGCAGCATCCCTCATACCTCACACTGTTAAGTGTGTATGGATCCTCCACTTCTGGCAGAAAGCCACGAATCCATGGGACACAGGGGCTGTCTTAAAGCCACTGGTGATAGTGTGGTACAACCATTGTTTGAATACACATTTATAGACCTTGCTACCCTCGCTCTGGCCCTTTGAACCTACCATTTGGTTATATCTAATAGTGAAGAAAAATTGGAGAATTCAAATCAACACAATCAGATTGTTTAAAATTTTGCTAAAGGTTTAGTAAGGACTATAACTGGAAAGTGATTGTTAATTACTGTTTTCTGAACTAAACAATCAGGTGCTTGATCATATTGTGCAAATTTTACTTCATGTTATGAAAATCTCCTTTTCTCCACTAGACTGAATAGCTCCCTGGAGGGGAAGTTGCCTGCCTGCCTGCCTGCCTGCCTTCCTTCCTTCCTTCCTCCCCATCTCTATCTCTCTCTCTTCCTTTCTTTTCCTTTATCAGTGCTTATATTTGGGTATACAGTGACTCAGTGATTACTTGAATGATTTTTCATTCATCATTTCTGCATGGTCTCATTGATTAGACTAGATATTCTGCAAGTATTACTTCAGATCCCCCCAAGTGGTGTTTTCTTACCTAGTTACTTATGAAAATCCACATTCAGAAATTGCAGGTTATATTCTGAGTTAGACAATGTGAACCTCTAATGGGAATGACTTGTTTTCAATAAAATTTCAAAAGGGGGTTGTGTCTGTATGTGTGCCTGAAATTAAGTCCAAGACTGGGTTTTTGTTGCTGTGTTTTCTGATATAGCCCTAATGGCCAACACAGCATTTCACCTATAGCATGTGCCAAATAAACATATGCAGAACAACCTAATAAAATGAAATGGAGAAAATGGGAAGAAACATAAGTTTATTTGAAATCTGACATCTCATGTTCCAACTAAACTCTACATCCATCCTATTTCCACCTATGTAGTATCATGAGTTCCCTGTGTGGGCTGTTACGGCAGCTCTGCCCACACCGTCCTTATCTTTCTGGAGTGCTTCGTCTGTTCCTTTTCAAGCTTCCTATTGTTCCTTTTAAGTGTGCTTAACTAAGTGGGCCACCCATCATAGCTCCTTTCTTTCACCTAATCTTCAGTTATTCCTTCTCAGGTTCCTTTCTTCAGGTCTAATGTCCCCTGCTACATTTTCAGATGGGTTCCTTCTCTATCACTAATCTTCATGGGGTCATTAAAGTGAGTGCCCCAGATAATATTCTCTTTGCTTTCATCAAGAGCTTCATTATGCTTTTGGGAACATTACATATAAGCAATTATAAGTGCATATATTTCCTATGCTTTAGTTAAGACTGATTTGTAACCTTCCTTTTCAGATGTTACAGAGGTGTAATTGTTGTCTTAGACTTTGGTTTGTAGATCTAATATGGTCATTTGAATGCCTGAATCATTTTGTAACCTTTTAATAAGCCCAGACCTCGCATTTATTCAAATATGTCTAAACTTGTAAAAGTACTTTCTCCTCTTCCTTCTTATGCTTATTGATTCTTACTTCCTTCATCCTTTGCTTACTTTTTCTAGCTTGTGGTTTTATTTTCCTCTTTCTCCCCCTTTTCCCTTGTTTTCAGATGTATCTCTCCTTCTTCATTTCTTGCTTTCCTTTTTCAGTCTTTCTCTGGAAATATCAGTAAGTACAAGTAAAGTTTAGCTATGGAATACTAATGTAGGCTGAAGTACTCCAGTTAAAGGAAATTTATGGTTAGAGTAACGGCAGTTACTCCCTGCTTAGTGAACTTCTGTAGTTGTCTATCAAGTCTGGTCTGCAAGCCGAGGGACAGTTTCCTGCTTCCTCTTCTTCTCCCATCCCCATTTCTTCCCCTGGCTTACAGAAGGTTTCTGGAGGATGCCTCAGGCACATGGGCTGGTGATTCTTTCTTCTCTATTTTACATATGGGTAAGAACTCGTATGTAATGCTAACCTGAGTTTCTACGAGTGGTCAGCAGGAAATATTTAATTTTGTCATCTAAGATATGAAAATTTTCATGTCCCCAGAGAAGTCACTTACCAAGGAACATGAATACTGCTAATAAAAGTTACAAAAGATGAATATAAAAACTGGAACTCAGGCTTCAAATTTACCAGAATATACTTGGCTCAAACCGATGATCTATGTAGGGTTTTAAAGTTCATTAAGTTGTTTGATGAGTGTGGAACTGATGGAGACAAAAAGAAATTGATGTTCCTGAAAGGAGCATCAGGCTCACTCGTTTCAGTGTGTAGAGCGATTCCACTTTTGAGCATCTTTGTCGAAAGAACTGGAACACAATATGTACTGGAAGCTGGAGCTATGTTGGTAAAAATGCTTACTCACCAGTTCTCAATGTTCTCAATACTCCTTAACATCAAAATCTTTGGCCATCACAACATTATCTGTTCTTAAAATTTGACAAAGGATAGTCTATTTTTCATTTGATGCTTGTACATAGGACTGGTCTATGCCCAAATAAGCAGCCTACAGGTAGTACCCAAATATAGGAGACTCCAGACTTTGTGCGAAGGGGAGATGGTTACTGTTGTATTTGTCTGTGGCAATGTAATGCCAAGGAGATAGTCATCAAAATACAGGAAATGGAGGCAAAAGTTGGGAGTCGGGAAGGAAATATTTGGTAAATCAAGAGGACAGTATGAATGGGTGAAAGGGAGTGATCTTGTGTATAAGTGCACAAACCCTGAGGTCCTTCAGGGCAGTCTTCTTACCCAGGCCTAGGGCACTCTGGGCCAAGAACAGTCATAAGTCAGACTGGACAGTTTTTCCTTGGGTTACATTCTATGGAGGCACCATCCTAACCAATGAATCTCATGAGTAACTTAGCTCAAAGTGGCGGTGCTTGTTGGCTTCAATTTTAGGGTACATGTTCTTTGTCCCAAAATCATCAGGCTACACCTCTTTATGTGCTTCACTGTCTTCTATTCAGCAATCACCTGTATTCCTTCTTCATGTCTTCTGTTTATTCCCAGAACTTATACTAAGTAAAACAAACAGAGGAGTTTCTTTGTTTTCTCTGTCTTTGCATCCCCCTGTCTGAAGTAGTCTCTTCATTGGAGCAGTTGCCATCATGCCATTTTTTGCCTCCCAACTTTTCCCAATCAACCATAGCTTTCTACACATATGCCTGGAGGCACTGTCCACAGGCTGGTTAACCCAGGAGGCTCTCTCTCCTGTGCTCTAACCCTCCCTACTCTTCCTCTCCCCCAAAGTTTACCTGACTAGTGTTCCTTCACGTCGTGATTCTCTTTGGTATCTCTACTGCTTTTATGAGTTGATTTGAATTAGAGTATTAAAGATTGACTAATACTATGCTCCCAGATAGTTGTATTTTAAAATCAGTCTTCAATGTCGTTATTCATGTAAGTGAACAATAACTGGAATTCTAGGCATGCTAGGAGCAGGATGCCATAGGTTGTAGCTGCTACTCAGAGGTACTCTAGTCCCAGGGTTATCAATCCCCTTCGTCAGTCTTATAGATAGAGTGTATAGCATTAAACTTAGAACTTAAAAGCTGTGAAATGTTAGTTTTCACAGGATTCTCTTAAGCCACCCATTTAGCATTTGTGTTTTAGTATTATCTCTGCTACTAGCTCTGCAAACTTGGTCTATTACTCATTCATCTCTAAAATGAATGCTCTGTAAATGCAGAGGATCTCCCCCTGTAGCTGCTTTCCCCAGGAGCAGTGTGCTCCAGTGACAGAACTTTGTTTGTTTGTTTGGTTGGTTGGTTGGTTGGTTTTTGTTGTGCAATTTTATGAACAGAGTTGAGAGAATATATTTTAAAGGCTGGTTTTCAGAACGGAGCCTCTTCATCCTACTATATATTTTTAAACATACTAAAGTTAACTTTTTTCTCGACAAATATACTTTGGACCTTTTGAAAGAGTAATCTTTTAAAACGAGTTCATTCTCTTCCAAATATTAATTCTATAATGTTCTTGATGTCTCAGTACTTTAGGGTGTAGTCACATAGTTAAGAAGGCAAAAAAATGTGTTCTTAAATCCATTCCACCTATTATCTTATAGCTGTTTAATTCACTAATGTTCTTATAAGGTAGATCACTAGCTAATTCCACATTTTATAAGGATGCACTGAAGCATAGTTTGGTTTAATTAAGTAATTTTTGGTAGCGAATTAATTGTTTTACTAGAAATAGACTCTTAGTTTTTCTTGCTTCACTTGGTAATGACAGTGCCTCTAGCTCTTCTTCTGTGATTAAAAAATGTATACATGAAATACATATTTATACATTAAGTGCTGAGAGAAAATAGGATATTCAGTGAAATTATCTTTCAAGAATAAAGACTTAAGACATTTTTCAGAAAAAAAACAAACCTAAGAAGGATTACCACAGACAGAACTTAGCTAAAGGATGTATTTCAAGAAGAATAAAAATGGTCATAAAAAGAGGGTTTAAGAAGAAAGAAGAAATGGTAAGAAAAACAAAATTAAATTAAAATAAAGTGATAAATATGTCTACTGGAAACAGTAACAATATGTGTAAGTTGTGGGGTTAATAAAACCAGTATGTATCCAAAATTTTGGATAATAATTGCATGTAAATAGCATGAAAAGTGGAAGGTAATTGATGATAAAGAATTCTTAGATCCTTTTATCATTGTAGGAGGGTAAAGACAGTGATTTTAGACTTTAAGTATAATATGCAAATTAAAATTTCTAGACTATCCAGGAAGAAAGGAAGGAAGGAAATAGTACATAACTTTAAAGCAAGTACAGGAATTAAAGTGAGGAAAATTTTAATCAATCTGAAAGAAAACAAAATTGGAAGTACAAAATCAATGAGTTAAATATCCAGATATAGCAATAATGACAACTTAATGGGCTTATCCTCCAATTAAAGCTAAAGATTCTCAGAATGGATACATAAACAAATTCATAAATATTAATTAGAAATGAATAGGGACAGTGCTTATCTTTGTAAGTAGTCCAGTTCATCAGGAAGTTATAAAATGTTTAATTGGCATGCGTCTGAAAATATAGAGCAAAAATGGTCAGTGCTGCAAGAAGAAATTGTTAAATCCACTGTTTAATGGGAAATGTTAACACTTATCTCAATAATTGATCTGTTAAGCAATCAACAAGGATATAAAAGAGTTGAAAGATACAATTAATAAGACACTGCATTCAGCAGTTATAGAATACATACTATTTTTAAGCACACACACAGAAATTATAAAAAGTGATCATGTACCAGGCCAAGAATAACATTTCTAAAAATTTTAGGCAATCAGTATCATATAAATCTTATTCTCTCATTACAGAACAATTTAGATTAGAAATCAGTTACAACAAAGATACCTTGAAAAAAACCTGCATTTGAAAATTTAAAAATTACACTTTCTAAATGACCCACATAACTTCCTTTAGTCAAATAAATTATACCTGATGGTAGAAATAACTAAGTTCAGAAGAGTTATGAAAATACCATATAGCAAAATATATGTGTTGTAGCTCAAGCAATACTTAGAAAAAAATCTGTATTCTTAAAGCAGGGTGGGCAAAATTTTCTGTAGCAGAACAGATAATAAATCTCACTATTTACTGTCAGAACTCTGTTGCAACTACTCAACTTTGTTTTTGTAGCACGAAATCAATCATATCCAATAAATATGAAAGTAAATGGGTCTGTCTGTGTTCTGATAAAACTTTATTTAAGAAAACAGTCAGTGCCAGTAACAATTTTTGAAACTGAGGCAATAATAAATAGCCTACCAACCAAAAAAAAAAAAAAAAAAAAAAAGCCCAGGACAAGATGGATTCACAGCTGAATTCTGCCAGATGTACAAAGAAGAGATGGTACCATTCCTACTGAAACTATTCTGAAAAATGGAAAAGGAGGGACTCTTCCCTAACTCATTCTATGAGGCCAGCATCATCTTGATATCAAAACCTGGCAGAGATACAATAAAAAAGGAAAATTTCAGGCCAATATCCTTGATGAACATCAATGTAAAAATCCTCAACAGTATACTGGCAAACCAAATCTAGCAGCACATCAAAAATCAGGTAGGCATCATCTCCAGAATACAAGGTTGGTTTAACAATGCAAATCAATAAATGTGATTCATCACATAAACAGCACTAAAGACAAAAACCACATGATTATCTCAATAGATGCAGAAAAGGCTTTCAGTAAAATTCAACATCCTTTCATGTTAAAAGCTCTCAATAAACTAGGTATTGAAGGAACATACCTCAAAATAATAAGAGCCACATATGACAAACCCACAGCCAACATCATACTGAAGGGCAAAAGCTCAAGCATATCCCTTGGAAACCAGCACAAGACATGGATGCCCTCTCTCACCACTCCTATTCAGCGTAGTATTGGAAGTTCTGGCCGGGACAATCAGGCAAGAGAAAGAAATAAAGGGCATTCACATAGGAAGAAAGGAAGTTAAACTATCCCTGTTTGCAGACAACATGTTCCTATATCTAGAAAACCCCATAATCTCAGCCTAAAAGCTTCTTAAGCTGATAAGCAGCTTCAGTAAAGTCTCAGGATACAAAAATCAATGTGCAAAAATTGCTAATATTCTTCTACACTAACAACAGTCTAGCCAAGAGCCAAATCAATTCACAATTGCCACAAGAAGAATAAAATACCTAGGAATATAGCTAACAAGGGAAGTGAAAGATCTCTGCAAGGAAAACTACAACCACTGCTCAAGTAAATCAGAGATGTCACAAACAAATGGAAAAACATTCCATGCTCATGGATAGGAAGAATCAATGTTGTTAAAATGGCCATACTGCCCAAAGCAATTTATAGATTAAATGCTAGCCTCATTAAACTACCATTGACATTCTTCACGGAACTAGACAAAACTATTTTAAAATTCATATGGAGCCAAAAAAGAGCCTGAATAGCCAAGGCAATCCTAAGCAAAAGGAACAAAGCTGAAGGCATCATGCTACTCAACTTCAAACTATACTAAAAGGCTACAGTAACCGAAACAACATGATACTGGTACAAGAACAGACACATAGACCGATGGAACAGAATAGAGAACGCAGAAATAAGACCACACACCTACAACTATTGGATCTTCCACAAACCTGACAAAAATAAGCAATGGGGAAGGGATTCCCTATTCAATAAATGATGCTGGGATAACTAGCTAGTCATATGCAGAAAATTGAACCTGGACTCCTTCCTTACACCTTATACAAAAATTAACTCAAGATGGATTAAATACTTAAATGTAAAACCCAAAAACTATAAAAACCCAGAAGATAACCTAGGCAATACGATTCAGGAAATAGGCATAGGCAAAAATTTCATAATGAAGATGCCAAAAGCAATTGCAACAAAAGCAAAAATTGACAAATGGGATCTAATTAAAGAGCTTCTGCACAGCAAAAGAAAACTATCAACAGAGTAAACAGACAACCTACAGAATGGGAGAAAATTTTTGCAAACTATGCTTCTGACAAAGGTCTAATATCCAGCCTCTGTAAGGAACTTAAACAAATTGACAAGAAAAAAAAAAAACCCCATTAAACAGTGGGCAAAGCACATGAACAGACGCTTCTCCAAAAGAAGACATACATGCAGTCAACAAACATGAAAAAATGCTCAACATTACTGATCATTAGAGAAAAATGCAAATCAAAACCACAATGAGATACCATCTCACACCAGTCAGAATGGTTATTATTAAAAAGCCAAAAAATAACACACGTCAGTGAGGTTGTGAAGAAAAAGGAACACTTTTACATTGCTGTTGGGAGTGTAAATTAGTTCAACCATTGTGGAAGACAGTGTGGCAATTCCTTAGAGACCTAAAGACAGAAATACCATTCAACTCAGCAATCCCATTACTGGGCATATACTCAAAGGAATATAAATCATTTTATTATAAAGACACATGTATGTGTATGCTCATTGCAGCACTATTCACAATAGCAAAGACATAGAATCAACCTAAATGCCCATCAGTGATAGACTGGATAAAGAAAATGCAGTACATATACACCATGGAATACTATGCAGCCATAGAAAAGAATGAGATCATGTTCTTTGCAGGGACATGGATGGAGCTGGAGGCCATTGTCCTTAGCAAACTAATACAGGAACAGAAAATCAAATACTGCATGTTCTCACTTATAAGTGGAAGCTATATGATGAGAACACATGGACACATAGAGGGGAACAGCATACGTTGGGGCCTATCAGAGGGTGGAGGGTGGGAAGAAGGAAAAATAACTAATGGATACTAGGCTTAATACCTAGGTGATGAAATCATCTGTACAGCATGAAATAATCTGTACAGCAAACCCCCATGACACATGTTACATATGTACCAAACTTGCACTTCCTGCACCTGTACACTTGAGCTTAAAATAAAAGTGAAAAAATAAAGAATAATTAAAAAAAAAAAAAAGATCAGTGGATCAGTTTTGGCCCAAGCTTCTTGGTTTGCCAACCCCTACCTGCTATTTATGTATTTGTTTATTTATTTCATTTAATCATCCTTCATAGAACAAAACTCTTGCCTTTTAAAGGCTGGTACTAGAAGAAGAGAAAGGTTGGAATAAATTAACCATCTAACATAAGATCTTAATTTAAAACCTAAAGAATAAACCTAAAGAAAGGAACAGAAAGGAAATAAATGATAAAGACAAGAACAGCAATAAATAAAAGAAAAGATTTCATAAAACAAAGCCAAATTCTGGTTATTTTAAAAGACTTTTTAGCCTGGGTCCTCCAAAAAGTAGAAACTTAAGTACAGATTAAAGTTTCTAATACTTTTACTTAAGAGACACAAGTCCAAGTCTATGAAAGTGAGATAAAAAGATCAGCAAAAAGCACCATGAGCCTGTAATCTCAGCACTTTGGGAGGCTGAGGCAGGCAGATCACTTGAGGTCAGGAGTTTGAGACCAGCCTGGCCAACATGGTGAAACGCTGTCTCTACTATAAATACAAAAATTAGCCACCCGTGGTGGCACATGCTTGTAATCCCAGTTACTCGGGAGGCTGAGGCAGGAGAATCACTTCAACCTGGGAGGCTGCAGTGAGCTGAGATGGTGCCACTGCACTCCAGCCTGGGCGACAGAGCGAGACGAAAGAAAGAAAGAAAGAAAGAAAGAGAGAGAGAGAGAGAGAGAGAGAGAGAGAGAGAGAGAGAGAGAGAAAGAAAGAAAGAAAGAAGGAGGGAAGGAGGGAAGGAGGGAAGGAGGGAAGGAGGGAAGGAGGGAAGGAAGGAAGAAAAAAGCACCATGAGCTGTCAAGGGCACAACATGTTGCCCAGCAGGCACATTGGCTCAGCAGCATGGTCTTTCATCTGCGTTTGAAAGTAGAGGTATGATCCAGCACAGGTGAGCTCCATGCAAAGGAGAAAGAAGAAGCTGTGCAGGGGAATCTAAGAATGCCTGTGACGTTTGTATTGCAATACAAGGACTATAAAGTTTCTAAAACTCTGGCCGGGCGTGGTGGCTCACGCCTGTAATCCCAGCACTTGGGAGGCTGAGGCGGGCGGATCACGAGGTCAGGAGATCGAGACCGTCCTGGCTAACACGGTGAAACCCCGTCTCTACTAAAAATACAAAAAAAAATTAGCCGGGCGTGGTGGCGGGTGCCTGTAGTCCCAGCTACTGGGGAGGCTGAGGGAGGAGAATGGCGTGAACCTGGGAGGTGGAGCTTGCATGAGCCGAGATAGTGCCGCTGCACTCCAGCCTGGGTTACAGAGCAGGACTCCGTCTCAAAAAAAAAAAAAAAAAAAAAAAAAAGTTTATAAAACTCTGAGGAGACTGATAAAAAAAGAGAAGGCATGAGTAATCCATATTAGGAACAAAAAGAGTACATTACTGATGGAGCAGAGATTTAAAAGATAGGAGAATATTTTGAACTACTTTGTGCCAATAATTTTGAAAACTTAGATGTTAGGTCAGATTCCTAGAGGAATGTAAATTATCAAAACTGACTCACAAAGAAGAAGACAATTAGAATGCTCCTATAAATTATTAAATAAAATGAAAAATGTATTACCAAGAAAGTTTTCTCCAGAAACACAGAGCCTAGGTAATGTTATAGGCAAATTCTACAGCAACAACAAAAATCAAGCAACTGATAATTCCAAGCTTGCAAAAACCTTCTAAAACAGTGGATATAGAAGAAACACTCCCAAATTAATGTATGAGGCCAGTACAAACTTTAAGCCAAAATCAAAGATTATTAATTTTCAGAAAGGAAAATTACAATCCAAGTGCCATTTTTTTTTGCATGTGTTCACTTTTGAACATAGATGCTAAAGTCCTAAACAAAATAACATCAGTTGGAATTTATGAATAGATGAAGAAAAACTATTTCATCATGACTGTCAACTGGTACAGTCACTTTGGAAAATAACCTGATAACATGGTGAAGTTGAATATACACATTTCCTGTGACCCAGCAATTCCTCCCAGTGGAGCCTCTAAACTCATCCACATGTGCATCAGGTATGTGTTCAAGTATGTTCATAGTACTGAACAACTGGGAACAACACACATGCCCATCAGCAATAGAATGGAGAAGGTGTGTACATTATACATATGTCAGTAGAGGAAAATGATGAGACAAGTCTCAATCATTTTAGGAGATTTTTTTTTTTTTTTTTTTTTTTTTTTTGAGACTGAGTCTCACTCTGTCGCCCAGGCTAGAGTGCAGTGGCGCGATCTTGGCTCACCGAAAGCTCCGCCTCTTGGGTTCACGCCATTCTCTTGCCTCAGCCTCCCGAGTAGCTGGGACTGCAGGCGCCCGCCACCACGCCCGGCTAAGTTTCTTGTATTTTTAGTAGAGTCGGGGTTTCACTGTGTTAGCCGGGATGATCTCGATCTTCTGACCTTGTGATCTGCCCGTCTTGGCCTCCCAAAGTGCTGGGATTACAGGCGTGAGCCACCGCACCCGGCCCATTTTAGGAGATTTATTTAAGGATGCACCTGGGAGACAGGTCTATGGCTTTCCTCAAAGATGATTTTCGGGGCTCCAAATTTAAAGGGGAAAGGGCGGGATATTGAGAAGTACATAGTTTTCATGTAAGTGAATCTGCATTTTTACATAAGATGACATAAAAGGGGCAGAGGAAAAATGCGGGGAATCTGCATTTTACATAAGAGAACACAGACAAAACGGGGTAGGGGAATAGTCAGATGTGCGTTTGTGTCTGGTGGGCTGGGGTGACTGCACCTGTAAAGACAAGTTATCAATTTCCATTGCCGTGGTGAAATTTTAACAGCTCACTAGGAATTTCCTTGTGGGCAAAATATGGGGGAGGCATGTAGCTTTTCATCTTGTAGCCATCTTATTTAGGAACCGAAAGGGGGAGGCAGGTTTTCGTGACCCAGTTCCCAGCTTGACTTTTCCCTTTGGCTAAATGCCTTTAGGGTCCCCAAATTTAATTTCCTTTCACATACATATATTCATATATATTTATAGAAGGAGCAGTGAAATGAAATAGCTAGTTACCTGCAACAATGTGGGCAAATTTCATGAACATAATGGTGACAAAAAAAAGTCCTTGAAAAATACAAACTTCGTTTCCTCTTAAAAACAAGCAAAACTAAACAATATGTTATTTATGTGTACATACACACTGTAAAACTATAAAGGAAAGCAAGAGACTGACAAAACTGCACATTAAGGATAGCTGCAGCTTCTGGCAGATGGAAGGGAGGCAGGGAGTCAGAGGGCTTCCGAAGACTGGTCATATTCTCTTTCTTATATCGGTGGTTGGAACATGAGGGCTGTTAATATATCATGTATGACATTTCACACACAAAGGAAAAAGCGGACATTTTTCCAGTAGACATTAGGACTACTGCACACTCGGACCCACAGGACCGAAGGCACTTACGTGCTGGGCCGTGGGACTGGAGAGGTGTGGCTGCTACTGCAGCCTGCTGAGGTGGCAGGGCTGTGGCCCCAGGTCAGACTGGAAGGGCTGATGGGCTCACGGAGAGCTCTTTCTGAGATTTACGTTTTAGAAGGAAGACTTCTGCCCGTATTTTGGAGAGGATGAAAGACTAAGGCCAGTGACCAGGGAACGAGTTACAAGACTTTAAGTTTAGTCCAGGCAAGAGATGACAGAAGTGTCTTCCAAGGTTATGGTAGCCAGGATGAAGAAGAGGGGAAGGATTTGAAAGATATTTCACATGAACGGGATTGGGTGCTGCCTAGTGGATATGGAAGAGGAGGGAATCACAAAAAGCCAAAGATAGCCTCAGAAGGCAAGGATTTCAGCTGGCATAACTAGAAGGTTAAAATTGCCATTACCGGCCGGGCGCGGTGGCTCACGCCTGTAATCCCAGCACTTTGGGAGGCCGAGGCGGGCGGATCACGAGGTCAGGAGATCCAGACCATCCTGGCTAACACGGTGAAACCCCGTCTCTACTAAAAACACAAAAAATTAGTCGGGTGTAGTGGTGGGCGCCTGTAGTCCCAGCTACTCGGGAGGCTGAGGCAGGAGAATGGCGTGAACCCGGGAGGCGGAGCTTGCAGTGAGCCGAGATAGCACCACTGCACTCCAGCCTGGGCGACAGAGCAAGACTCCGTCTCAAAAAAAAAAAAAAAATTGCCATTACCTTAGTCGTGGAACACCAAAGGAGGAATGTTTTTGTGGCTTAAAAGAGAAGAAGAAAGGAAGATGACAGATTGAGCTTGAGGTGTATATGAGACACTTTTGTCCAGGGGTGGCCTGTCCAAAGGGCGTTTGGCCACTGCCCTTCCTACAGACCCATCCTGATCCTACTGCCTGCTTCTCCTCCAAGGACAAACGCCATGTACTTTGTGTTATTCAATCTTCCTTAGCTTCTTCCAACTTAGTGGCTCCCTTTGAACGCTTTAAGGAAGGACCACAGCTCTCACATCACCATGACACAACCATTGCACACATTGCAGGTTAGGAGAACTTACCTTTTGAGCAGTGCCAGACCTGTGCAGAGGGTCAGGGGCTCCAGGATGTGCTCTTCTTACTGTCTGTCATGCTGACAGTGCAGCCTTCCTAGAGTTGCATTTGTTTCTTTTGATGTTGGAGGCTTGATCCAGAATTCCAAAATCATTTAATTAAAATGTAAAGATTCCTATCCAGAGAATCAGAAGACATGGCGTGTTAGCCTGCTAGGGATGCCATTATAAAACACCATAGACTGGGTGGCTTAAACAGCAGAAATTTATTTTTCACAGTTCTGGAGACTGAATGTCCAAGATCAAGGTGTCGGCAGGTTTAGTTTCTCCTGAGGCCTCTCTCTTTGGCTTGTGGATGGTCCCCTTCTCACTGTGTCCTCATGTGGCCTTTTCTCTTGCACACAGGTCCTTGGTGTCCCTTCCTCTTCTTACAGGGACACTAGTCCTATTGGATTAGGGCTCCACCCTTATGACTATGACCTTATTTAACCTTAATTATCTCTTTAAAGGCCCTATCTCCAAATAGAGTCACATTTCGGGTTAGGGCTTTATGAATTTTGTCAGGAGACACAATTCAGTCCATAACACTTGGAATCTAATCATGGCCCACCTATACCCTAGATGTATAGTCTTGGGCAAGTGACTTTTCCTGTACTCCTGTGTTTCTCATCTGAAAATAAAGATCTAGAGACTAGAATGGTGGTTCTCAAATGTTAGAGTGCATTGGAATCACCTGTACCTGTAGGGCTTGTTGAACCACACACTGCTAAGCCCCATCCCCAGAGTTTCTGATTCAGTGGACTTTGTTTTGTTTTGTTTTGAGACAGAGTCTCACTCTGTCACTCAGGGTGGAGTGAAATGGTGTGATCTCAGCTCACTGCAACCTCCTCCTCCTGGGTTCAAGTGATTCTCCTGCCTCAGCCTCCCGAGTAGCTGGGACTACAGGTGCGCCCCACTGCACCCAGCTAATTTTTGTATTTTTAGTAGAGACAGGGCTTCACCATGTTAGCCAGGCTGATCTCGAACCTCTGACCTCAAGTGACCCACCCGCGTCAGCCTCCCAAAGTGCTGGGATTACAGGCATGAGCCACTGCGCCCGGTCTGATTCAGTGGACTTTGCATTTGAACATGTTTTCAGATGCTGCTGCTGCTGCTGCTGCTCTGGAAACACCACACTTTGAGAACCACTGGAATAGAATGATCTACATAGTTCTTTTAAGCCTTATCATTCTAATATTAAATTTATTGGAAAGTAACATCTTGCATCCTTTCTCAACTGGAGTTCCTCATCTGAACCACAACCTGGAAATAGATCTGAGTGGCTGTTTTCTGAATTCTTCCAAAAATGGAGTATATATTGTACCATCTACCATCTAGAAGCAGGAGGGGAGGGGTTGTTCATTCATCATAGAGAGTGGGTGTTGTAGGATGTTAAAGGCTAATTCTCTCATGGAACCCTTGTTGAAAAAGGCTGATATTAGAGGCTCAGTCAGGCTGAAAGGACTCCAGTTATGAACTTTACTTCCCTCAAGGTGATGTCCACAGCTTGCAGGAGAGCAGAACCCCTCTCTTAGATGTCCCTTCTTTCTGTCCAAAAAGGTAGAAAAAATTAAAAAAAAAAATTAGAGCTCAAAGAGATTGTAAGTCATTTCTAGACCAGAAGTATAAACTTTCAGAGGAGGAAACTGAGGCTCGAGGGTGACCTATGCAAAGCCACAAAGCAAATTAGTGTCAGGACCTGAACTGGAATTTAGGGTTAGTGATTCACCTGTCCAGACCAGTGCTTCATACCTACTTAGCTCGAGAAACGAATGATGCAGCAAGGGAAGTAAGAGAATCAACATGGAAGTGGGTGGGCAGGATTTCTGCTTTCTACCAGGAGCAGTGAGTCCTGCCCCCACAGCTGTAGTGGGCGTATTACTTCGGCACTTAGGAAGGTGGCAGATGTCACATGAGCACTCCTGCTGGGATCCTTTGCTGACTTCTGGCCCCTGCCATCTGCAAATTTCCATAGTGTGGGGCTTAGAAAACTGAAAATTTGTTGCATTGCCTTAGTGCTCAATTTTTACAAATTAGGAATAAAATACAAGATGACAGAAGTTGTACTCATAAAAGAAATTTATGTCCACTGAAAGTTAAGCCATGTTCATTCTTCTCAGATGAATTGGGATTTAGCATTATGTTAGTTTCCTGATCACAGCCCTTGATGCCAGTTTTCCTGTATGTACCTGTTTGATGCATTTATATCTATTGACTAAGTATTGAAAATATATTAATAGGTAGGGTTTCCATAACCTGCAGTAGTTTTAAGAATCATTTTCAAGGAAAATGGGTCTCTAGTTTCACGTATATAATATTATCCAATAATCAATCTTGTTTGTTATAATTAAAGCCAATTTGTATTATTCAGTTTTCTACCTCAAAATCCTTCCCCCCTTCTCCTAAATTCAAAAACAGAAGCAAGATGCTTCTCTTCAAAATGGCATGAGTTCTGGTCCCCACTGCTCTTGCCATTAGACTGTAAATTTCCCTGCTGTACTCAGAGAATCAATCTCAAAACCATTTCCAAAAGAAAAAGACATTTCTTATTAACTCACAGCCCAGAAGTTTTATTCGAACTGTGTCCCCTAGATCCTTCCCAGTGTTGGAGGACAAACAGCGACATATGACATATAAGGTATCTAGATACCATGGGGGTCTACAGGGCAGAAGTATAGAGCTTTGAAAAAACTCGATTGTTTTAAATGTTCTGTCTCACTGCAGTTAATTAAGACAGAAATGAACATCCTTAAAAATGCTATTTTTGATAGTGGAAATGAGAAAGTGGAATTAGGGAGTACCATTTTCATACCTTCTTACCTCCCCACTGTAAAAAAGGAAAAGCAACCATTGAGCAAGTGCACAGAACTCTCTCTACTAGGAGTACAGTACTTTACAGCATCGTCATGGAATAAGTAAAAGAATCTGTTTCTGCCAGTTCTCTGGAAGTTCTGAGTTCTTTAAAAGCTGAGTGTAGCTCTTTGCCCTTACACAATCACCCACTTTCCCTAAGCGGCCCTTCATTGTCAAATGCAACGTTAAAAAAATAAATAAATTTTAAAAAAACCCTTCATCTTCTATTCCCTATCTCTTTTACAGTCTAACGAACACCTCCCTTTGTGTTTTCCTCTGAACTGTCTTCTTTGTGGCACCTCCTGCTGAATCACACAAGAGAATCTATTTTGGGTTATTTTGTCACTATTTTATGCCTCCTCCCATCCCCCGCAGTTTGATTTCCCAGATGCTCTCACTTTACTGTCTTTTGAATTTTCCTGCGCTTTCCATCTTCAGAGTGATTTATGATCATCCTTGCCTATTTTTTACTGTGTCATGAAAAGAAATTGTTGTTATCAGTGGAAAAACACTTCTTTTCCTTCAGCATTATTTCTTGTCTACACATCTTGATCTTTTTCAAAATACTTTGCCAATTATTCTTATTTTCAGTTCCTATTGTTTGGTTCAATTTTTCCGATGAGTCAAGATCAAAGTGCGAGGTGTCCCATCCCAGGAACGGAAGCAGACTTTTGCTTATTTGGCCTATTTATTTGGCCCAGTTGCTGAGTTGCTCCTAGCTTGAGAAAGATGTCTTGGGCATTTGCATTTTTCCTATACAGTAGTAATTCTTGATGTCTTCTGGCTTTGGAGTAGTGATTAGTGGAATGGAGAAAGGTTAAGAAGATTTTGAAAGATGGCAGCTTCTAGCAATCTTATTTTAAGATTAAGAAAAAAATCTCTGCCAAAGAAATAGTCCCGAAATGCTGTCGCAAGCTTAAATTCAAAAACGTACATTCACTTGCTGGAATTGTTGTTGTTGCTTTTTACAAAGCAGTATTAATGCAGAGTAATGAGATGCAATCTGTCTGTACTAGCCAAAGCAAATGAAAACTCATTGCTCTGGTTGAAGGTGAGGTTTCAATTCATCCATGTAAACCTGCACCAAAAATGGAAACTCTCTTGCTGACTTCATTAAAGAGCTTGCACCTTGTACTGAAATCTGCCTCATGGTTGAACAAATGTGTTTTGCTGACATTGGGTTGAGTCATGAAAAGTAATTTCTTCCTAGACAATATTTGCTAGTACTGTCTATTTGACAATGTAAAACTAAATTTGGAAAATTAGACCCTGCCATGGGTATATATACACATTGACAAGTGGTTTTCTAATACAGTTTTCGGTTCCCCATTTGCTTGTTTTTGTACGTTCATTTTTAGTGGACAATATATATATATTTTTCCAGAAGACATTTTGGAATCATCTAGTTCATATAGAAAAAATGTGTTAATTTTCCCAGGTGGAGTGTTTTTGTTCTGGGTGGTTCTTAAGACTACCATGTTCAAAACATCTCTCAAGTGTTTCCACTGGACTTTAATTTCAGAGGCTGGTTCTGGGCATAAAACCCCTGATGAGTATAATAACAGAACCATTGAGAAGACGGTTTCTTAAAACAAACAAGGCCTACTTTCTGGTCATGTAAAAATGAGTTATCACTGCTTCAGCCACTACAAAGCTCAAAGTAGGGGAGGTGACTTAACATAAAAATTAAGAGGCCAAGACTGAAAAGATTATATTTAATAAGTATAATTGAAAAGTCTTGAGCTTAAGCATGACAGAGGGTTAGCAGAAGTTCTGATGCTATAGCTGATGTTCAGAATTTTGTTGCTGAAATCCACTTTCCCAATTCTCCCACATTTTGCAGGTAGGAAGGAGGCTTGCACAGATGTGAACTGACTTCCCCAAGTTTGCACAGCTGATAAATAACATAACCAGAATGAGAACTCAGGTTGTCTCGTTTCTAGTCCACTGCTTTTTTTCTTTTCTTTTCTTTTTCTTTTTTTTGCAAGTTCAGTATGAAGTAACTGAGATAGAGTTGCCAAAATCTATATTACAAACTCAGGAAAAAGAAGAATAGAACAGAGTATAAGCCTACCTACTCTTCAGCAATCAACTTATGCACTAAATAAATATTTATTGAGTAGCCACTATGTGCCAGGCATGGAGCTCCTAGCTCACAGCATTACAAAGGACTATATAAGATATCATCTAGCAGCTATTTTATAATTTTCAGCAGCTACTATTATTATTATTATTTTGAAACAGGTTCTCCCTTTGTCACTCTGGCTAGAGTGCAGTGGTGCAATCACAGCTCACTGCAGCCTTGACCTCCCAGGCTCTTAGGTGGCCTCTTAGGTTCCTTACCGCTCTAAAGGCCCATGTTCCTGGAAAAGCTTCTATAAATGTTTTCACGATGGAGTTTTAAATATAAATTCTGCACAGGAGTAACAGTGTTCATTCTAGACCAGCCACAAGACTAAGGAGAGGGTCTCAGACTTTGTACTCTGCCATGCAGAGTACAGACTTTGTATTCTGGGTCCAGCCTGGGTCCCAGCAGAGCAGAAGGAGAAGAGTGTGACGCTCTCCACTGAATTCCCAGCACCTCATTGCATCAGGCTACACAGTGTTCAAGAGAAAATACATAGTTTTTAATATGGAAAATTTTCCAAACTACAAAAAGAATATGCTCTGTTTACAAAAGTTTAACCATTACTGAAATCCCTACATGAAAGTGAAAATCCTTAATCATTCCATCCACCCAGTAAAGCGGTTTGGCATACATTTCTCTAAATGCTTTTTTGAATGTATTAACATGCGCCATTTCTTAATAAAAATCTAGTTATGTTCTATTTAGTAACTTTGTGTTTTTACATAATTATCTTAGATATGTTAGATGTTACTGTATTTATTTGAAAAAGGCTTATACAGCATTTCATTGAATGGAAGTATCATTTTAAACCATCATTATATATATTTTTTCCTATTTTTAAAACAATAATACTATACCAACTTCCAAAGGATATTGATCTTTGTGGTTGCAAAATAGAGGTGACAGGTGATTCTTGGAAATTAGAGAAATACAACACTAGATTTTTAGATGGCTGTGTGCGTGTATGTGTTGGAGTGAGAAGGACATAACTGAGAGGGAGTTGGTCACAAAAATGTATTGAACGAAAATAGATTGTAATTTCTCTAAAGAGAACACTGTGACATTTTATTGTGTCTACATACTGACCTCAGTGGTTTCAAAGCAGTGCTACTGAAATTAATGGAGGAAAATTCTCTTCTCCTTATTATTTACCTGAATCCTCCAATACAATTTGCACCCAAAGTGTGGCAGTAACCCATGCAGCTGCAAGAGCAGGAACCCTGGAACCATTTGGAAGGAGAGCACAGTGGTTTATGTATGGCTTCATCTTTTATTCTGGGCATTATCCAGAGAAATAGTTCAAATATTGATATCCAAATGTAAGAACTGGTATTCTGTATCTACTGTTGGAGTTCAAAATTCTTCAAAATGCCCTGTTGTGCGGGGGGCACCTTGTAGTAATTAGAAATCCTCTTGATATCAGAAAAAATGGTAGGCAAGGTTTTCCCCTGAACTTTGCTTTATAAGTAAGTACACCAGAAAAGGGGGCCTCCAGCATAATCGTGCTTGCTTTATTTGTAAAGGCCCTAAAAGCACGTTAGAATCCAAACTAGTGTTATTGATTTTTAAAATTACTAGGCTTTATTTTAGATTAAAATAAAAATTGAAGGCTTAGGTGGGAGGGTTGCTTGAGGCCAGGAGTTCGAGACCAGCCTGGGCAACATAGCAAGACCCTGTATCCACAAAAATTTTAAAAAAATAGCTGGGCATGGTGGTGGACAGACATGCATCTGGTGTTTTTCTCATGATTAGGCTGGGAGTATGTGTTTTGGGGAGGAAGATCACAGATGTAAAATGCCATTTTCATCATGTCATATCATGGGTCCATATTATCAATATGTTGACTGTTGGTGCTGACCTTGATCACCTGGCTGACATAGTACTTGTTGGCTTTCTCCACAGTAAAGTTACCCCCATAATGTCCCCTTCAGAGGGAAGTCACCATGCACAGCCTACACTTAAGGAGTGAAGAGGTATGTTCCACCTGTTTAAGGGCAGAGAATCCGCATAAATGATTTGGAAGTCTTCTGCATGGAGGATGTCTTTTCTCCTGTTCTATTAATTTATTCAATCATTGATTTATATCATGAATGTAAATAAATGGAATCATGGATATTTATTCTGTATCTTGAGTTATAGTCCAATATCACTTCATCTTGTTGCTCATGTTGTGTCAGATTTGGACATTGGGAGCTTTTTTTTTTTTTTGAGACGGAGTCTTGCTCTGTCGCCCAGGCTGGAGTGCAGTGGTGCTATCTCGGCTCACTGCAAGCTCCGCCTCCCGGGGTCATGCCATTCTCCTGCCTCAGCCTCCTGAGTAGCTGGGACTACAGGCACCCGCCACCATGCCTGGCTAATTTTTTGTATTTTTCAGTAGAGACGGGGTTTCACCGTGTTATCCAGGATGGTCTTGATCTCCTGACCTCGTGATCCGCCCGCCTCAGCCTCCCAAAGTGTGGGAGCTCTTTGAATTGGCTCCTGTGCCCCTTTGTCATAGCCCATCAATTAAACAAAATTTGCTTTTAGGACTTCCTTACTTTCTGACACTAGAAGGTATTCCAGGCTCATCTTGTATATTTTCTGCCCCAGTCCTAGAATCAGCCATTTCTTCCAGGAACCCTAGTTCCTTTCATTGGAGAGTGATATCAGAAACCAACTTCCAGGTACTATGTACCCTTGTTGCTACTGGCATTTTTTTTTTTTGGCACTTTTAACTGACAGAGCAAAGAAAGATATGTATGTATATTAAGAGTAGTATATACATACATCTATAAACATTCCTATATGTAACAATCTGTGTCTCTAGTAAGCTAAACATGAGTGCTGATTGATATCTTCAACTCTATACATTATCACATGGATTATTCTGGCCTTCTCCCTTTGCTTATCTATAAATTCTACTCCCGCAGTGAGAAACCTGTCTCACACCATCTGCCCTGCATTTACTAAGTTGTTCAGTTCTAGTATACATAGATAGCTGTATCAAAATTGTTAGCCCATAACCCCTGTGGGAAACAACTTCACTGCAGTACAGTGTTTACATGCAGTTCCTATAGCCTGTAGTCTTACAGACTTCATTCATTTCCAGAGTTACTTAGGTTGGCATCTTTTCCTCTCTCACTTCAGTGAGGTTGTTTCATACATGGTAATACAGTTAGATTCTCCTGTCATTGTCTTCATTCTTTCCTGAGGTCTCCTGACCTAAGTGATTTTATTTTATTTATTTATTTATTTTTGAGATGGAGTTTCACTCTTTTTGCCCAGGCTGGAGTGCAATGGCATGATCTTGGCTCACTGCAACCTTTGCCTCCCGGGTTCAAGCTATTCTCCTGCCTCAGCTTCCTGAGTAGCTGGGACTACAGGCGTGCGCCACCATGCCCGGGCTAATTTTGTATTTTTAGTAGAGACAAGGTTTCAGCATGTTAGCCAGGCTGGTCTTGAACTCCTGACCACAAGTGATCTGCCCACCTCTGCCTCCCAAAGTGCTGGGATTACAGGCGTGAGCCACTGCGCCTGGCCTAATTTAAAAAAAAAAAATTGCATGCATTAAGTTTCACTCTGTGCTGTGAAGTTTGGCGAGTTTTGCCAGATGTGTCGTGTCATGTATCCACTATTGCAGCATAATACAGAATAGTTTATCACCCTAAAAATCCCCTGTGTTTTATTTTTTTCTCCTCCCCCCGACACCCTGGCAGCCACTGATATTTTCATTGTCTCTATAGTTTGCCATTTCCGAAAGGTCATGTAATTGGAATCATACAGTAGGTAGCTTTTTCAGACTGGTTTCTTTTGCTTAGCAATATGCACTTAAGGTTCCTCTGTATCTTTTTGTGGCTTGATAGCTTGTGCCTTTTTTTTTTTTTTTTTTTGCTAGATAATATTCTACAGGGTGGATGTACCACAGTTTGTTTATCTGTTTACCTATAGAAGTACATTTTAATTGCTTCCAGTTTTGGGGAATTATGACTAAAGCTACTAGTAATGATTCACATACACGTTTTGTGTAGACATAAGGTTTCAGCCTAATTGGGTAAATTCCTAGGAGCGTGAATGCTAGATGTATGGTAAGAGCAGGTTTAGTTTATAAGAAACTGCCAAACTGTCTTCCAAAGTGGCTGCACCATTTTGAGTTCCCACCAGCAATGAATGAGAGTTCCTGTTGCTTGCCATCCTTACCAGCATTTAATATGTCAGTTTTCTGAATTTATCCATTCTAATAGATGTTTAATGGTATCTCATTGTTTTAATTTGCAATTCCCTAATGACGAATGACGCCAAGCATCTTTTCATATGCTTTTTTCCTCCCATTTGTGTACCTTCTTTTTTTTTTCTTCAGATTTTTTTTTTTTAATTATACTTTGAGTTTTAGGGTACATGTGCACAATGTGCAGGTTCGTTACATATGTATACATGTGCCATGCTGGTGCGCTGCACCCACTAACTCGTCATCTAGCATTAGGTATATCTCCCAATGCTATCCCTCCCCCCTCCCCCCACCCCACAACAGTCCCCAGAGTGTGATGTTCCCCTTCCTGTGTCCATGTGTTCTCATTGTTCAATTCCCACCTATGAGTGAGAATATGCGGTGTTTGGTTTTTTGTTCTTGGGATAGTTTACTGAGACTGATGATTTCCAATCTCATCCATGTCCCTACAAAGGACATGAACTTATCATTTTTTATGGCTGCATAGTATTCCATGGTGTATATGTGCCACATTTTCTTAATCCAGTCTATCATTGTTGGACATTTGGGTTGGTTCCAAGTCTTTGCTATTGTGAATAGTGCTGCAATAAACATACGTGTGCATGTGTCTTTATAGCAGCATGATTTATAGTCCTTTGGGTATATACCCAGTGATGGGATGGCTGGGTCAAATGGTATTTTTAGTTCTAGATCCCTGAGGAATTGCCGCTACATAATGGTAAAGGGATCAATTCAACAAGAAGAGCTAACTTTCCTAAATATATATGCACCCAATACAGGAGCACCCAGATTCATAAAGCAAGTCCTGAGTGACCTACAAAGAGACTTAGACTCCCACACATTAATAATGGGAGGCTTTAACACCCCACTGCCAACATTAGACAGATCAATGAGACAGAAAGTCAACAAGGATACCCAGGAATTGAACTCAGCTCTGCACCAAGTGGACCTAATAGACATCTACAGAACTCTCCACCCCAAATCAACAGAATATACATTTTTTTCAGCACCACACCACACCTATTCCAAAATTGACCACATACTTGGAAGTAAAGCTCTCCTCAGCAAATGTAAAAGAACAGAAATTATAACAAACTATCTCTCAGACCACAGTGCAATCAAACTAGAACTCAGGATTAAGAAACTCACTCAAAACCACTCAACTACATGGAAACTGAACAACCTGCTCCTGAATGACTACTGGGTACATAACGAAATGAAGGCAGAAATAAAGATGTTCTTTGAAACCAACGAGAACAAAGACACCACATACCAGAGTCTCTGGGACACATTCAAAGCAGTGTGTAGAGGGAAATTTATAGCACTAAATGCCCACAAGAGAAAGCAGGAAAGATCCAAAATTGACACCCTAACATCACAATTAAAAGAACTAGAAAAGCAAGAGCAAACACATTCAAAAGCTAGCAGAAGGCAAGAAATAACCAAAGTCAGAGCAGAACTGAAGGAAATAGAGACACAAAAAACCCTTCAAAAATTAATGAATCCAGGAGTTGGTTTTTTGAAAGGATCAACAAAATTGATAGACCCCTAGCAAGACTAATAAAGAAAAAAAGAGAGAAGAATCAAATAGATGCAATAAAAAATGATAAAGGGGATCTCACCACCGATCCCACAGAAATACAAACTACCATCAGAGAATACTACAAACACCTCTACGCAAATAAACTGGAAAATCTAGAAGAAATGGATAAACTCCTCGACACATACACTCTCCCAAGACTAAACCAGGAAGAAGTTGAATCTCTGAATAGACCAATAACAGGATCTGAAATTGTGGCAATAATCAATATCTTACCAACCAAAAAGAGTCCAGGACCAGATGGATTCACAGCCGATTTCTACCAGAGATACAAGGAGGAACTGGTACCATTCCTTCTGAAACTATTCCAATCAATAGAAAAGAGGGAATCCTCCCTAACTCATTTTATGAGGCCAGCATCATCCTGATACCAAAGCCGGGCAGAGACACAACCAAAAAAGAGAATTTTAGACCAATATCCTTGATGAACATTGATGCAAAAATCCTCAATAAAATACTGGCAAACCGAATCCAGCAGCACATCAAAAAGCTTATCCACCATGATCAAGTGGGCTTCATCCCTGGGATGCAAGACTGGTTCAATATATGCAAATCAATAAATGTAATCCAGCATATAAACAGAACCAAAGACAAAAACCACATGATTATCTCAATAGATGCAGAAAAGGCCTTTGACAAAATTCAACAACCCTTCATGCTAAAAACTCTCAATAAATTAGGTATTGATGGGATGTATCTCAAAATAATAACAGCTATCTATGACAAACCCACAGCCAATATCATACTGAATGGGCAAAAACTGGAAGCATTCCCTTTGAAAACTGGCACAAGACAGGGATGCCCTCTCTCACCACTCCTATTCAACATAGTGTTGGAAGTTCTGGCCAGGGCGATTAGGCAGGAGAAGGAAATAAAGGGTATTCAATTAGGAAAAAGAAGTCAAATTGTCCCTGTTTGCAGATGACATGATTGTATATCTAGAAAACCCCATTGTCTCAGCCCAAAATCTCCTTAAGCTAATAAGCAACTTCAGCAAAGTCTCAGGATACAAAATCAATGCACAAAAATCACAAGCATTCTTGTGTACCTTCTTTAGTGAAGTGACTGTTCAGATCTTTTGCCCGTTTTTAAATCATTTTTTTTAAATTGTTGAGTTTTAAAAAAATATTTTCAGTCTTTATCAAATCCTTACATAGATGGGCCTTAGTTACAGTTCCTTTATCAGATATGTGTTTTGCAAATATTTTCCCCTTTCTGTGGCTTATCTTCTCATCCTCTTACCAGTGTCTTTCATGTGTTTTTAAATTTTATGGCCATTTTCTTTACTCTCAGAGAATAGCTCTGAGAATTAGGGTTGAATTCTTCTGGTGCTAGGTGAGATCAATTATTTTGATACAGTCAGTGCTTTCTTCTTCCCCTTTCTATATTGATAACCACTGGTCTAGATTCCCACTGCTGAGCCAAGCCCACCACACTCTGGAGTCTGCCCTTGTTGACTTAACGAGATAGAAGCAATGAGGAGGTGCACAAAATCCTAGGAGACTTGGTGCTTCGTTTTGTCTCTGCTCATTATCAGCTGCGTGGCTTTAAAAAGACAGTGGTATTTCTCTGTGCTGCAGTTACTTTGGGTCTGATACTCTTTAAGCTAACAATGCATAGAATATTATTCACAAGCAAAAGTTTTACTGGGAAAGTATTTGATTACTCTTACTGAGTTTCAAGGTTGACTACTACAAATAGCTTTTAAAACAGATACCTATGCCCACTTCTGTTTACTCATGGTGGTCATTTAGAGAGCTAAGGTTAAAGCTGTAACTGGATGATTTCTAGGAAGTAGGTTCAAGCAGTTCCAAATATTTCACTTAACACACGAGGACGATGGGGACCTGTTTGCTCTTCTTTTAATATGTTATATTTACTATGCACTTGGAAATCTACCCCGGACCTAACATGAGCTCTCCTTTTGAAAGTGCCCCCCAAAATGGAGCACCTACTCTATGAAACCTTCTCTGACATTTATTAGATAAAGTAGAAAGGTTTAGAGCAGCAGTTCTAGTGTTGTTTCATCTTCTTCATTCCTCTTCTCTAAGGTATATGAGTGCATTTTTTATATTTAGCTTGAATTTAAATTAGAACAGCCTAAGTCAACTGTGGGGAAGATAGTAATATACAGCCAAGTCCGATTTTTGCCTTGGTAAGATATTTCTGTTATTCTATATGCCAAGGAAAGTAACTGAAGAATTTTAAGGAGAATACTGATGTGATTTGATAACTTTTTTGCTTTTTCTGGAGAGGTCACCCTTGAAGGTGCGCATAAAAGGGATTTTAGTTGGGCAGGAGCAAAAGCAGAGAAACATGTTAGGGAGTGATCACAATAGGCAAAGCTACAAAATATCTTGGACCATCTGGTGGCAGTGGAGTTGGGGAGAAGGCATCAGATTTGAAGCTTATTTGGGAGGTAAAGCTAACCAGATTTGCTGTTAGATTGAATCTGAGTGGAAAATATGACAACTAACCATACTGGTTTGCCCAAGACTGTCTTGATTTTACCACTGAAAGTCCCACATCCTAGAAACCCCATCTGGAATGGATGGTTGCCCTAGTGGAGGAACACCTACACTTTAAAATCAGGGGTTGAATCCACAGATCATGAAGTTTCTTTTCCCTACCTCTAAAGTTCTTTGTTGCTGTGATTCTGTGAAATACTCCTGCGGAGCAGTTTTCCCTCAATTAACAGACAGTCTAATGGTGATTTTTTTTTCAGGTAGGTCTAGGGCAGATATTGCAGAAGAAGGCATCCTATATAAGAATAACACATCCCATCCTTTGTAACACCTATGTGAAAGAAAATTCTTTATGGTAGGAGAAATTTAGTTTCCATAAAATAAATCATGTTTTAACTCTGGGGAATGGAAAACTGTGACTCCAGCCTTTTGAAAGATCCTTGAAGAGCAGATTGGACATTGATTTATCTGACGGCTGCCCAGAATCAAAGGAAAGCTTGACATGACCTCTTAGGGTCACTCTTTTGATTCTTTGACAAGTGGTTTGGGTTCTACAGCAAAAGAAGTTGGAAAATGCAAAATTTGGTGAGTACTTATTGTTACTGCCCAACATAAATGTTTAACATCCCATTTTCTCAGATACAGGTGGCATCTATGAGAATTCCTTTGAGAGGCAGTCAACCTACAGCTGTTAAATTCAGCCTCTCTGCAGCATCTACCAAGAAACCACTGTGAAAGAACCATGTAGTAAGATGCCCATTTCTTAGTGTTCCTATCCACCCAGCTTTATTTCTCACATTGGAATCTGGTCTGCCCTCCCTCACTTCTGGTAGAGCATTGCCTCTTGTTTGCTTTCTTTCTGCAAACTGCACACACAAGTGCAAACATTTTGACTAATGTCACCTATGAAGCCTTGAACCTACCCATGGGGAAATGCTCAAAGTCATTTCAAAATCCTGTAAATGAGAGCATCTTTACAAAAAAGAAAAACTGCTAAGTGTCAAGTATCACTTCATAATGCAGCTCTTGACTTGTTATTATTCAAGAATGCCAAGCCTTTCATCTTCTTTGCAAGCCTGCCCTGGAATTGATTTAATCAGCTTTCTGTGCTTGGTGGGAAGTTGTGGTGTGGGAGTAGTTTCTCACTAACTCTCACATATACTCTTTATAAAATAAGTACATCTTTCTTTCAGGAGGTGGTTTATCAAGGTTGATCTGGAAGCTTACTATTTTCCGTGATGCTCAATTTCCTTAGCAATTCACAAGTAAAGTAGTTGGACTTTATTGGCCTGTCTCTGACAGGATCAGTTGAAAACCACCTTTCGGCAGCATTCATCATGAATTATTCCTACAACCAAGATCATGTATTAGTTGGGGCCGAGTGCAGTGGCCTCATGCCTGTAATGCTAGCCCTTTGGGAGGCCGAGGCGGGCAGATCACTTGAGGTCAGGAGATTGAGACCAGCCTGGCCAACATGGTGAAACCCCGTCTCTACTAAAAATACAAAAATTAGCCGGGCGTGGTGGTACACGCCTGTAATCCCTGCTACTCAGGAGGCTAAGACAGGAGAATCGCTTGAACCTGGGGGGCGGAGGTTGCAGTGAGCTGAGATCGTGCCATTGCACTCCAGCCTGAGGGACAAGAGTGAAACTCCCTCAAAAAAAAAAAAAAAAAATCATGTATTAGTTGGCTTGGCCAGACTTGTCATCTTTATATTTTCCAAAACACAAAGCATGAGATCAGGCAAAATTATGAATTCACTATTTAAATGTGAAGGTTTCTAACTTGCAGTCATATTATATTATTTAATGGCCAGGAGAATAAGACTCGTGCTTATGGTAATTAATATTTATTTAGCATCATATGGTACCTATAGCATCACATAGCAGCCTTCCCAGCAACCCTATGAGATGTATGTTATTTTTCCTACTGTACATGTAAGGAAACTGAGGTTGAAAAACTTTAAGGTGTTTGTGAAAGCTGACATCGCTAATAAGCATCAGAGATAGGTTCGCAAATGCTGTGGAAGTCATAAGACAATCAAAGCCACGATTTAATCTTTAGGCTTCTCTTCTGCCATATTTTCTTAGGTAATTTTAAAGAGCCTTTAATCTAGTCATCAAGAGTGTCTAAAACCTTCCAGGCTGGTGTTGCTTCCATTGTAGCTGACTATATGGAGGCCCTTTGTCACTTGGGCCACCAGAAGAAGATGGCTGCTTCTCATCCCTGATCCCCTAGCTAGGTATAACCGGTGCCAATGATATTCATCTTGGGTGGAGAGGATGAGAACTTAGTATCTGTCTGATCCCTATACTCCCTAGGTTCCCGCCACACAATTCAGCTCAGTTATTGGCTTCTTTCTCCTTTTTCCTTTGAAATATGTCATTTGTCTATTCAAAACTTGTTAAGTGCCTGCTTCATATAGAACCCTGTAGTAGATACTGTGAGAGAAACAGAAGAGTGAGACCTTCAGCTGTAGGACATTCAGGTGGAGATTTCCTGCAGATGGATGGCGGGGGGTTCTCAGTTTCAGAGATAGATAAGAACTGTGAGTATAGATTTGTGAATCATGCATACGATGAGGTTCCATGAATCTAAGTGAAGGAGCAGCATGGTTATTTGGAAAGGAATTTTGGAGTGAGAAGGTCCGTGTTAGTCTTATGTCTGACTCTTACTAGATACCTCTGGCAATCTTTATAACCTCAACTAAACCTAAGATCCCTTTTCTCTTAAAGCAGAATAACTGTCATTTCTACCTCACAGCATTGTCACAAGGCTGCAATGAAGTATGCTGGTGTGCTTTGTGATATGCTGTGTCTAAATTTCAGTCGTTAGTGTTATTTTTGTTTCCATCATAAACAAGTGAGAAAAATAAGAGTAGGTGAGGGTGATCCACATGAAAGTGGCCCTCTGGTTACAGTCTGCCACTTTGCAGGTAGGCTTAGAAGTCTGAATTTGAATTTGTGGACTTTTCTCTATGGACATAGTGGCACAGATCTAAGAAATAATGATAATTAAGAACATATCAAAATAAACAAAATTATGTATAATCTCTCTGAATTTTACTTTCTCCCTTAGTAAAATGAGAATGATTATAGACACATAATATGTTTATTTTGAGGATTAAATGAGAGAGGTAAGTAGTAAGGAGTAAGTGTAAGTATAAGTAGATACTTGCAAATTATAAGTAGATACTCTCTGTTCCCTCATCTGTAGATTTTTTCTGTGTGTGCCATTTAGTAAGGTAAGATTGAGGTTTGCTCTCTGAGAACTAATGTAGCATTTAACTCTCCTCTAATGTGGCATATAGTAAGAATCCAGTAAATCACAGGTAGTAATAATTATAATATGGAAAAATAGGCCTTCGGGGGCCATAGTTGAGCAATACCATTTATTACTAGGTAATGTATCCTGGATGCTTCTTTGGAAAGGAGTGATTCCTTATGGCTGGTGACTCATGCTCTGTTCTCTTGGAAGGGTCTTTAGGAAGTGGAAGGTGTCGTGTCCCATCCTTCACTTGTCTATCTCACCTGCTTTCCCTGCCTGTATGCCACCTCTGACTTTGCTTTCCTACCACGTGGCCTGGTCCTGGACATATGTGGTGTTTGCAGCAAACAGAAGTCTAAAAATTTTGAAGGAGGGCCCAGCCCTACTTCTGCCACTTATCAGACCTGAATTATGTGGACACTGCTGGGTTTCTTTAAAATAACTTCAGATCTGGTCTTGAATGGATCAAGAAAGATTTTCTTAATAAAACAAACAAAAACAGCAATCCTGTCCTTTATGAATTTACTTGTTTTGGAAAACTTAATTTCCACATTGGACAAGAGAAAAGGTGAGTCCCGGTAGGTGAGGGCACAACCTGGGTATCACTCTCCTCTCTAGTGACACAAGGGTCACCCTTTGTCACCCTCACCTGTCAATACCCTCTTACATTTTAGAATTTTTCTGGCATTCAAAACCTTCAAATTTTAAAATCAGAACCCTGTTCTCCAGCTAACACATCCAGATTTTCCAACTTCCTGCATTTTTGTCTTGCAGGTTATTTTATAGTGCCTGCTTAAAACAGGCAATAATCTATTGATATCATAGAAAATTTAGAGTTTGATTGCTCTGCCTATGGAGTAGCCATTCTTTATTCCTTTACTTTCTTAATAAACTTGCTTTCACTTAAAAAAAGAAAACTCCACCTTCATTTATAAGTATTTTAAGAAACAACCTGTTCCTTCATTAATTGGACATTATTGACTATTTTAAAACAAACATACAGGGTAATCTTCCCCCAGCACCGCCCCCAGCAGTCACCAGCGAGCCTAATCATGTTTTGGTTCTTTTACACGGAAGTATTTTACATGAATGGCAAACTTACGTTGGATCAGATGGAAAAACTTTACTAGAAGGAGGGCTGTGTCCAAACTCTTACAGCAGTGTAGCCAGTAAGTGATTCTGTCCTTGCATTTGCCAGGGGCAAAAGCATACATCAGTGCCTTTTACCTGAGCAGCATGTGTCAGGGCACGCTCTTAACCTCTAATTACTTTCTTCTAAGCTGGTAGAGTAGAGTCATGGGAAGAGTATGGAGTCAGGTTGGGTCCAATCCTGGCTGAGTGACCACTGACAAGTTGTATATCTCCTCTGAGCCTTGCTTTCCTCCTTGGTAAAGTGAGGATAATAATGCCGACTTCATGGACTTATTTTCCAGGTTAAGAACAAGCTGCCAGGTCCCCAGAAAGTGCTTAGTGGGGTGCAGGGTCTGCCCCTTTGCTGGGCACTCTACCTACTGAGGCACTGCTGCCCATCTGGAACTCAGTCTATCAACAATAAGTGAAACTTGCCTTTCTCCACTGACAAATTCTCTCAGCCTCTGTTTGGCTTACTTGGAATTTGTTTGACAGTATATCTGTCTGGCCCATAAAGAGGGGAATTTAGACAGGGTTGAAATGCATCAAATTAAGTCCTGTCTCCACAAAGAAAACACTTTTGTACTTCTGTGAAAAGGCTGCAGAGACGTGGTGACTGGCCATGAGTCAGCCCAGGACTGTGGTGCAGCTGTGGTCCTTAATCCCTGCCCCACAAAAGATTTGATTTAAATGCCTTGTCACACTTGTTGAAATCTGGGAAGTGGTATCGTTAAAAAAAAAAAAAAAAAAGGACTTGGTTTAAACTTAATTTTAATACTCTGTTAGATTTTGCTTCTTTTGCAGTACCTAGCGCCTTAGCGGTAGTTAAATTTATAAAAATGAGACTTACAATCTTTTGACCAAAATAATGAGGCACTTTCTTCTCCTGAGGGACGATGAGTGTTCTTTTACCAAAGAAGAGTGGCAATCCTAGGTCACATGGCTGAGGGCTTAACTAGGTGCTAGGCACTATTCTAAGCTCATTTTCTTTCGAACATTCTAAGTACTTTTCTAAGCACTATTTCATGTGCTTTGAGTATTTTAAGTATTTTTCAGGTGCTTAGAGCATTCTAAATACTTTTCAGTGTTTCTTCAGAGCCAACCTATGAAGTAGGAACTCTACTCTCCAAATTTACCCTGAACACATTCTCCACTGTTACACCCTAGTTTAGGCCCCTGTCATCTCTTGCTCCAACGGTGTGATAGTCTCATAACTATTGCTTCCATCTTTACCCACTTCCACCTCTTCTCTTCACAGCAACCAACATGATACTCTTAAAACACAGATAATATCAAAGCATTTTTCTTCTCTTTCAGAAAAAATACAACAATAACAACACAACAAACAGACAAAGGCCTCTACTCACTTTCCAGCGTACTTAAATTCCAAATTCCTCACCTACAGTCTTCCTACAGTCTTTAAAGCCCCTGTGTGTCTTTATTTTCCCGACTCTTCACCTTCCTCCCTTGGCTTCAGCCTCAGCAGCTTCCCTGCTGTTTCTCAACTGCACCAGACACCACTCTGCCCCAGGGCCTTTGCATGTCCTGTTGTCAGTACTTGGGATACTCTTTCCCCAGATAGCCCCATGGCTCACATCCTCTCTCAGCCTTTCACTTCACTGAGGTTTCTGCTCAAACACAGTCTTTTTAGAGAGGCCTTCCCTGACCCCTTATTTATTTATTTATTTATTTATTTATTTATTTATTTATTTTCAGACGGAGTCGCACTCTGTCACCCAGGCTGGAGTGCAGTGGCGCGATCTCGGCTCACTGCAAGCTCTGCCTCCTGGGTTCACGCCATTCTCCTGCCTCAGCCTCCGAAGTAGCTGGGACTACAGGCGCCCACCACCAAGCCTGGCTAATTTTTTTTGTATTTTTTAGTGGAGACGGGGTTTCACTGTGTTAGCCAGGATGGTCTCGATCTCCTGACCTCGTGATCCGTCCGCCTCGGTCTCCCAAAGTGCTGGGATTATAGGCGTGAGCCACCGGGCCCGGCCTCCTGACCCCTTATTTAAATAGTGCCTATGATACTCTCCATACCCTTACCCTGCTTTATTTTTTTAATGGCATTTATCATTATGAATTGAATCTATTTTTATGCATTGATTATCTGTCTCTCCTCTTTAGACTGTAAGTTTCACAAGTTCCGGGATTTTGTTTTGTTCATATCATATTCCAGCACTTAGTACTTGACTCGTGGCGGTGCTCCATATAAATAAATTTTGAGATATCACTTGAATGCAAAAATAGTGCCCATTCAAATGAATCATTTGACAAGTAGACCTGTATAATCACTCTTACAGTCGTGAGATAGGACAGTTTCCCCCACCCCTCCACAGTCAGTCCCTGCCCATCTCCCACTCCCAGCCCCAGGCCGTCACTGACCTGCTTTCTATCACTATAGATTAGGTTTGTCTTTTCTAGAATTTTGTGTACATGGAATCCTACAGTATATGCTCTTTTGTGCCTGATTTCTTTTTCTCAGCATAATGTTTTTGAGATTGATCTATGTTACGGCATGTACCAGAAGTTTATTCCTTTTCATTACTGAGTACTATGACTTTGTATGGATATATCACAGTTTACCAGTTCACCTGCTGATATGAATATTTGGGTTGATTCTGGTCTTTGGATGTGATAAATAAAGCTGTTCTGAATGTTTATACATAGGTCTTCCTGAAGACACACATTTTCATTTCTCTCTACTAAATACCTAGATATGGCTTAAAATATATTTTGAATGAATTTTGGAAGTGAAGAATTGGAGCCTTAGAGAGGGTCAGTGACATTCCCAAGAACACACAGCCAGTGTGTTGGAGTGGGGTTTGCACCTGGGTGGCTTAACTCCAAAGTGCCTGAGTTTTGCATCTTTCATTGAAGGTAAATTATTTTCTATAGCCCAAGGCAGCCAAGGAATCTGGCCTATGCTTTAGTGTGGCCAGCCCTCTGCTCCTGGAGACAGGACAGTAGACAGACCTGAGCAGAGGTTGCACACCCACTTCCCCATTGATTCCCTTCTCTCTGCCCCAATCCCACTGCTGTTCCCTAGCTTTCTCCTCTCAGCACCGAGCAGTAATGGCTGTATTGAGGGAAAAGCAGATGTTGCAGCTCCTATTCTGATTGGAGCACATGGTGTGTTCCCCTCTAGCTGGAGGCTTCTCAGCCTGCATACAGCTGGGGCCCACATTTCTCATGGCCTGGATCCAGGTCAGCAGCTGGGCTGGGGTAGGTTTTCTGTTGCAGCTTCCATGTAGATAGTGAGAAATGGATACTGGATCTCAGTTCTCCTCTTTGGTAAAGACACCCCTTTCTTTCACATCTGGGACTCTCCATTGGACACTTGCTGAACACATGATGCAGAATTATTACAAAGGATAGAATCCCTCAGCAGATTACAGCTTAATTGAAAGGATGGCAAGCGAATATACATGAATACAGTTTTTATAAAAGGTTGCAGAAATAAAACTACCTAACCATGCATGGGCCGTCTCCATTTTAGCAAGGTAGAAAGTGCATGGCAGCAGTAAATACTTTATACCAATAGGATAAAGGAAGAGAATGAGGAAGAGTGAATTTCAGGGGTGTTTAGCATTGCACCTTTCAAAGAGTAGACAGAGCAGAATAAGGTAAAAGAGACTGCAAGGATTGCAGGTACCTGGGCCTCAGGCAGCATCACGAGTGTAAAATAGGGGCTAAATAAGCAGCAGAAAGGACTTCCTTCGCTGTGACTTCCTTTACAAGTTCCCCAGCCTTGAAGAGACTCTATTTTATATTGTTCCCTTCTGCACTGGGAGCATCCTGGCTAACAAATGAGCCAGTGATACCCAAAACCTAGTGCGTGAGGAGTAGCTGGTGGTGTGTTGAAAACACAGATTCCCACAACCTACTCCCAGTGACTTGAAGCTAATTGATCCGGGATGGGGCTTAGGAATCTGCATTTTTAGCAATTCTTGGATGACTGTGATGCTTGTTGTCAGGAAACCATACTTAGGAGAAAGAGTGATCCAAGCCCAGCATCTTCCTCAGTGAGCAAGGTTCAGTGGGAGCCCAGGAAGGTAACTGACTGGAGGCCGGCTAAGTTGCCGCATTCCCAAGGCTGAGCCTCCTGACCAGTGGCCACTCACCCATTGCCAGGCCTGATCTTCATGGAATCCCACAAGAGGTGAATGCAAAAGATTAATATGTAAATAACACAGCACCCTTGCCCCCTGCGGTGTGTTGCCTCTTACTTTTTGTGCTGAATGCTCTATAGTGCTTGTAAATAGAATTCCCCATTGGTTTGTGTTATTGCGTTATTTGCTTGGTATTTTTGCCTTCTATTGTCTTTACCCTCCCTGTGATCCAAAATGAACAGCCTGATGTTAACCTGTCTTCTCTACATCATAGGGTTGTGGGGAGAATTAAATGAACTAATGTGTGTAAAGCGTGTAGAATAGGGCCTGGCACACAGCAACCACTTGGTAAATGTCTGTCGTCATCATCATCATCATCAGCAGCAGCAGCAGCAGCAGCAGCATCAGCATCATCAGCATCATCATCTCATCACCACCATTTCATGGGTATAAACCTGCACATTTGTATTAATATAAATCCACACATATGATTAAATCTTCTGTTCAAGTGCTTTTATTGGTTCCCAGTGTCCTACTTAGGAGGACCCAACTCCTAGCCTGGAAGCCAAGGTTGGCCTCAGCCTTCCTTGTCAGTCTCAGCTTTTCCTTTCACCTATACAGTGTTTGAATTGAGCTGGATCGCTCTCTGTTCTCTCCCATGCTTTTCCACATATTTTCTTCTACTAGACTTCATGCTTGGAGAGCCCTTCCTTGAAATATCCTACACCATGACTGTCCTTCAGTACCAGAGCAAAACACAAGAGTCATCCTCTCCCTTAAGGTTTCTCCAACTCTCCCAGATAGTATTAACATCTTCTTTCTGTGAAATCTCAGGGGGTTACCTGTATCATTTATCTGCACTTCCCTTATAACACCTGACACGTTGTTCTGCCATGTGATGGCAGCAGTTGAGCTTGGGTCTGTACTCTCCTATTAGAGAACAACAGGGCAGTGACTTTTGGACATGGCTGTGTGTTATATACTTCTTCATATCCTCACCCTGTCCTGACTGCTCCTTCCCCAACACAGCAACCTTCATCTGGCATCTCCATTTGTTGATGAATAAATAAAATATAATGAACACTGCAAGGGTGCCATGTGTACCAGTCAGTCTTGGGTAGAGGAGAGAAAGCAGAGAACTTATGTAGGTAGGGTGCTCTTTTTCTCTCTCTTTTCATCTTTTTGCAGAGGCTCACTTAGCTGGTGTAACCTGTGCTCCAAAATTTCCCTCTTAGCCTCTCCCTCCCTCACTCCAACTAAAACATCTTGGTTCTGAATGGAATTGTTGGCTCGCTAACATTTGTTAACTAATTTTTGTGAGTATGCCAAAGGTTGATAATGGCTTAAGAGCCTTCTCTTCTGTTTTAACCAGTACTGATTTCTCATGCTCAGTTTTGGGACACAGAGGATCCTTTGGCCAGCAGATTCTAACTAGTGGCATGGAAGCTCCTAGGATATGGCAGATGTTAATACAGTGGTCTTTCAAATCCACATATGTGGATATTTTAAAAAACCCTATTTTTAGATATTTGTATCCGTATTTTTTTCAAATATATGTAGATGCTGTAATGAGTATGCTGAAATTATTTAAAGGAATTACTGAGTACAAGCTTTTTGTCAATTTGCAGGTTGCCAATCATGAGATGTTAACATAAAATGACTATTATGTGTTGAGCTCAAGAAATTTTTGTTAACAGATGGGTTCTCACACTCAGAACTTTCTGTGTCTCTAGATTGTGCTGTTCAGTGTGATAGCCACCAGCTGCATGTGGGTCCTGAGCATTTGAAATGTGGCTGATGCAATGGAGGAATGGAATTTAAAATTTTATTTAATTTTAATTAATTTAAATTTAAAAACTGATACTGGATCCAGTTACTGGAAAACTTTTTAAGTATGTTTGAAACTACTTGGATATATGAATCTACTTTTTCCACTGTAAATTTTATGAACTCTAAATACAGATCAAGTATTTCCAATGAAAATTTAGCTTCTGAATTGAGGTGTGCAGTGAGTGTGAAAGATAGTCCAGGTTTCAAAAACTTATAATATCTCATTAGTAACTTCTTATATTGAATACATTGAAATGACAAATATCTTGGATATATTGTGCTAAGTAAAATGTTTTTAAAATTTACTTCACCTGTTTATTTTTTGTTTTTAAAATGTGGCTAATAGAAAATTTATATTACATAGGTGCCTCATTGTATTTCTGTTGGACCAGGCTGCACTAAACCATTTCTCTCAGTGGTTGACATTCCTTCCATCACAAACCTGTTCACTCTCCTTTTTCTCTGAGTTTCATATGGAACAAAAGGCTTCTATAGTTACTTTAAAATAAGTGATTATATTTTACTGAGGCAGCATGCACACCTCATGAGAAGCCCTTTGCAGGGTCCTTCTGTTCCCCATCTATCCCTTTCCTCTACATCTTCATTTTATCCAGATCATGGTATTTGCTAGCAGCTTGCAAAACCATAGGCACAAGGCAGGGAGAAATACAAGATAGAGTAATGGTGGGAGACTTCAAATATTTGGGCCTGTAGAGGCAGATGCATTCAATTAAAAAGCAGCGTACCAGACAATGCATTGTCAGGCCTTGCTGAAAAAGTCATCTCCTAAGATATAGAAGTGACAAGGTAGACAGAATTGTGTCCAACAAGGAAGACCCAGGTTGATGTGCTGGAGAAGAAAGAGATCTGAGAAGAAATGGATTCTATCTAACGTTCATCAAAACAAAAGGAAAGATGACAAGGCAGAAGAACCTTAGATTTGGGCAAGGCAGGCTTCAGAAACTTTAGAAAAGAGCAGTAGATGTAATTCCACAGTATGCAATTCTAACAGGAAAGAGGGCTCATTAATGGAAGGAGGTCTCAAAAAGTAACTCTGCCACTTGCAAACGATCTCAGGAAGGAAGACAAGAAGGTATATAAGAACAGCTTTCTCAGGAGCTGAGAGGCAAAAAGGACACATACTGAAGATGGACAGAGGGACATGTAACTAAGAGGAGTATGACAGGGTAGCAGCAACATGTAGGAGCATTACCCAGAGGGCTGAGGGCTCAGATCAGCTGATGCCTGTGAAAAATAATGGCCACACTAAGAGCTATTTTAGTTCAGCTGGTGCAGAAAGAGTCACAGCATAGGACAGACTGGATAACCCTCCTCCTTGGGGGCCACAGTGTTTATCCATGTCCTGAGATTGGGAGGATAAACATTTATTAATTATGTGGAATTGAGAGCTCATGACTCCTGGACTGGATGAATTCCATTCCATGGGACCAAAAGTCAGTCAGTGAAATCACTGAACTTTCTGATAGACTCTTTGAAAGAGTGGAAGGACAAGAAAGGTGCTCAGCACTGCGAGGGGCAGAGGAAGGGAGGAGAAGTCATTTCCAGATTTAAAAGTGAAGTCAGTGGATGGTAAAGACTCCAGGGTAGTGAGTTGCACAATTCCAGACAAGATACTAGGATAGATCATGAAAAGTGTAGTTTGGGGACATTAGAAAAAACTCAAAAAAGCCATCAGTGATTGGCAGGACCCAGCTTAAGTTCAGCAAAAATAAGTCATTTAATCTACTATACAGCACAGCACCAATAGCTAACGATGCTGTATTGTACACTTAGAATTTTCTAAAAGGATAGAGCTCATGTTAAATATTCTTACTATGCAAATAAATAAGTAGTAACAATAATAAAGGGGATAGGAGGAAACTTTGGGAGATGATGGATATGTCTGTGGCCTTGGTGGTGGTGATGGCTTCACTGATGTACACTTAGACCCAAGTCATTGAATTGCATTTATTATATATATACAGCCTTTTACATATCAGTCATGCCTCAGTAAAGTGGTTTTTAAAAAAGTTATCTCAGAGTAGTTTATTTTTCTTAATTTATTAGCTTATTGGACTAGAAGATTAGTGTTTCACATGTATATCACCAGTTCATAAGGCACTTAATAAGGTCTTTCCTAAAAGTGTTGTAAACCAAATTGAGAAATGTAAACTGAACGATATGAGAATTGTGCGTGGAAACTAATGCCCTAATTAAAGAACACTGATCATTTCTTACTAGAATGCAAATTCTGAGTGAGCAGTCTTGGTTCTGTTTTCTCCTGTTTCTGCAGCACCTGTTTGCTTCACATAATAGGTAATTGGCAAATGTGTTTTATGAATTAATTAACTTGAAAAATATGGGTTGATTATTTACTATTGATTGTCATAGATTATCCATTTTCTGGTCCTGCGTCATTTATTCTCTTCTTGGTCTTGTCTGTTCAACGGTTTCATCAGTGAATTAGGTAAAGTTCAAAAAGACATGCTTATCAAGCTGCAGATGGCATAAAGCTTTCAACAGTAGTTAATATATTGAATGGCATAATAAAAAAAGATCTGGATAGTTAGAAATAATGGGGCTCATCTAAGAAGATAAATTTAAATAAAAGTATATGTGAGGCCCTGCACTTAATTTCAAAAAGCTAAGAGAACCAGCAGCAGTGGTACATCTGAACAAGAATTAAGGGTTTTAAATGGACAGTCTACTCAATCTGAGGCAACAGGGTGCTGTGCCTATTGAAGAACTAATGTGAACTTGGGAAACATTGAGATGGACAAAGATAAATCAGAGGAGGGGTTTGCTAGGAAAATGATGGGTGTTGAGGAGCCTCAGTGTGCTAGGAGGAACCACTGGGCCCATGGGAGCATGGAGCCTGGAGACACAGTAGATGGCTTTACTCAAAATGCAGGAGAATTCTACTACTTACAAGACACTTGTTATACATAGTCCAAATGGAGAACAATGAGACCGGTCAATAGAAAATTAGAGGGATGAATTTGAGCCCAACAAAAGGAAGGATTTTCTAACAGCTAAGATGGAATACCACACAGGAGGAAAAGAGCTACTCCATCTCTAGGGGAAAACAGGGATGTCTGGATGACATTGGGTGTACCTGATATTAGCGTGGCCAATTTAGCACTGGGATTGTAACATTTTGTTCATCCATTTATTTCAGTGCTGCTAAAGGCATTGCCAATGATTGAAGAACTATGAAAAACAAATTACAAAGCCTATTTTTATTACTATAAGTAAATTATTTTCAGTAGCCAGAGGCTGTGATACCTCCTAGTGGCTATGTCATCAAATCAGAAAACATGTAGTTTATTACCAGATGTTAAATTCTTTCACATTGCATTTCTGAAAAAAAGTTCAGAAAGTATGAAGAAAATAAGTAACCAAGAAAAGACTATAGTGACCTCAATCTTTATTTCCTCTGAATTCTCCCTTTTGTCACTTTCTTCCTTTTTTTCCTTTCTGCCTCCCTGCTCTTGCCCATTTTCTCCTGGATAATCTTTGACTCTGCTGTAGTGTTCAGAGTTTTAAAAATACAGTTGGTTTAGTTTAGGCAATGGAGAAGTCAGACTGAATTAATGAAAACATGTGAACAACGGGGCTTTCTATCTAACCTTCACACAGTTTGTCCAGTCATAAGAATATAAGAGTGCCCTGTGGTGAGAAGAAAGAGAAAACAGGGCTCTAGAATCCTGCCCAGGCTTTGGCTAGATGAGAACCATTTCTGAGGAGCACAATTATTGGTTGTATACCAGGTGTGCTGGTAAAGGAGTTCATTCTTAAGAAGTTACACTATGATTTCAAAACAAAACAGCCAGACCCATTTTTATAGCATAGTGTGACTACAAATTTCTGAACTGTTCGCATATCCCTGAAACTAATCCTGGTAGCAGTGCTGGTTGATCTAGTGATAACATATGCCCCTAAATTCACAAGGATTGTCAAGAATCCCGAGAGATTTTCAGTCCAGCCTTACTATTTTGCAGATATGAAAATTAAGTTATTGCAGAGATAACTTACTTACATAAAGTTGTGGGGCTTCTCTGCAATGAATAATCCTCTGCATTAATCTTCGTCTTGCTTCTGTGATAAATATTTTCCATATCTGATGAAGTATTGTTAGCATTGTAAATGGGAAGGAAGGGGGGAAGCTGGAAGTGAACTCTAGTTTTATTCATATTTTGTTATCCTGTCAATAAATTGCAAAAGCTCTTTAACTTTCCTCACACAATTTAATCATTCCTTTTTGAAAAACCAGCCTAGTTTTCAATTCACAAAGGTAAATCACAAAAAGACGTAAGGACTCAGTATAAAGAACAACAACAACAAAAACATCCCCACTGAGTTTGACTTGCCTCAACTCATCCAAATATATAACATCGGAGTAGATTCTGGGTCATCGCCTAGTTTTGCAGCTTCAAAACAGGACTTTTGTTTCTTCATTGTAGCCTTCCTGTCTTTTTTTTTTTTTTTTTTTTTTTTTACCATGGTGGCTCCTTACTACAAGGTCTGGATAACTAGTCTGCTTCTCTTCTCTTAGAGTCAGCAGGGCTTTGTGGCTTGGGGAGACACAGGGTTCAGCAGCCCCCACATTAGTCTGTGTGGCCCTCATCTGACCTTGGCTTTGCCTTTGTGATCTTCCCAAGGCTGTTGAAGCTGAGATTTCTGGAAAGTGATGACATGGATGGATGAGCCTCCTGGTCCTGTGTAAGTGGTGTTCAATTCAGTGATAATGTTCAATATAAAATGCTTGTACCTTTCTGGGTGAGGCAGCTGGTTCCCAGAAAAAGTGCAGTGAGCAGTGTCCTTCCCATGCACCTTGTCGGAGTGCCCCAGAACCTCCTCGCCTGCAGTCTTGGCAGCGTTCCACCCAGTCAGCAGGGAGGGTGATGGAGAAGGCCTCTTTCATCAGGTGGGCTCTAGTGTCTCGAGATTGGAGAAATAGCCTCCTAAACTTAGAGCGAGGTCCAGAAGAGAGGGTTTCAATCCGAAACATGACAGTGTCCTGAAAACTTTACCTGCTTCAATCCACCTCAAAATAGTAGGGTTTTTTAGTCATCTTTAGGGATGTTTCCCAAGATTAGGGAGGGCCTCAGGGAGCTCTTGCTGTGCACCAGCACTGACAGACAGACTTTTCCTGGACCAGTTACTCTCTGCTCAATCGTGACATATATGACTATATGCCGGATACAGCTTAAACATTTATATTTTATAACATCACTTTTTGAAACAATTCTGTAATCCCCAGTTTGCAGAGAAGGAAACTGAATCACCAAAAAGTGGTCATTTGCCAAAGGCCACACACCTAGAAAGTGGCAGAACCAGGCAGCCTGGCTCCAGGACCAAACCCTAGCCACTGCACTCTGTTGTCCTAACATAGACCTTGTTCTTCTCTCCTTCAAGCCCTCTCCCTATAGCCTACCCAAACCCAGCCATTCAGCTGTCCACAAATGCCATTGGCACTCCTCCACCAAATTACCTTTGTTCAGTCTCTGGTCCTTTGATGCCCTTGGTCCTCTCCCTTTTGTTAAAAGCCTACTCATCATCTATGGCCGAGCTCACATGCTGCCTCCTCCATGAAGGCTACCCTTCTCCTTCCATCTATAGTTTCTGTCTCTGTGTTTGAGGAGCTCCTTTACCATAGGATTCTCTCTGTTACCTTCATGGCAGGTGTCAGTTTGTAATTCCTTCATCTATCTATCTGTCTGTCTGTCTGTCTGTCTGTCTATCCATCCATCCATCCATCTTCATCATTTATCTATCTAATTTATTATCTATTGCTCAGATCCTTCTCTGCTCTAGACTTTAAAGGAAGATACCATGTCCATTTTTTTCTGAATATGAGACACCCAGCACCTATAACAGAGCATGGGCTGAAATATTTTCTGAGTGAATGAGGAAGTAAGTTGATAGATGTGTGTACCTTTCCTATAGTAGCTGTCACATTCTGCCTTATGTGTTGGTTCTCTTTGTGAAATGTCTCTCTTCCAGACTTGATTATAATCCCCATGGACTTTAAGGCTTAGATCATGGACAGTATCTTATTCATCCAAACATTCATCCCATACCTAATATAATGTGCTAGTGCCTAGCACATGGAAAATGCTCATCAATGTATATGTGTTCACTTGAATTTAAGGGACACTTTCAGCCATCATACTATCGCTTATTTAAATGTTTCTGTGCTATTAACAAGTGTTTGAAAATGCATCTTTTTCCCCCTGTAGGAGTCTTGATACCATGGCAACCACATTGGTTTGACTTGGAAGTATGTCTTAGGAACTGAAGGCTTTTCCTTCTACCTGCTGCTATACAACCATGCACTGAGATGCTTTCCAAAAAAGGCTATTATTTCCATCTGAGCAGGTTTGAGTAGGTAGAGCCCTTTCCTCTACACACTCTGACACGGTTTCCACATGGTCTGCCCCACCTCTACCTCTCAACCTGTTACTGATGAGTTATTTTGATGTCTGTAATCATCATGTCAGAAAATCAACAGCAGTCATTCCCTTGATACTTTTACTGGCACAGAACACTAAAGTTCAGAGCTCTACAGCCAGATGTGCTAAGAAGAGCAGCTGGCAAGCTATGCTGCTTACAGATAGGACACAGCTGGCCATAAAGAATGCTGACTCCCAGTTCTTGGCTGTGATTCTCATCTTTCATGTAGGTAATCACTTTTGTGGCCCAGATACAAAGTAAACGTATTGGACATATTATAGGTGCCCAGGTTTTCATTTTATAGCTAGGCATTTTAAGAAGATTGTCATGCCAAGATGTTGGCAGCTTTGGTGCAAGACAAGCAAGGGTGTGAGCCAGGATGGAGAAAGTCAAGTAAAGCATCCAGATGAACCAGGAAGAAACTGGAACCAGGGCAGGGCTCAAGGCAAAGTCAGCTTCAAAGCAATTTTAGGCAAGCAGGGAAGACAGACATAAGGAACTGGAAATAAAGATGACTCATATCTAGAGCAGTAGCATTTAGAGATGGGTGCTTCGCCATACTGTCTACTGCCTACCTCCTAAGGAGATATAGACACAAGAATGGAAATACCGCAAAGTAGGGATTTTAGTCTGTTTTGTCCCTCACTTGATCCTTCGCTCCAAGAACAACAGTTTCTGGCACAAAGAAGATGCTCAGTAAACATTTGGTGACTGAATGAATGGGCCCAAGACAAATCATTATTTTTATTTCATATTTATTTTGTAACATATTTAGCAAAAGCGTTCACACACAATCTCATGTAAACCTGGTAACAGCTCTTTGAGAGAGCATATTATCCTGTTTTATGAATGAGAGAACAGGTAAGGAGGTAAAGTGGCTGAGAAACAGAGGGTTGCTCAGCTGGAAACTGGCATCGCAGGGCTTCAGCCTCAAGTCTGGAGCTCCTGCTGCTATTTGGAGCAGGTAGAAGGGAAAGCCTTCAGCTCCAAAGCATACTTCCAAGTCAAACCAATGCGGTTGCCATGGTATCAAGGCTCCTGCAGGAGGGAAAAAGATGCATTTTCAAACACTTGTTAGTAGCACAGAAACATTTAAACAAGTGACAATGTGATGGCTGAAAGTGTCATGAGGCCCCTTAAATTCAAGTGAACAAACATACATTGATAAGCACTTTCTATGTGCTAGGCGCCAGCACATGATGCTAGGTATGGATGAATGTTTAGATAAATAAAATACTGTCCATGATCTAAGCTTTATTGTCCATGGGGTTTATAATCATGTCAGGCAGTAGACATTTTACTAGTCTACTCTGAGCAGACAAGACAGCAGAGAAAAGTTGGAGCTAGGGATAGACAGACACCTAGCGGGAGGATCATATTCATTTTCTGGGAACCAATGACTGATTCTCCAACTGGGGCAGCACAAGGCTGGAGATTCAGCAACTCCTGATGTCTTGCTGGCTACAACAAGCACATCCTGTATCCTAGATAGCTGCCTACAAGTCCAAGCCCAGGGCCTGCTGTCAGATGGGAGTTTTCAGAGGAGGGTGGGCTAAGGCAGCGGTGATGGCTGGTTCTGCTGGAACCCTTATGAGCACCAACCAACTTGTTTATCTGGCATTTCAGCCAAGATGCAAAGACCTGGAAGGCCTCAACTGAAGATTACTCACTCCAGCCAAGTAGGCATTTGCCTTCATGAAACTGCTTTGCACATAACAGCTTCCACTTGTTGATGCTCTGTGTGCTAGGTATTGTGCTGACTACTCTATATGAATTATTCCATTCAGTCTTCACAGCACTGCTGTGAAGGAGATAGGATTACTATTCCCAATTTATAGATGAAGAAACAGGTTTTGATATTGTTACTGCCTGGCTCAGAAAGCATTTTGAGACAGGGCCTTGCTCTGTTGCCCAGGCTGGAGTGCAATGGCATGATCTCGGCTAACTGCAACCTCCGTCTCCCAGATTTAAGCAATTCTCCTGCCTCAGCCTTCTGAGTAGCTGGGACTCAAGATGCACTCTGCCATGCCCGGCTAATTTTTTTTTTTTTTTTTTTTTTTTTGGAGGTGGAGTCTCACTGTCTCCCAGGCTGGAGTGCAGTGATGCGATCTCGGCTCACTGCAAGCTCCACCTCCTGGGTTCACACCATTCTCCTCCCTCACCCTCCCGAGTAGCTGGGACTACAGGCGCCCGCCACCACGCCCAGCTAATTTTTTTGGATTTTTAGTAGAGACGAGGATTCACCGTGTTAGCCAGGATGGTCTCAGTCTCCTGACCTTGTGATCCACCTGCCTCGGCCTCCCAAAGTGCTGGGATTACAGGCGTGAGCCACCACGCCCGGCCCCAGCTAATTTTTTGTATTTTAGTAGAGATGGGGTTTCACCATGTTGCCCAGGCTGGTCTCGAACTCCTGAGCTCAGGCAATCCACCCACCTTGGCCTCCCAAAGTGCTAGGATTATAGGCGTGAGCCATAGCGCCCTGCCCATAAAGCTTTGACTCTTTAGGGCTTCACTCAAGTTTCAGCTGCTCACCACCCTTCCTGACTATTTCAGTGTGTGTCAAATTTTGCTTTCTCCAAAGTCATAAGAATTGTAATATAGTGCCCAACAATAGATAACCTGGTAGATAGCCTGGCAGTGCTGATTGTCTTGGTGTTTAGATTGGCACCCAATCTAGATTATGCACCTTGGCAGGCAGGGACACCATCTCATACTTCTCACGTGTCTCTTGCCCATTTCTCCTATCAGTGAATTTGTTGAGTGATCAATTTACTTTGAGTTAGGTTTTCAGGAATGGTGGATTCATGCTGATCAAGTCTTCTTCCTATTCTCATTTGAATTTACCAACAAGCATCTGCCACTGGCTGACCCTGACCAGGGAATCCTAATTCATCAACTTCTATTTTAGGAATACATCTCCATATGGTGTTACAGTCCTTACATCTTTCCTCTTCCCTTTTCTACCATCTCTATATAAACGCCAGAAGAGATCCAGATGATGTGATGTATTTATTCCTAATTCACCTACCAGATGACAGACTTTCCACAAGGTACATAACTTACTTAAATCATGTTTCTGTATCAGTAAAATGGGGTAATGCCAATTTCGTAAAGTTGTTACAAGGTCTAAATGAAATTATGTATGCAAAGGGTCTGGCACAGTAGGTGATCAACCTATGTTTAGAAAAAATAACTGTTGTTATTAGAATACACCACAGAGTGGAACCTCAATATATATTTCTAGGCATTTTTCTGATATTGATACAATAGCTATTTCATATTTTGGAGATTTTAAAAATTGTTTGTTTGTTTGTTTTGTCCAGGATACATTTCCAGGAGATAACTTGATTTTTATGTTCTGATGTGTTTTAAATTGTATGTAATTTTAGTAAAAGGCATCACAATGCTTAGTTCTGCTGCAGACATACAACAATTAAATTATGCCTTCAAATAGCTCCAAAGTGATTAAATGAGGGCTACTGGAAGTAGCAGGTATGAATGAGAAAAAAGGCAGTCATTTTATAAAAGTATAGGATAGATAAAATGAAAGGTAAATAAGTTTTTTTAAATATGTTGTGGTAGGAATAGAGAAAAAGAGGCCAGGAGCTATAAAGAGTAATTGAAATGTACAGATAATTAAGAAAAAGAAATCTTATTTTAGGTGATGGTTTAAAATCCCTTCCTCACAGTGCCTGGAATCAGGGATGCTGTCAGAAAACAAAATTGGCTGGTTTTAATTTGACATATTTTTATTTTCCCTGTTAAATCTCTAACAAAGCAGCTAAAAAGCAGTGAATTGCTAAAAAGATAGGCAATTAAGAGGGAGGAAGATGAATAACAAAAAAATGTTTTTAAAGAAAAAAAAGCCAACTTCAGACTCTCCATCTTCAGCCTCTGAGTAATGGAGTATCAACTGTGCCTGCCTCCTCAGGTTGACTGAGATGCGACTGGCTCTAAGCTCATCTCTCATTTAGCCTGTAGCCTCCATAGTATCCTTGTCTCCTTGCTCTGTGTGTCTCTGGCTTTCTTCCTGTACGAGTGTATGTGTGTGTGTGTGTGTGTGTGTGTGTGTGTGTGTATATATATCTCCACCCCCACCCACACACACCCACACGCATAGATGTACACGTCAGCCAGATCTCATTTTTCCTCAATTATGGTCAGTGCCAACTATGCCTTCTTTGCTTTGAACAGTCTGTAGCAAAAGGAAGTGAAAAATATCCAGAGCTTAATTGCACCAAGAAAATTTCCTCAGCACACCAGATCACACTTGACCCTTTGGGACAGTTTGAAGTTGTATCTGGAAGCCTGAATTTAATCTCATTGGGGTTTAAAAAAATGACAACACATTTGTGCTCTGAATGGTAATGAAATGGTAATGTTATAATTGAGAGCAGATGAATTACATTGCACTAAACATTCAACGAACAGAAATGTAATTGTGAGAGCATGTGTTTGGAGCATTCTGGAAATCTTCTGGAGCCCTCCAGGACACTCAGCAGCTGTATTCAGCTGCTCCATGGCTGTGGCTCTGGCTGGGCTTTACCCAGGGCAAATCAGAGCTTGCAAATTGGTGCTCCTTGCTTCTAAATTTAAAAGTGCTGCTATTTACTTTAAAGAACTATCTTGAATATTTATTATAATCACTGCATTATTAATAGTATAGCTATTTTTAAATTCAAGCAAGCGATATTTTATTAAACATACATTGAAAGCAAATAGTGTCTAGTGGAGAGTATCCAGCCTTTGAGACCAGATGGAGTTCAGTTTGAATCCTGAGTTTTTAAATTATTGCTCTCTAACTAAGGATAAATTGCAAAATTTCTCTGAATCTCTGTTTCTTTCTCTGTAAAATGAGAGTAGTAATACTTACCTTAAGGGTTTGCCCCAAGTTTTTAAGTGAAATAATACAAAGCGCTTAGGACACTGTTTGATGCATGGTAAGCACTCAGAAATAGCAATTATTGTTATTGCTGTTGTTATTGTTAAGTCCCCAGTGGTCTGCTGCCAGAGAGATGTTGATTGTTTAGATGGCAAAATAGCGAGCCTAGTCGGCTGCAATCAGTGGATTGGATTGAGACGGGGAGAGATATGGGGAGGAAGTTGTCACTTCCTTCAAAGATCTTTAAAGCTCCTAAAAGAAGGGCAATCCAGATAAAATAGAGAAGCTGAGTTCTGGGTAAAGCCAGATAGGCATATTTCAAGGCTCCAGACTCAAACATGAGAGTTGTGTTATGAACCACTCTTAAAGTTCACTGCAGTGGGATTGACGGTGATAGAGATCTCTATCCACATGTAGGGGTGATCAGAGCAAGCCCAGATTCAAGGCAAACATTATTTCTTATTGAAGTATAATTTTTACACAGTAAAATGCACAGATCTCAAATCTACAATTTGCTGAATTTTGACAATTGCATACATCTGTGTAACCACCAATGAAATTAAGATATAGAACATTTCTGGCCAGGCGCAGTGGCTCATGCCTGTAATCCCAGCACTCTGGGAGGCCGAGGCGGGCGGATCATGAGGTCAGGAGATTGAGACCATCCTGGCTAACACAGTGAAACCCCGTCTCTACTAAAAATACAAAAAATTAGCTGGGCGTGGTGGCGGGCGCCTGTAGTTGCAGCTACTCGGGAGGCTGAGGCAGGAGAATGGCGTGAACCCGGGAGGCGGAGCTTACAGTGAGCCGAGATCGCGCCACTGCACTCCAGCCTGGGGAACAGAGTGCGACTCCATCTCAAAAAACAAAAGATATAGAACATTTCTGTAAACCCAAGTTTCTTCTTGTCCCTTTTCAGGCAACGTTCTTCTCCCCGCCCCAGAGACGACCACATTCTAATTTCTAGCACCATGGTTTTATTTGATCTGGCATTTCATATAGATGGATTAGTACCATATATACTTTTTTGTGTCTGGCTTCTTTCCCTCAACCTAATGATTTTAAGATAACTCATGATATTGAGTGTATCAGTAGTTTGTTCCTTTTTATTGTTGAGTAATATTCCTTTGTATGAATATCCAACAACTTGCTTATCCATTCCCCTCTGATGGACATTTGGATTTCCTGTTTATTGCTGTCATGACTAAGTCTACTCCAGACATTCAGAAATAAGTCCTTGTGGACATATGTTTCATTTCTCATGGGATAATTTTCAAATTTGTCTCAAATTGAGGCAAGGGAACAGGGCTATGTGTACACAGTTTGACTAGTCATTGGATGAGGGCTACCCCCTGGGTGAGGCAGATCCCTTTTGCTGAGGGAAATGTATGAAGAGACACAGTTGCGACTATAACAGCCAACACTTGCAGCGGCGGGAATGGGGTCTTGGTCTGAAGTGGGGAACCCGGGTAGTACTCCACAACATCCACTTCATCTGTCTAAGGTCACGTTTTCCTCTGTGTTCTCTTCTAGAAGTTTTATGGTCCGAACTTTCACATCCATGTCTGTGAGCCATTTCAAATTTATTTTCGTATATGGAATGAGTTAGGTGTTGAATTATTTTTGTTTTTGCATACAGATATCTAATTGTTCTAGCACCACTTGTTGAAAATTTTTCCTATCTTTATTGAATTCCTTGGTGCCTTTATTGAAAATCAATTGACCACATATGTGTGGGCCTGTTTTTGGACTCTCTGTTCTGTTTCATTGATCTATTGATCTATCCTTATATGAGGCAATGTTTTGAAAGAAATCTGGTAGAAACGATGTAACCCTTTGTGTTCTGGAAGGTAATTTAGTAGCTTAGGGAAGCAAGGCAGGCAGCATGTACCACCATTTAGACAGACGTAGACAATAGGCCCTAACAAGTTAATACCTGAAGTAAATTGGGTATTATAGGCTCTGAATTGGCTAGGCTATGCCATGGTTACAAACCAACCCTGAAATCTCAGTGTCTTAACCCAGTAAAAGTTTGTTTCTTGCTCATGTCACATGAGTTGGGTGGCTCTTCTGGGCAGCTCTTCTCTAAACAATGACGCAGACACCCTGGCTGCTTCCATCTGATATCTGTGCCATCTGGAACTTGTGCCTTCCAAGACCACATGGATGGGGAAGAAGACACTGAAGGATGTTTTAAGTGTCTGGCCTAGATATTCTCACATTATGACCACTCATATCTAACCGTCCAGTACTCAGTTATATGACTCACCCTAACAGCAAAGAAGGCTGGGAAATGTAGTCTTTGATAAGCATGAGCATTCTCCACAGGTGGGATTGGAGCAAGTTAGAGTCCGATAACTTTCATATGCAAGGGATTATAGCAGAAGTGTTAAACGCATGAGCTCTAGAGCCTGATTTCTCCAGGTTCAAATCCATCTCTGCCACTTACTGAATACATAGGTGACCTTAAGCAAGTCACATACATCTTCTGATATCTCAGATTCCTCACCTGGAAAATGCAGTGGTTAATAATAGTTGTTTCAGGGTGTTGCTGTGAGAATTTTTTTAAAAACGTAAGTTCTAGAAATCTTTTTTTTTCCCCCCTTTGGATATAGGGTCTCGTTATATCACCCAGGCTGGAGTGCAGTGGTGCCATCATGGCTCACTCCCAGGCCCAGGCAATCCTCCTGCCTCAGCCTCCCCAGTAGCTGGGACTACAGGTGCACACAACTAACCTCAGCTAATTTTTGTATTTTTTTGTAGAGATGGGGTCTCACCATATGGCCCAGGCTGGTCTTGAACTCCTAGACTCAAGTGATCCTCCTGCCTTGGCCTCCCAAAGTGCTAGGACTACAGGTGCAAGCCACTGTGCCTGGCCTGCTGTAAGAATTTAAAGAATACAGTATATATATGGTCCTTAGCATAATGCTTGGCATAGAACAGCATTTGATAAATAGTAGTTATTATTACACCTATACAGGCCCATAGGCATTACTTTGAATTTGGATCTGGGGGAGCCAGTCCAGCCCACCTTCTTCCCATTCTATTTGGCACTTTCTTCCACAGATCTTGGGGACTCTTGATGAGACCAGAACATCCAAACTGAAACAGCTCCATGTCCCCTCTGCCTGTCCCAGCCTCCTATCATTTTAAACTTAACAGTGTTGCTTCCTGGGAGAAGTGTCAAGTGGTCAGAGACTGTACACAGCAGAAACTTAAAAGGGTTCCTCATCCCAGGCATCTGGCATTGTAGGTATTTTGAGGCTTCTTGTTCATCTTTGTTGAGGCTAATGTGGTTGGTAATAAGCTGTTTGCAATGACGGCCAACGAAACCCAAGTTGTTTAAATAAGAAGCAAATAAGGAGAAGGGATCTAGTGTTTTTTATGGAATAACCAGAAAAGTGTTTGTGCCTGAGTATTTGTTTCAGTCATCAGAAGTTATTATTAGGACAGAAAGCAGATTGAAAATATGTTTTAAGGCCATGTGCAGTGGCTCACGCCTGTAATCCCAACATTTTGGGAGGTCAAGGCAGGAGGCCTGCTTGAGGCCAGGAGTTCAAGACCAGCCTGGGCAATATAGCAAGAACCCCATCTCTATAAAAAATAAGAAGATCAGCCAGGCATAGCTGTGTGTGCCTGTAGTCCTAGCTACTCAGGAGGCTGAGGCAGGAGGATTGCTTAAGCCCAGAAGTTCAACGTTAATATGAGCTATGATTGTGCTACTGCTCTCCAGCCTGGGCAATAAAGTGAGACCTCATCTCAAAAAAAAAAAAGTGTGTTTTAATATTACACTTAGTCCAAGTGAAAATCTTATCTATGTTACCACAAAGGTTCTCTTTTTCTCCTTCTAAGGAACTGTGGATAAACTACTTCCCCCTCTGAGTTTTGGTCTTTCCACACCCACATAAAATGGATAAAAGACAGAAAATTCTGATAGTCTTCTCATCAGGAAAAAAATGAGTACAAGCAGTTCTGGCTACTGGTTTGTAATCACATAAAACTGATTTCCTGTGATACTGTAACACACTATGGTTTTCAGGAATTTGAGAGATTGCTGATGTAATATTCATAAAAAAGAATAGAAGCGACACTTGACTATTAGTGACTGGTCATGTGGCTATTTCTCATTATGCTCTAGAGGGAGTGGAAGTGAAGGGCCATGCTGGGGATTGGAACAAAATGGACATTGGAACTGGGCATTTGGTTACAGTTTAGTGCCTGTGAAAAAAATACTTTTTGTCATTGTTCTGTTTGCAAAGTTCAACTGACTTTGACTTGAACTGTCCTGCTACCCTCGATTTCATTACTCTTCAGTGTGTCTGTTTTTCACTCAACTGGAAGCAAATAATGGAATTAATAAGTCAAGAAGAATGGAACTGAGATTGAATCTGTGTTAGGGTTCTCCATAGGGACAGAACCAATAGGATATATTTATGTGTATGTGTGTGTGTGTGTGTGTGTCCCTCTCTCTCTCTCTCTCTCTCTATATATATATATATATATATGAATTTGTTAGAGAGAATTGGCTCATACGATTACAAGGTTAAGTCCTACAATAGGCGGTCTGCAAAATGGGGAAGAGAGAAGCCAGTAGTGGCTCAGTCCATGTTCGAAAGCCTCAAAACCAGGGAAGCCGAAAGTGCAGCCTTCAGTCTGTGAACGAAGGCCCCAGAGCCCCTGGCAAGCCCCCGGTGCAATTCCCAGAGTCCAAAGGCTGAAGAACCTGGAGTCTGATGTCCAAGGGCAGGAGGAGCTGAAGGAAGCAGCCAGCATTAGAGAAAGAAGGAAACCAGAAGATTCAGCAAGCAAGGTTATCCTACCTGCTTTGTTCTAGCCGCACTGGCAGCCGACTGGGTGATGCCCACCCACATTGAGAGTGGTCTTCCTCTCCCAGTTCACTGACTCAAATGTCAGTCTCCTCTGGCAACATCCTCACAAACACACCCAGAAACACTATTTTACCAGCCATCTAGGCCTCCTTCAATCCAATCAAGTTGACACCTAATATTAACCATCACAGAATCCTTGAACTCTGTCCGATTTCTAAATTGGTAACTCTAAGGTCCTTTATAAAGGGGCTCCCAGTGCCTCAGGCTTAGCAAAGGGGACTGACCAGAGGCCTGTTCTTGGAGGCAGGAGGTGGGACTGGGGATGGGGGATAGTTAGGTAAATGCCTATTACCCACTGCGAGGAAACCCTCACAGCATTCTATTTTAAGACATTTTCTGGCAGGGGACATTTATCTTTGAGTGACTTCTGAAGTTCTTTTAGCCATGGGAAGGCTGAACTAGAGATGGCTGAGCGATTAGCTACTAGGGTGATAAGCACTCTAGAATTTTCAAGGGAGAGGGCTAAATATAGCAAATTCCACAGGCTGCACTTAGTATCAATGCCAAGGGAGACAACTCATGTTACTTGGGCTTCATGCATCTTCCAAAGTACAGCCAGTCGCATTTGCACATGGCGCTAAGCCATGCCCTGGGTAGTGCTTTTCAGCTGGTGTGGGCTGTATGGTATTCCTCTGACAGACAGGACATTCGTTCAGAGCCCACGAAGCAGCACACGTACGTACACTTCAGCCAAGCCTTACACGGAGACCCAGAAATGTCTTTAGCTTGCAAAGCTCTCCTCGGTTCTTCTGATTTTGGTCAGTATCATGGCAATCAAGCCTTTATAGCCAACTATTTAATAAAACAAATATTTTAAAGAAGGACCTTATTCTTGGTTTATCACATCTGTGCTGTTCACTCATGATTTTGGTCTTAGGATGTATGTCCAAGCCTTCATCACCTCGAAGGATCAATAATCTCCTAAATTGTTTCCAATTTCCAGTCTTCTGTCTCCTATCTTTAGTCTATTAGATCAATTTTCCTAAACCTCTACTTTGAAAGCGTTCCCTGTTAACAGATCCACATAGGCTTGTTACTGCCGAGATGAAGGAGTCCAGGTTCCTCAGTTTGCTATCATCTGGTTCCGCCAATGTTTCCAACGCCTTCCTGCTCATCTTAGAACATTGGAGAGAAAAGTGATCTTAGAAATGCCCGAGACCCATATGTTACAGATAAAGAGGCAGATCCAGAGCAGTGAGGTGATTTGCTCGAGGTGACACCAGGAATTAGCAGCCGAACCCCTGGAAAGGAAGTGCTATGAGGTCAGGGATTTTTATTTTGCTTACTGCTGTGTCACCAGTGCCCCAAACAGCAGGTGCTCAATAAACACATATTGAATTAATTCATGAACCTTGAGCATCTCAGTTCAGCCTTCTTTCCATCTCCCTGCTGTCTGTCCTCCACTATCCTCTGCTGCCCCAGCCTGATGGCTCAGCATCCCTTCCTCCAGGTGTTTTTTCATAGCCTTCTTCCTGCCCTGACCACTCTTCTCAGTTTAATTTTTCCTTCAGGGCTCAATTCAGTCCTACCACTCCTTGAAATCATTTCTGACAGCCCCAATCTCAGCTTCCTCTCCTTTCATTGGCCTCTTGTGGTTCTGCAAGACGCATGGCTGACTTGCCCTATGCTGCCTTGTATTTATGTTTTACTCCAGGAGCACAGTCTGTTGCTCACCCACTTCAGCCTCCTCTGTCCTGCAGGTGCTCTGTTCATTAGTATGAGCACAACAGTGCTATGGAGCATGATGTTGATTTTCATTCAGACTCGCCCCATCTTCTTTTCAATCCTGTAAGCCTCTATTATTTCACTTAGTTATATGCCTCCATCTCCTGTCATGAGTGCAGGGGCAGTGGTAGGTATAACAGTTATTTCCAGAGCCCATATAGCATAGTGTAGCACAGGAATCAAGCGAGTTCAGAAGAGGGGTGTCAAAATTAGACTAGAATTTTAGTACTTTAAAAAGATGATAATTGGCCAATGAAAGGCCAAAGAGGGCACTGCAAGCAGATGTAACCTAGAAGGATGGTGTTTTGGGGAACTGCAAGAAGCTTGGTGGGGCTGGAAGGAAAACTGGATATGGGGAAGTAAAGGAAAATGAAGCAAAGTGTGTAGGCAGCAGCCAGATCATAAGGGACTCGTCTGCTGAATTTAGGTATTAAAACTTGGTTGTGCATTAGTATAGGTACCAACATAAATATCCACAGGAACTGCTAATTTTAAAAGTGGCTTTTTTTTTTTTTTTTTTTTTTGAGACGGAGTCTCGCTTTGTCGCCCAGGCTGGAGTACAGTGGCACAGTCTTGGCTCACTGCAACTTCCGCCTCCTGGGTTCAAGCAATTCTCCTGTCTCAGCCTCTTGAGTAGCTGGGACTTCAGGTGCAAGCCACCAGCCCGGCTAATTTTCATATTTTTAGTAGAGACAGGGTTTCACCATATTAGTCAGGCTGCTCTCAAACTCCTGACCTTAGGTGATCCACCTGCTTAGCCTCCTAAAGTGCTGGGATTACAGACATGAGCCACCGTGCCCACCCCAAAAAATGACATTTTATACTTTCAATATTGTGCAAAAGAATGAAGTAGATCTGTGTACATTCATATGACGTAATCTTCAATATAAATTACATAAAATGCATTTGTGTAAAATGTTGTATATGACATATCTGTTAATATAACACATATATATGCATAGAAAAATTTTGTGGTACTGTTAATAGTAGGAGCCCTGGGGGCATGGGGTGAGTGAACAACTTACATTTCATGAAAATGATCCTTACATTTTAATGACAAGAGTCGTTTCATACCCTTTGGTAATATTTGAAATTTTAAACCTGTAGCTGTATTATCATGACTAAAAAAAAAATTCTTCAGTTAAAAAATGAACAAATTCTTCATACCTAGAATGACTTAGCACCTCTGACAGATTTGAAATAAGAAAACAATGTAATCATATTTCAAAAAGACTGTTAGGCCATAGTGAGGAAACAGAGATGGAAGAAGTGCCTCATGGAGGCAGGGAGACTAGGTGAGTGTTGGAGACTGTTGCAGGGATCCCAGACAGTAAGTGATGGGGGTAACAGTGAAGATCAAGACCAAGAGAGGATGGAAAAGTGAATGATGAGCATGTCAGAGCTCCAGGATATGCATGTGAGAAAGGAGGGAGGAGTGTGACATGACTGCCAGCTTTGTATTGTTGTGGCAACTGGCTATCTAGTGTTGCCGTCATGAGAGAGGAAAAAATAGAAAAAGGCCAGAAAAATGAATGCAGTTTTGAGATACGCCACACTTCGGTGATATGTCATATTTGTGGTACCTCTGACTGGTGATCCCTGTTGGCATCTTCCGGAAATTGCCTTCTGGATTTCATAATAGCATGAGTTAATGTCCGGCATTTTCATGGGGTCCACAATACCTGAGTCTTACCTTTCAAACTACGAGAGTCCACCTTAGTCTCTACTTGGTGTGACCATTTTGTTTTTAATTGGGTGTACATTTGCAGGGTTGTTGCATGGATATATTGCATGATGCTGAGGTTTGGCATACAGATGGTACCAACACCCAGGTGGTGAGCATAGTACCCAATAGGTAGTATTTTTGGCCCATGCCCCTCTTCCACCCTCCCCCATCTAGCAGTCCCCAGGGGCTACCATTTGACCCAGCAATCCCATTGCTAGGTATATACCCAAAGGAAAATTATTCATTCTGTCAAAGAGATACATACAGTCGTATGTTCACTGCAGCACTATTCAGTTGTAAACCCATGGAGTCAACTTAGGTGCCCATCAACAGTGGACTGGATAAAGAAAATTGGGTACATATACACCATGGAATGCTATGCAGCCATAAAAAAGCACGAAATTATGTCCTTTGTAGCAACATGGGTGCAGATGGAGGCCATTATCTTATGTCAATTAACGCAAGAACAGAAAACTAAATACCACATGTTGTCACTTGTAAGTGAGAGCTAAACAAAACAATGGCTTTTGTCCTGTGCACTCTGCCCCCCTTTGATAGGCAGGCAAGTCCTGTCTCCTAGGTTTAAAGCTAGGTCTCCCTTTGAGAATCTTGCCATTACAAATATGTAAGATACAGCTTTTGGACCCAGACCGAGGAAAGATGCCTTGACTGTTTATCTTTTTTAAGCTTTCAGAGAGGATAGCAACCTAAATCTTCTGCCTTCCTCAAGGCACACGAAAAGGTAAAGTGGATGAAGAGTCTACTAAATAATGCAGGCCAGAGGCATCCGGGTTTTGCCTGAATTATCTGAAAAATTCCTTGGCTCCTCTGATTATAATTGAGTTTTGTCAACACAAATTGGGTATTTTGTACTTGTTTTTTTGGTCATTATTATTTTAATTAATATAATTATAATATTATATTATAATATTATATTTTATATTATAATAATTATACTATTATTTTAATTAATAATATAATAATATTAATTTAATTAATATTATTTAAATTAATATATACTTACGGTGTACAACCTTATATATACATATCTATATATGCACACACACACACACACACACGTTGTGGAATAACTACATAAATTTAATTAACCTATCCCTTACTTCACATACTTACCATTTTTTTGTGATGAAAATATCTAAACTCTACTCTCTTAGCAATTTTCAATAATGCAATGTATTGTTAACTATAATCACCATGTTGTATAATGGATCCCCTGAACTTATTCTCCTGTCTGCCTGAAATTTTGTATCCTTTGACCAACACCTCCTTAACATGCCCCCCACCTGAAATTGACTGCATTTGTTTTGACTAACGATTTTCTAAGGGTTGATTGGAGGTAGTGTGGAATTTCCAACACTATAGCGGAAGCATTTAAAGGATAACTATGAAAGAAACAGTAAAATATGACCATAATATTTTAGCCTTGATGTTTTTCCCTTCCACCCTTAGATGTGCCAGCAAGGTATACGAAAAAGAAAGCTAAACAGTTTCCTGTGAAATTTCACGTAAAATCAAATTTTTTATGTCACTTACCACAGCTTTTTCCTTATTCCTCTACTTTTTCATCTACATTAAAGGGTTATTTTCTGGATGTATACAACATTCACCATTTCACTCACGGAAATGAGATGCTGCGTGATTAGTTAATAAGTGTTTATTGATTACTTCTGGGCCTCTTGGCAGAATTGAATTAGAGCCAGATACTATCCCCTTGTGCTTAATAGTACTTTTTTTTTCCCCTTGTAGAAGGTGGAGAAATATGTTCTCTTTGCTAACAACAGAGAAAATGGAATTTATCTTTTTTATCCCTGAAAATGCCAGGATACTTCAGTTCGACTGATTATTTTTAGCTGAGTAATGGGCATTATGATTCAAGTCATTCTTAGTCCATAGCTACTTCTACTACTGCTTTTATCTATAGAGTTATGAGACTCCAAAGTTAAAAAGTACTTACCTATTGTCCTACGTTAAAAACAAACAAACAAAAACCTCATAGTTTAAAATCTGAATGGTAAAGCTAAATACTCATCTTCTATGTTAATACTGACTTTGGACAGTAATGAGTTGGCTCTATATTGAGTATTTTCAAGAAATATGCTGACACTTCTGCCCCCTTTTTCTTTTCTTTTTTTTTCTTTTTCTTTTCTTTTTTTTTTTGAGACAGGGTCTCACTCTGTAGCCCAGGCTGGAGTGCAGTGGCATTATTATGGCTCACTGCAACCTCCAACTCCTGGGCTCAAGCAATCCTCCCACCTCAGCCTCCCAAGTAGCTGGGATTACAGGTGTGCACCACCAAGCCTGGCTAATTTTTTTAAGTGTTGGTAGAAATGAGGTCTCACTATGTTACCTAGGCTGGTCACAAACTCCTGTGCTCAAGTGATCCTCCCGCCCTGGCCTCCTGTCTTGACTGGGATAACAGATGTGAGCCACTGTGCCCAGCCTCTTTTCTTTTTTTTAAAACATGTTACTGTTATAAAATAAAAACAATCCTTCTTCAAGAAAATAGAATTTATGGATTTAAAAGGCTAAAAAGAAAATCTTTTAACTTTCTATATCAATTTGTCTTAAGGTGGTAGCATTTCTTTTGATTCATACAGCCTGAAATTCTTTTCTTTCCAACACCACCCCTCTTGCTTGCTTTGTATATTCCTAGAAAATTTGTACTAAATATCAGAACTCCTGTGTTCTGAGCAGTTTCTTTAACTCATTGGCGTTTCATTCCTTGCTGTATCATAATTAAGACCATTTCCAAATACAGAACAACTCATAAGATGTCACTGAGCCCATATCTTGGAGAAGAGTGTTAATATAAAAATATGTGTTGCTAATATTGATTACTTTCGCGTCAAAAATTTAAAACATTGCCATGAGCTGGTGCACTCAAATCAAATTGGAGTCATGCCAGCATGAGCTGAAATTGTAATTGCTGAGAAGACAATGGATAATGCCCCAGTACTTCTGCTACAGCTCCTTGTCCTCTTTTTAAAAAATCATCGTAACCATTTTCAGGTGTACAGTTCAATATTGCTAAGTATATTCATATCATTGTGCAACCAATCTCCACAACTTTTTCATCTTGCAAATCTGAAACTCTCTATCCATTAAATAACAATTCCCATTCCCCCTTCCCTCAGCTTCTGGCAACCACCATTCAATTTTCTGTTTCTATGCATTTGATTACTCTCTAGATGTGTTATAGAAGCGGAATTGTAGAGTGTTGGTGGCTTATTTCACTTAGTGCAATGTCTTAACATTCATGTTGTATCATGTGTCAGAATTTTTTTCCTTTTTTTTTATTTTTTAATTTTTTTGAGACAGAGTCTTGCTCTGTCGCCCGGGCTGGAGTGCAGTGGCACAATCTCAGCTCACTGCAAGCTCCGCCTCCCAGGTTCATGCCATTCTCCTGCCTCAGCCTCCTGAGTAGCTGGGACTACAGGCGCCCACCACCACGCCCGGCTAATTTTTTGTATTTTTAGTAGAGACGGGGTTTCACCACGTTAGCCAGGATGGTCTCGATCTCCTGACCTCGTGATCCACCTGCCTCAGCCTCCCAAAGTGCTGGGATTACAGTCGTGAGACACCACGCCCAGCAATATTTTTTCCTTTTTAAGGCTGAGTAATACTCCCTTGTATGTATATACTATGTTTTGTTTATTCACTAATCCACTGATGGACAATTGGGTTGCTTCCACCTTTTGGTTATTGTGAATAGTGCTGCTGTGAACATAGGTGTACAAATATTTCTTAAGAGACTCTGCTTTCAATTCTTTTGGGTAGATACCCAGAAGTGGACTTGCTGGATCATATAGCAATTCTATTTTTCATTTTTTTGGGAAAATGCCACACTCTTCCATAGCAGCAGCATCATTTTACATTCCTAGCAACAGGGCACAGGGGTTCCAATTTCTGCACATCCTCACCAACACTTGTTATTTTCTATTTTTTTGAGAATAGCCATCTTGATGGGCATAAGGTACCTGTCAGTTTTTTGTTGCTTGATCCTTAAATATGTGCAACTAAGGATCACCAGATATTTGAAGAAAATCTGAAAAATGAAGAAAAGAACACAAGATGAATAGGCAGGAAAAATGACCTCACAAAAAAAAAACAGAAATAGAGAAGAGATTGGATTTTTTTTCTTATGATTCTCAGAAAAATGTAAGCAGACACTGCATCCATAGAACAAAATGCTCTAAAAAAAGGAACAAAGAACAAAACGTTTAATGTATAACTGTATAATGTTTTTTAAAGTACTGAAAGGGTAGATGATTTTGAGGCAGGTATAATAGAGAAAAACAATGATGGAGAATGTGAGAGAAAAGATAAGTTATAGAGAATAAGTCTAGGCGGACTAGAAAGAAAGAACAGAGGAAAGAAAGAGGAGGAAATTATAAAAAAAATTTTAATTTCACAACACTAAAAAACAAGAATGAAGGGAGCCACTTAATGTCTAGCACAAATAAATAAAACATGATCTACAGAGAAAACACAGTTTCTGAATGTTCTGAACACCTGGGATAAAGAGAAACATTTATGAATCTTTTGAGGAAGAAAACAACAAAACAAAACAAGAAAACATAAGAACAGGCCACCTGCAAAAGATCAGGAACCATAGCAACAAAGGATGTGATAGTTGATAAAGTAAAACTTTAAGTTTTTGAGTGAAAATTATCTTCAATTTAGATTTCTCTTCCCAGCAAAACTATCAGGCAAGTGTAAGAATAGAACACAGATCTTTCAGATATGTTCTAAGTGGGAGAAAAAAGTAAAAGGGAAGATGGTATAGTGGAAATAATAATTTCAACCCAATAGAGTAAGGAAGGAGAATCCCAGGTTGACAGCTGAATTTTACTGACAATTAGTTATGATTGGAGCAGGAGAAATGATTGCTTTGGGAGGAGGTATCAGAGAGTAGGGATTAGTGAGGAAAAGCGATTCTATAGGTACATTGCTACCTTTAATTTCCTAGATCATATAAGGAAGCAATACAAACATTGCAAGAATGAAGACAAGGACAAGTATAAATCCCAGGATAAATAAAATGCTATAAAATAAAGGAAATAGAGCTACGCTATACCATTGGCTTCTAAGAGTGAACAGTAGTTATGGAGTCATCATTATATAGACACTGTTCATTGATTTCAACTTTTAGAATTCACCTATAGACAAAGCATGGAAGACAGACATGGCTACAGAACAGCATGTAAGTATTATCAACCTCCATGCTATAAAAGTGTAAACATGAACAACAGAGAGCTTCAGAGTGAAGCTGGGGAGGAAACCTGAAGGGGAAGATGAGGGCACTCATCACTCTTTATTCCTATAGAACGGAGAATTAAGAAAATTCTGCCCATCATATGAGTTCATGTCCTTTGTAGGAACATGGATGAAGCTGGAAATCATCATTCTCAGCAAACTATCACAAGGACAAAAAACCAAACACCGCATGTTTAATTGAACAATGAGAACACATGGACACAGGAAGGGGAACATCACACACTGGGGACTGTTTTGGGGTGGGGGGAGGGGGGAGGGATAGCATTAGGAGATATACCTAATATTAAATGACGAGTTAATGGGTGCAGCACACCAACATGGCACATGTATACATATGTAACAAACCTGCACGTTGTGCACATGTGCCCTAAAACTTAAAGTATAATAAAAAAAAATTCATCATAGATGGAATAAGAAATGAAGGGATAAGTAATTACAAAGGAAACCCATACAGAAACCAAAAGTAGCAATCAATAGATCATATCTAAAATCAATACATTAAGAAATAATAGTGTAAGTATGTTTTTTAGTGATATGGAGATGATCAGTAGAAAATTAAAAACAGGGACATTTAAATAAAAGTGGTTGCTACTAGGGAATAACAGCAGCTGGCATGTGGTAAGGCGGGAGACTGACTTTTCATTTAAAATAATTTCTTGACTATTTTGTAACAATGGGTATCGATTACTTGCATTAAAAATTAAGAATTTAATACACAGATTAAAAGTAAAACTGTCTCCTACCGCAGCAAGTAATGTAATGGAGTGACAATTATGACATCTATGGAAAAATATGAAAAATATTTGTCCTGTGTTTAAAATCTGAACCTTGATGTACAATGTGATCATAACCTTATAAAATATATATGATCTGGACAGAGTCTGAAAGGTAACATGCAAAACAGGCATTTTGTGTGAAATCGTGAATAATTTTCTCTTTGCAAACTTTTATTTAATATCTTTTCACTGCTTTTTCAAGGATGCAGTTTAGTATTTATGGGTTATTATTACATGCAGCTATTTCACCTTTCAGTAATATTTATGAAAATGTAACATGACAGTGAATTACATGAGAAAATAGCATCCTATAAATATGCTACCTTGCCACTAAGAAAGGTCACTTTGGCTATAAAAAGTTACAATGAAGAGGGCCATGTATTTAGGCTATGCTGATTAGTTTCCAATTTCTATCATTTCAGGTATGTAAATTATTGCTGAAAACATGGTTTATGTTTGTGGTAAATGAAATTTATGTCGCCGGATGAATTGGCTTCACTGCTGGAAATCTGTACTGTTATTCCAAGCAGAGTCTCGCTGCTGGGAGACAAGAAATGAAATCTCAGTTTTCAATATGCTTTTCAAATGAAGGCAATCATTAAATATAGCCCATTGGTATTGTATATTTAAAGCCAACAAAATAAGAGTTTTTGTTTGTTTGTTTGTTTAGTTTGTTCTTTTAGCTGGGCCCACATGGGCCTCAGTACCAGTATACCTGGGGGTCTCTAAATTTCACCTGACCTATTGAACACTAATATTTCCAAACACTGATATTTCCAAACTGATATTTGCAGGACCAAGCCACTGCAAAAGAGAATTCCTATAAAACCTCCTGTGAAGTTGCTTCTCTTTATCTGTTGATCTTATGATGCTGAAAATAGGGGAAAGTTCGACGCATTTGTTTTCACGACTTCTTCTTCAGGGGGTGATAGGTGTGGAGAGAAGAGTTAACAAAGCAGGCATGAGGAGGCTATGTTTAGAAGGGTCTGTCTGCAAGGGTGGGGGTCTTGGCCGACACCTGGGAACTTGGTACTTGTCCCATTCTCTAAGAAATCAGAGTGGTTCACTCTGCGTAGATTGTTTGCACAAACAATGTGATTTATGCCGAACACCTGCTTAGTTCTGGGAATCTAGAAGAGCGGTACTTGCTAGTCAGAGGGTGCTTCTGTGACCATACCCCAATAAAAACCCTGGATGCTGACTCCATAATGGGATCCCCAGGCAGAGACATTGCACACAGTACTGTACTTTCAGTTGCTGGAGAAAGGAACATGCTCAGTTGTGTCCCATCACAGGAGGGAATGGGTATAAGGAAGCCTGGCATTGATTTCTCTGCCTGTGTCTTTCCCTTATGATCCAGCTGTGTATTCTTACTATGTGGCTATAATAAACTCCAGCTTTGAGTACAACTGTTTGCTGAGTCCCGTGACTCCCTCTAGCAAATCTCTGAAGGTGAGAGTAATCTTTGGGATCCCTGAAACAGTAAGAAATATGTTAGTCCTGCCTCTTTCCCCTCATCCCTCCAGCCCCACCACTCTGCTTATAGTCAAAGATTTGGGAGTAATTCTCAAATACAGACATGGTTTCTAAGAAAGGCCTGGGATTCCAACCGTTTTGAACTGGTGTGCCTCCACTGAGGCTTCACTCTCATGCAGCCAAGTAATTTTACTTTTGAACAAGTGCAAGATTGCATGTTTTTAAATGGAGTTTAAAAGTAGTTAAAATTTGGGCCAGGTGCGGTGGCTCACACCTGTAATCCCAGCAATTTGGGAGGCCGAGGTGGGTGGATCACAAGGTCAGGAGATCGAGACCATCCTGGCTAACACGGTGAAACCCCATCTCTACTAAAATAAAAAAAATTAGCCGGGCATGGTGGCCGGCGCCTGTAGTCCCAGCTGTTCAGGAGGCTGAGGCAGGAGAATGACGTGAACCTGGGAGGCAGAACTTGCAGTGAGCCGAGATTGTGCCACTGCAGTCCAGCCTGGGCGACAGAGCGAGACTCTGTCTCAAAAAAAAAAAAAAAAATTAAAATTTGAAGGGCTGGACCAAATAGGCCGAATAAATAAATCATTAGCTGAGTAAAGTAATAGTGTTGAGTTTTTGTTTTGACTCCCAAAAGAAATTGCAAAGTCCTTTCCATTTCTTTAGGGTTCTTTGCCCAATTTGATCATTTAGGAGGGACTGGAAGAGGGTGTAGGACTCTTCCACAATGCTTCAGCCATGCTTTTCTTCTCTCTGCAACACTGTATCCTTATGCCTCAGGGCTTTTAAACATGCTGTTTCCTCTGCCTGGGACAATATTCCACCCACTCTACTTGCTTAATCCTACCCATCCTTCAGCCTTTTACTAAAAGCTGCTTCTTAAGGGAAAGGTTTCCTGCAAATGTGGCTAGATATTCTTATTTTAGATTCTGCTTTTATTCTGCACTTTGTTTTCAGAGCACCTATCAATTAGATGCTTACTTGCTTGATGTCCGTTTCCCCCATTTGATCGTAAATTTGCTGAAAAAAGGTTAGTGTCCATCTTCTTAATTGTTGCATCCCTAGAACCTAGCACAGAGCCAGGCACGTGGTAAGCCCTCAAAAAAAAAAAAAAAATCGAAGTCAAATAAAGGAATGAAGAGACTCTGTCTGGGTCTCGTTGCATGCGTCAGTGTCTTAGGGTGAACCTTTCCAAATAAACGACTTGTGCTCCACTCTTATTTCAAGGTACCTATGATTATACCTTGAAATAAGGCTGGAGCACAAGTCGTTTATTTGGAAGGATTCCAGGAAGCACCGTAGGGAAGTGGGGAAGTGAGGAAGAGAAGGGAAGGAAGCCAACCTTGGGAGGGTGAGCGGCAGGTCACTCTGTGGGCAGCTGGGACTTGATCCTTCTTCAGGCCTCTGAGAGACAGTGGAGAACATGCCTCAGAGTTGTTCTAACTGAGGGGTGAGGAATTGGGTATTTATTCACTAAACCTCTTTTATTTTAGTTGAAGGCTACTCCCTGCATCATTAACTCTCTGCCACTTCCAGCCTTTGCCACTTGGAGGCCTAACAGGCTCCTGTGGGTAGAGAAGCCCCTTACACAGAGAGTAGAAAATGCTTGTAATAGCAGGAGATCCGACACTACTGGAATGGCATTGAGGGGTTATGAGTGGGTCATCCACAGTATCTACTATGGTCAGAAACCCAACTGGATGAAATCGAAGCAAGTAGAGTATAGTATAATGCCAGTATAATTATATCACATGTTGAAAAGACAGGAAGAAAATAAAACCTATGCATATATGCAGTTGTAATTATTGTTCAAGTATGTTTTAGGAAGCCTACAAGGGCATGGGATTGCACAAGAAGCTAGCACACTACAGATACATAGCTGTGGCAGGAAGAAAGCTCATGTTGGCTGTAGATTTGGAAATTCTGAAAACAGCCTCCTCTAAGAGCCCTGAATGAATGGCTGCTACCACCTCATCTCTGTCACATGGAACCAGCTCTATCAAGAGAGATACTGCCAACAGCATTTGTCTTTGACTCGGTTTTTGTGTAACTGCTTAAACATTTTTCAGGGAACAGTTCTGCAAGGCAGATGTGAACAGGTAGAATCTATATAACAGCTGACTTGAGTTAAATGAGGAGCTGAAACTTCCCAGGACTGAAAGAAACCTGCTGATTATTGTCGCATAACCGTGATTTGCTTTCAGAACTTCAGCATAAAAATCAAGTGAACTTTTTCCATACCTATTGACCCTCCTCCCCTCAGTGTAGTGGTTATATTTCTATAGAAAGGTTGTTGGAAAGACCACAGGAACCATGCTGAGAACCTACATAACATGTATGAAAATGCAACATGCTTTAAGCCAATTCTGGGAAGAAAGGGAGAAAGACTCATATTAAAAAATAGGGGGAGGAAATAGGAAGAGCTTATTATTGATAGGGAGGGAAGCAGGGTGCTGCAAACTTTGAGAATGAGCCCACTTGAGCCCATTATGGTTGAGAAGGAGCAACTCAAGGACAATTCGACAACAAAGGGTGATTGTTTGGCAGGATTCAGGACTGGGAACTCCACTGTGTATTTTAGGCTTTGCATGTTGGTCGTTTGGTAAATTCTCAGAGCCGCTATTGGATGCTGGCGCAGGATGACAAGCTTGAATTCTAAGCCAGGCAAATTCACAATCTTGGACCCTTGGGCTGCAACATGGCATTTCCTGTTGGTTTTTCTGATCTACTTCAGGGACAGAAAACAAGCAGCTACTGAGCAAGGACTGTGTGCCAGATACAATGCGAGGCATTCTATGATACGATATCTCAATTAGTACATCCAGCAGCCCTATGAGATAGATGTTGACATCCCCTTTTCAAATGAAGACACAGAGACACAGGATCAAACAATTTTCCTATGGTCATCCACCTGCTAAATAACAGAGCCAGGCTCAGTTATGTCAGGCTCCAAAGTTTGTGTTCTCTGCACCATCTTGTGTGGCACAGGTTACCACTCCATTCTCTTGTGACCCTGGGAAGTTAGTTCAAGTGTTACTGTCCTCATTTTCCATGTTGGGAAATGTGGAAAGTAAGATATTCAACACTGCTTGGCAGTAACTCCCACGCGGAGTAAAATGGTCCTTTGTAGTGGCATGGTGCCAACCCTATGATGAGCTGAGACAGTAGGGAAGAAAGGAAGTTATTACAGGGTACACAAGCTTTTCGATAGAATTCAACATTGTTTAAAATATTTTCAGTACAGCCAAAAAGAGAGATGGGAGAAGCAGAAAAATCGGAGTATGTAGTAATCTGAGTCCAGTGATCTGAAAGAGAGAGACAATTTACATGTTATGTTCCAACTTTCCATGTGGTTTAGATTGGCCCAGACTGTATACCTTTGGTGTTTAGGTGTGGGAGCAAGGGGTATGGAACACCCTGTTTTCCATCAGGTTGAGTCACAAGTTGTCACTTTGGCTGCTGAGCTGATTTTCTCCATGGTATCTCTTTGAAGTGTTATCCTGTGAAAAGAACTGTAATTTCAGGGGAAGAATTCTTTCCTCCATTCTATGAGATTCTTGGCTGAAGCCACAAACTAATTTGATTCTGAAATGATGCTGTATAGAAGAGCTCATCTCTTAATCTCTGGGGCTTTTACCAACCAAACATGTGCTGATTCTGTTTTTCACAAGTCAAGCTAATTTCTAAATAATGTAGCAACCAGTTAGGACAATCACAAGAGGGAGAGAAATTGATTTTGAAAGCCAGTTCTGAGAGATGAATGGAAATAAATTTGGAATGTGAAAGGTAAGGAGAGCCAGATGGACATACAGTATAATGCCAGACATGAGGAGTTTTAAAAAATGCTGATGCAAAAAAAAACACATACTGATACCCGGGTCCCAATCTTAGAGGGTCTGACTTAATTGGTATGGTATGGGGTGCAATCTTGGCATTGAGGTTTTATAAGCTCATTGAAGTTTGAGAACCTCTGGGCTAGACAATACCGTGTGTTATTCCAAGGACTGTGAACTTTAGAGGAAAATCAAGAAAATGTGCTCAGTTACACAAAGATGGTGTGTGATTTTAAAATTTGATTGTGGAAAACTAGTGCCCGTGCTTATAGCTGTGTACACATCAAGGTGTGACTTTTCATATCAGTCACAAACATGGGGACGTAGCTGGAGCCTTTTCCTTCAGCAGTAGCCTGATTATGGGAAGACATTTCTAATGCAGAGATGATGCTTTATGTTTTATTCTTTCTAACCCACAGTCCCTGGAGCACTGCTATGTTTGTGATAGTTTCTTAAAAACCGAAACTTAAAATGGAACCACTTAGGGGTCTTTTATTTTTATCATCTGCTACATAACGCAAGGCACATACGTACTTCAACACTGGGCATTTCTGAAATGTCAGCCCGGGCTCTAGGATGACTGACAGGCAATCCAGAGAGACAGAGCCTAAAATTTGAGCTGGTAATGAATCTGGGCCAGACCCAGTGACTGACAGCCTTCCCGTGACACAGGCAGGCACTCTGCTAAGTAAGTCCTTCCACTGTGCCTGGAGCCCCGTGTTTGTCAGCCATTCTAGAAATCATATCTGGGTGCTCTGTGCAATGATGAACATGGACGTGGTTCACTCTGGGGCTTCTCCCTGTTAAATCCTCTCTGATTAGCTGAGTGATTTATCTTAGGGACTGCTTGCCTTGAAAGTGACTTCACTTAGCCCTCTGTAGTTGCGGAGCATTGGTTCCAGGACCTCCCACAGATTCCAAGATCCATGGATGCTCAAGTCCTTTACATAAAATGGCATAGCATAGTTGACCCTCAGTATCCATGCGTTCTGCCTCTGCAGATTCAACCAACTGCAGATGGAAACCCACGCATACAGAGGGCCGACTGTTTTTATCTGTCCTGCTGTGCCTGCCCACTTTGGATATCTGGCCCGAGTGAGTGGGTGAGTCTTCATCCACCTGTGCTGTCATTCAGGGACACAGACACTTCGGATTCATGCCGGTGACTTTTCCATAGTGGCTGAAGAGAAGCAGGTGTTGTCTGAAGGATCTTACATTCAGGGGCCGGCCCACTTGAGTGATTATGAAAGCTGGACCTATTCTGGCCCAGAATAGTATACTTCACTGAGAGAGAGCCCTGCACAGGCCTTCTTGACAACTGCCGAATTTACATTAAGAGCCACAGAATATATCCCGTCTGTGTGAGTGAAGTGAAGCACCTTCCAAACCCGTCAGTGTTTTGTGGTTGACACCCTGCATGTCATCTCCCACCTGTGCCCAACAGTGACAATTGTGGTTGTCACCTGAATGATCTTCTGGCCTCTGCCTGCCCACCCGAGGGACACTTCCTCTGCTCTTGAGTGAAGTAATGAGACTTATCCCAAGTTCTCCAACTTCTAATCTTCTCAACTTTTCTGTCTTTAGATGAGAGATCTCAAGCCCCGGGGATCCCTTGGTCAGACAGATACTAGGTTGGTGCAAAGGTAACTGGGGTTTTGCCATTGCTTTCAGTGGCAAAAACTGCAGCTGCCTGTGTACAAATCTAATGCATGAGTGAAACAGGCTGGCCTCAGAGATAGTGGGAGTGCTGAAGACTGTGACAAACTGGAGGGCTGGTGACCCATCTGCAGAGGATACCTGCCACTCAGCTCCAGCCAGTTGGTGGTTACCGTCAGTGAGATAACAAGTGACCCAGGTCTAGGGAGATTTTTACCTCTCACTCATAGATATCCTGGGCTACAGGAAAGGAGATTTAGAGAGGGCCTTTTCTCCTTCAACCCCCCTTTATAGACTGAAACCCAGAAGAGTAATGCTTACATGACCAAATAACACAAGCCAACCTCTTTATTTTTCTGGTAATGAAACAAAGCCAGTCATATTTTATTAATACTTCTGTAATAAAGGCAAAAAATAACATCTGCAGAAAAATTGGAGCTTCTATATGCCAGAGAAGGCAACAATACATTTGATTTTTGTTATATATTGTTAACTGAAAAAATTACAATGTATAAATTTAGAAAAGGAGAAGAAAGAAAATTTATTTCTTATAAAGGGTTACAACCTGTAAGGTGCCCATCCCCCAGGCTGGGAAAACATACCTCCAGCCAAGACCAGAGACAGGAACTTTGAAGGAGGAGGGGTAGGGATAGGACTTTATGCTGAACAGGTTGGCTAAATGTACATATTCAGCAGGTTACAAAAGGAGCTATGAATATTCATAAAGGTGATACGGACACAAGCATATTAAACAAACATGCATGTTAACATATGACCCACGTTCACTTTGGAGTGGAGCCTTAACATTTCAATGTCTTACAACTAGGCCCTATGCATCAAAAGGTCTTTTCAGGACACAAAGACACACAGGTACAAAATCTGTGTAAACTGGCATAGACCAGTGCATGGTCAGTGGTCTCTTTTCAGGAGAAAGTTACTGAAAGCAGTCTCTTGTCCAATCAGAGCCGTAGTCATGGCTGGTGGAACAGGGGCATCGTCTGTGATTTAGGCAGCATCTGTGAGCTGGATGAGCTGTAATTGTTCTAATATTGCTTATCTGGAGAACAGTTCTTGTTTTGCTGCCAGAGAAAAAGAAAAACCTTTTGGCAGTGAGAATCATAGTTTATTCTTTAGGTGTGGGGTGTGTGACTTAACCCTTGCCTGGCCTTAGGTCTTGTTTATAATTTGGTATCTTATTGCCACTGAGAGGCTATTCTGTCAGTCTTACGATCTCTATTTTAATATTAATTCTGGCCAGTTGTTGTGTCTAAACCACAGAAGAGGGGGGTGTAATGAGGCCTATTTGATCTCCCATCCCATCATGGCCAGAAATTCAGTTTTTTTCTGGGCTCCCTTTGTCCACAAGGGGGTCTGTGGCCCATCAGTTGTTTGGAGCTTAGGATTTTATTTTTAGTTTACAAATATCACAAGCCTGGTATGCCAAATATAAAATCTATGTAATAATATATTTCAATTATTTTCTACAGTCCCAGCGAGATAAAATACTCAACTTGGGGCTTCTTTGAAGAATGATCTGATATAAATTTAAAGTAGCTTTAAATAAAATGGATGGTGAACACACAACATTGACAGAAATGAACTACCTTTTTCCAAGGATTTTTTCAGAGTTGCAAAGATCGTGTAAGGTCAATGGTCAAAGCAAAGTTGCTAAGTTTTTATTAGAAACCGTCAGGGTGGCCATCCATCCACAATGCTGTGGGTATCAGGCGCACCATTCTTAGTGCAGTAAGCAGTGCGAGGAACTCCTGACTTTGTCGCATCTTTACTCTAAAGAACATAAACAGTGAATTCTGAGTGGGGAAAGTGAATGGTGTTCGGCAACTTCACAGTCAGAAATAGGAGGTCTGAGACAGATGGGTTAAATGATTAGGTCACAGTGAATTTTGGCAGTATTAAAATGTGCTAGTCTGACAGAATGTCTTCAATTAGTCAGTGTATCTATACTTATTTTACTGTGTGTAAAACAAGAAATTTCTCCACGCATGGGATTTCAGGGAGTTTTGTTTTGGAGAGGAATTTTTCCCACTCTCTTCTCTCCCAGGTGGGTGGAGGGTGGAGCTTTGGTCTCCTCTTGTGAGTGGTGTCATGTGGTTAGGCACACAGCAAAGCAGCGGAGGTGGGAAGGGACCAGGAGGTTGGGGGGTGATGGGTGTTGCAGACCCACAGTGCAGAGCCGAGCTGCGTTCCTGGCTCTGAGGAGAGCGAGGCTCTGGCCTGGAGGGACTCGTTCACATGGCGAGCTGAGCATGTCTCTGACAGCCTGGGTACCTGGGTGCGGGGTGCACCTGCCAGGTGTCATCTCACAGGGCGTGCCGAGAATGAGCCTCTCAGATTGTGGGGGCATTGCCTGGTTCTCTAGGTTGAATGTTTTGTTTCCTCAAACTGTACCATTAGATGTTAATCCAGAATCCTGGATTTATACAAGGGCCAGGATTTAAATAGAGGACCAAGACTCCTAATAGCAGAGACACCATGGTAAAGAGCACAGGCTTAAGAATCCATCACACCTAGGGCCAAATCCTGGCATTACCTTTGACAAGTGACCCTTTTTTTTAAGTCTCTGCCTCTTCATTTTTGAAATGGAGCTAAACCATTGTAAGACTCATATGACATCATTTGTATTTGCTTGCTAGCCAATTTAAAGGACAGCATTTATAGCGCTATTAAGTTCTGCATTGTTACATTTCAATAGACTCGCTGAGCCAGAACCAAGCTCTCTTCTCCTAAATTAAAAAAGTGAACCCTGAGGCCAGGCGCAGTGGCTCGTGCCTGTACAATCCCAGAACTTTGGGAGGCTGAGGTGGGAGGATCTCGAGGTCAGGAGTTCGAGACCAGCCTGGCCAATGTGGTGAAAACCTGTCTCTATTAAGATACAAAAAATAGCTGGGTGTGGTGGCCGGCGCCTGTATTCCCAGCTACTCGCGAGGCTGAGGCAGGAGAATCACTTGAACCCGAGAAGCGGAGGTAGCAGTGAGCCGAGATAGCGCCACTGCACTCCAGCCTGGGCGACAGAGTAAGACTCCGTTTCAAAAATAAAAAAGGAACCCTGAAATTGCTGAAATTGTTCATGGGCGACAGCTGCTTTACCTGTACCTCCTCAACACCCCCAGGCAAGAACAATGACATGGTAGCTAATACTAAAATAAGCCTGAAAGAAAGATAGATCTATATCTATAGTTATAGCTGTAGCTATAAATAAATGTATGGAAATATGTGTGTATACATATATGTATATGTATATACATACAATCAAATCCTAAGTCTTCCTTTTTAATAACTTCTAAAATCTAGGTAGGACAGACATAGAAGTGCACATACCACAACAGAGCACCTCAATGAATTACTACACAGTCCAGACTCCACTCAGCTCAAGAAATGGAATGTTACTGAAATCACCAAGCCCTTCTCATGCCCCTCCCCTCTTCTTCTGACTCCTTTCTCGCAAGGAAAACACTAAGCTGACTTCTTATCTCATGGATAAATTTTGCATGTATTGAAATTTATTTAAGTAAAATCATGTATATATCCTTTTGTGTCTGGCTTCTTTCACTCAGCCTTATATTTGTCAGAGTCAAGCACGTTAATTCATATCCTAACACTATGGTCACCATATGTAAACTGGGACCATCCCGGTTTATACTACCGTTTTGGCATAATTACTGATAGCACACCTTTTCACTGTTGAAAGTGTCCCGATTTGGAAAATAAATGGAATGATCAACCCTACCTACCACCAACGAAAAGAGATGGACTCCTTCCCCCCGCCACACACACACTATAGGCTGCTGTTTTGTAACTTTTCCTTTAAAGCCCGTTCCTACTGATGAAGCTAATTGATGACACCTGAGTCTTTTTGCATTCACGTGCTGGGGGAAAAGCAGGTGAGCTCCTGTGTGATTTCCCTATTTAGAGGTCTGTGAAAGCTGCAGAGGGCTGAGTTCTATCACTGATTTGAAATTTCTTCGTGGAGACTTTCTTCCTTCATGGAGACTTTCTTCCTTCGTGGTGAGTTGTATGGAACAAGATAAAGCAACACGGCAATTTTGTAAGGTAGTAGAGTAGGGGTGCTTGCTTTTTATAGAGTCTTAAAACTGGCTTCTGTAGCAAGATGCCTGAGTTGGCTTCCAGTGGGGAGTGGTATTATTAATGATATTATCATGCTTTCCCTTTCTTCCACCAACGCATAATCCAACACATTAAAACTATGACTTGAACAAGAAAAACACTCTGAACCTTCTTTTATAAGTATTGCAGTACCCTTTTCTTACCTCTGCTCTTTGAGCCACAGTTTGGGTCAATCATACTGACCTAAAGTCAAGACAGCATGGACGGGTAAATTTGCAATACAACAGCTTGCCTTAACCACCCACTATGGTCTGGTCACCCTGAAATAACTGTTGGTTCTGTAACATATATTTTCTGGTTACTGGAACATGTGAAAGGCATTAGCAGCCCAGGGCCAAATATGAGCGAATGCCCTTCTTTAGCTGCAGCATGGGAAGTGTCCCCCTTGAGAGTGTTATTTAGCGGTCTCTTCTGCTCGGCTATTATGAGGTCTTAAAAACAGTACTGCTTTGTTGGGGCAATCATCCTGAAGGGCAAGTGAGCTAAGACATCCTTGAATGTATCATCTCCTGATGATAGAAGCACTGTTTACACTCATAGAGCACTTTTAACTTCTCACAGCTCATTTAAAAAATTATTAATTTTATCCTTGCAATAGCCCTGGTCAGGCTGGGTGGTAACCTTGTTGTCTCAGGCGTCTGATTTCACAAGTACACTGTATAGTGCATGAATTTAAGTCACCTGGTAAAATCCTCTGACAAGTCTTCCAAATCTTACATTCAGCATTCAGCACTATTCAGCGCCTATCACTGCCAGCTGAAAACTGTATAGCCATTAAGATGTTGCTGTAGAAATTCGAGAATTTCTGGCCTGTAGAATAATTTTTTACATGGAAAAACATTTGTAAAATTTTGCTTGAGGAAACAGATTACAAAACAGTATGTGAACATGACAGTGTGATGTCATATGGAAAAAGGATATGTCACCTTTAAGACGTGGACCACCATTTAACAGTTTTGAAATAAGGATACATCTCAAAATGTGAGTGCTCAACCCCTACAAATGTTGTTATATGGATGACAAATCCTATATTTGACAGCATCTTAGAATAAATACAATCTCTCTTTTTCTCAAATCTGTACCTATATAAGTAATTTAAAGAATGTCTACCAAAATGTTAACAGTGATTATCTCTGGGTGGGGGCAATGAGTGATTTTGTGTTTTCCAAATCTTTTGTGTTTTCCAAATTTGAGTACATATTAATTTCAACAATGGCTTTTTGTAAAGATAATATACAAGGCCAAGGACCACAAAGTAGTAGACTGAGAAAGATGAGGTTCTTCCCATGATTATTATAAAATAATAGATGGAGAAGCCAAACAGCTAAAATCTTCTGCAAGAATGGTTAAAAGCATCTACAGGTTGATTTGGGGGAAAGGAAATAGAAATTTTAATTTAAATGTTGCATTTCAACATTTAAATTGATCATAGATATTTTGTACAATTTTTGTACAAGACTATCCGGTAGGAAAGAAATTATAAGACACTAATAAATTCATACCTGCATCTGTGGTTGATTCATTTACAAGAGTGTTCCTGATAGAATTGGGAGACTAACAATTTACAGGTTACAGATGAAGAAGAGCCATGAATAACACAGCTGAAGCGGCATGGTTAGTAAATGGCAATGGAATTTGAGTCTCCCAATTTGATTCTCTCCCCAAATACTTGAGGCACACAGGAGGCTTTCATAAACCAGTTGTATCAAATATGGGAAAAGCATGAATCAGGTGCTTGTTGTTTCTGTCACACTTCTCATGTAAATTCACAGTCTGCCTTGGATAAATATTCTTTATTCATCAGTTTAATCTAGAGCACTATTTAGAGCTGATTTATGATGAAAATGTAGACAGGCTGTTTTTGTTAATACTAGGCTGAACTTCACATATTAAACAGCTTGGCTACATTTAAGCACCAGCTTTGAAGATGATCCATTCAGCATAAATCCTGCACAGACTAAGAGCATGTCAGTGAGAACTGCCCTAGGCAGAGGGGCCCCAGGACGACAATGACTCAAGGACTCAGAAGACTCTGCTGGGATATCAAATTTGTGTTTTGTCAAGTCTTAGCAGGACTTGGTGCTATTTGTTGTTATGAAATCAAATGCCTTATGGGGCCAGGACTAATTAGGTTGACCATGGTGTCAGCTGCAGGGAGGCAGGCTGTTGGGAATCTGACCACAGCTGGATGTGGATGGGCAGTGCCTGCCTCACTGCGTCAGCCACAACCCTGCTATGAGCAACCAAGTCCAGCATCAAATGGCTAGAGACATAGTTATTTAAGTGAGCATTTAATGGACTTTACTTTGATATTTTATTTTAGTTTGTATCTTTAATATGAGGCAGTAGAGAAATGAATGGTCAAGAGAGCTGCTATTGGACATGAGGAATCTTAAAGACTTCGTTTCTGAACCAGGACTCTATAAAGAGGTATGAAACTCAGTAACTGATGAAAGATCTCTTTTGCATGTTTTAATTATTTTCTTTTCAACCATGTATAGGTAGAAAATTAAGGCAATGTGCAATGATACTCTTATTCTTTTTAAACTCTGGGCCAATACCTTTAGTGAAATTAACAAAATAATTGGGCTTTGTGAAGCGGAGCAAATCTAGACTCCAAATGATAAGATACATGTTTAAAGCTATGAAACTAACTTCACAGTATACAGAGAAGTGCTGACTTTGTGTGTGGGGGTGGATGTCTGATGTTTTGAGTAATCGGAGATGAATTGAAATACTTTTGAAGTGTCAATAGTACATTTTTCCAGTAATGTGTATGCCCAATACAGACTAAATATAAATATCCTTAATAGGTAAATATATCAGAATCTAAAAATTATTTTCAAATTATAAATTTCACTACAGAATAATAATTGACAACTTTTCAGTAAACATGTATGATTCATTAATCTAAATTAATGTAATTTTAGAAAACATAAAATGAATCAGATTTTTTCAGTGAAATAGTCATAATTTTGTCTCCCATTTGCTTCATAGCTAATAATTCAAGTATTTCTAAAAACACTGATCTTAAATGGTTAATAAGTAGACTCTGTGCATAATCACATACATTGGTTCCTCCAGTGCCTTTGAAATATCTTTCCTCTTAGTTGGGTTTGGCTGAGTTTATCCTTTAACTAAATCTTGGATGGCTTTCAAATGGAAGCCAAAAGAGAGATTGTTAGCCATAATTTTAGAGGAGTGGTAAAAAAAAAATGCAATAGCCAAAAAGCATATGGAATATCTTGTCAATTGAAAGATAAACAGTTGTTTTGTATGGGTACATCTTGCTTATAATAGCAAGCCACATGTTACTGTTCTTTCAGAAGTGTTTTTGCCTCTCCATTTGAGGGATGAATTTGGTCGTAAAATAACAGTTAGCTTACATCTGGAGTGGTGCCTTTTATTAGTAGAAATGATGACAGGATGTAAAATCAAAATATTGCTTGTGCTGTTGCTTTTTAGCTTACCTTGATGACTATAAATGATGAAACATCTTGGTGATGTTTAGAGGGAGAAAAAATTCACTTTTATTGAACGTGTATGTGTTCATGTGCTCGTTTAATCTTTACAATGATTCTAAACGATAAACATTCATCCCTTCTTACCAACTAAAAAATGGGCTTCAGAGCTGTTAAGTAACTTGGCCAACGTCACACAGACTGGGGTGGCTGTGACCGTGAGACCAAGCTTGTCTGCTCTCAAAGCTCAGGTTCTTCTATACGGTTCTCTTTAGCCAACTGGTTGTTTATGGCAGAACTACTATCATTGAAATAGCTAATCCAACTAGCATATCAATAAAATTAGGGACCTGTTTATCATTTTAAATGAGGAATTACTATTTACTACTGTGTGTTTTTTTTTTTTTTACTTGTAACTGTTGAAAACACTAGGCTTCAGTCACTTTTCAAAGTATACAAGTCGAGAAGCTGAGAAGCATTAACCACTACAACAAAGTCTTAATACAAATGAGAATGGATAAAGTTCATAATAAAAGTATAAACTGGACTGAAATGATTTAACTTGTTTTTGAAGACTATAAGATAATTTTTCTTTCCAGACAGAATATATTCCTTTCATTTGTATACATAACTTTTATTTTAAAAATTTGTCTTTTTGGTATCAGATGTCAAGTATTTTAGGGGCTGTCTGCTGGAGAAACTTGGAAATATAATGAAAAGAGCATGTATCCTCCAGTCAGATGACCTGAGGTTAAGTCCTGGCTTTGCCACCAACTAGCTGTGTGACCTCGGGAAACTGGTAACCTTGGAAAGCCATGATTGTCTCATTTGGTAAATTGAACTAATACTTACCTCCCAGGTGCTGTGAAATCCCCCATGAGATAATGTTTATGGAAACATTAGAAATACGTAAAGTATTATTTGAATCAAAGGTGATGGTAATTTTTGTCAAACATATAAAACTTTGGTTTTCTTGCAGGAGTATTTTTAATGCAGAAGTTGGCTTAGTGATCTGATCCAGCAACCATGAGTGGTTTTCATTCCTTGAGGCCATGGTTCTGGCATTGGAGACTGAGGTTATAAACCACTCCTGATTCACTTCATTAAGAATGTGTCTTGGAGTTTAACTGGGGTGAGATGTGACCTTATAAACTGTCCTGTGTCCCCTCTCTAGGGATTTTCCCTGTGCCTTTTCACTGAGTATATGGCCAAGATTCTAGGCTGCTAGCACCTGGGACTATGGGAGGTTTTGTCTTGCTTTGATAGTAGAAAGAAAGAGTTGAAGAATTCTGGAGACCCATGAAACCTCCTTGGCATGCTGATGTATTTTTTTAACCCACATGTAGTATCGTGTTCAATAAATACTTTTTTAAAAATATAAAGCATCATAGTTTAGTCACTTGACTAGCTGATGCTTCACTGATACTTACAAGCAAGTAAGGCACGTTGATAGTAATGATGTATATTAACCAAGGCTTATTCAGTTGCAAGTGTCAGAAACCCAACTCAAATGAGGTTGCAAAGAGGGAAACTTACTTGTTAATCGAACTGGGTAGTCCAGCTGGTGGTTCTGGCTTCAGACCCAGTTAATCTAACGATTTAGACAATGTCATTAGGACTCTGCTCTGCTTCCCTTGCTTGGCTCTGCCGTCCTCTGCTTCATTCTTAGGCAGCTTCTCTCTGGGGGTGGGGCAAAGAGGCCCACAGTGGCTGTAGGCCCATAGCATCCTCACAGGTGTATATCATGGAGAAAAGAATGTGTCACTCCCTTCTCTATAATCCATATTGATTCCTGAAAAGGACTCTCAGTGGCTCTGCTTAGTTTATGCGCCTACCCTTGAACCAAGCAGTGTACCCAGGAGGACATGTTATTCTGGAGATCCAGTCTGAGTTACCTGCTAACTGCTATGGCTGGAAAGAGTGTCTAATGGCAGTAGGGAGGTGGGAGGGAAGGGATATCACAGTAGTTCCATAGAATACCTTCTGTGCTTTGTCATGGGTACATGGAAATAGGAATCCCATTGGATGCCAAGGAAATGCCTTCTTTTTTTACCACCTTCTCTGATTAGACAGGTGATTAGGGGAGAAGAAGTCCCAAGGAGTGGATCTATTGATAACAGATGGCTAGCTCCCTTGGACCAAATGTTTGACCCTCACAGTTTTCATTTCCCCTCTCAGGAATCTTTCAGCTGTCTCTTCCATACCTCTGGCCTCACTCCACTTCCATAAAATGTCTGTGATCTATCCCCGTCAGCATGACAGTGAAAGTATTGACCCATGATATTTAGTTGCCTCTCAAGAACATTTACTCTGGAGAATATTTCAAAGATAACCTTTCAAGAGCTGAGGAATAAAGAATTGCCATGAAACAGTGGTCTCTATTTGGGGTCAGGTTGCCTGCCCTACAAATCCTCAAATAGTACAGCAGAGGAAGCCACTTAGTTGGTTTTGGGATACAGGCTGAAGCCTTGTGTTCTGTATGATCAGTTTGAACATAGCTGAAAGTTAACCGTCAGACAAGGGCTTGTTAGTCGAAGAGGAAATAACTATCCCAGGCCATTTCATTGTTTTTTTTAACAAAAGTTTGTTGAATTCTAAATACATGCCAGATCCTAGTCTAGATTCTGAGGATAAAGCAAAGTTCCTACCTGAATTGAGTGTTTATTCAGATATATACAAGAAAGGGGATATCTTATTGAATTTGTGCTTCTATAACAAAATACCACAAACTATGCAATTTATAAACAATAGAAATTTATCTCTTATGGTTTTGGAGGCTGGCAAGTCCAGAATCAAGGCATTGGCAGGAATGGTATCTGGTGAAGATTGCTCTCTGCTTCCAAGATGACAGCTTGTTGTTGGATTCTCTGAAGGGGAGGAACACTGTGTCTACACGTGGTGGAAGGGACAGAAGGTCAAGAGGGGTCTAAGCTAGTTTCCCTCAGCCCTTTTATAAAGCACTAATCCATTCATGAGGGCTTTGCCCTCATGGCTTAATCACTATCTTAAAGGCCCCACCTCTTAATACCACCACTGTGGGGATCAAGTGTCAACATGAATTTGGAGAGGACATAATTGTTCCAACTATAGTAGAGGGTGACGAAGTAAATACATAATGTGACAGAAGAGAAGTAAAACAGGGTAAGAAGGATAGGGTATAAATGGGGAGCAGAGTAGCCTTACTGGAAGAGACCTGATGGAGACGAGAGTGAACCATAGATCTGTGGACAGAGTTGCAGGCAGCAGGAACAGGAAGTCCATGTTCCTGTGGTGGGTCATGCTTGGTGTGACAGAACAGCAGATGAGGCCATGGGAGCTGCCAGATCACCTGGGGCCTTGGAAGTCACTGTGAGGATGTTGACTTGTACTCTAAGGGAGATGGAAGGGGACTGCAGGGGTGACATGCCATTTCATCCAGATACCAAAACCTGAGAGTTTGATAGCTTTGATTTTGTGTCATTGGATGGAGTTAATTGCGATTCACATAGCTTCAAAGTACTGCAGTAGAAACCTTGACCTATGGTAGTGGAAGAAAGTGAGTAAAGAGAAAATAGAGGCATCTCTAGAAAACAGGAGCATAAAATCTGGAGAAAGGCATTTATTCCCGGCATGGACAGTGGATTCCTGGCTAACCATAGGTTATTAAGGTTAGTTAACATGTGAGCATTTCCTGTGGCATGTATATATTACTTGTTTCCCCTCTACTCTCATTCAAAAGAGTTAAAACTGATAGTGTTCCTTTGTACAGCATTGCTTGAGGATAGGGTTGCCTTATTTGGAAAAGGAAAAAAAAATGATATCCCAGTTAAACTTGAATTTTTTTTTTTTCCAGTTTTCATTTTTAGATTCTGGGGGTATGTATGCTGGTTTGTTACCTGGTATATTGCATGATGCTGAGGTTGGGGCATGAATGATCCCATCATTCAGGTAATGAGCATAGTACCCAATAGATTTTAAGCTCTTCCCGCACCCCCTTTGCAGTCCCCAGTTGCTACTGTGGGCATCTTTATGTCCATGAGTACCTAATGCTTAGCTGACACTTATAAGTGAGAACATGTATTCAGTTTTCTGTTTCTGTGTTAATTTGCTTAGGATAATGGCCTCCAGATGGCATCCATGTTGTGGTAAAGGACACGGTTTTGTTCTTTATCATGGTTGTGTAGTAGTCCATGATATGTGTGTTCCACATCATCTTTATCCAGTCCACTACTGATGGGCACCTAGGTTGATTCCATGTCCTTGCTATTGTGAATAGTGCTGTGATAAATATCAATGATTGTGTCTTTTTATTAGAACAATTTTCTTTTGGATATATACCCAGTAATGAGATTGCTGGGTCAAATGGTAGTTCTGTTTTAAGTTCTTTGAGAAATCTTTAAACTGCTTTCCACAGTGGCTGAACTAAGTTACTTTCTCACTAATGGTGTATAAGCATTCCCTTTTCTCCTCAGCCTCACTAGCATCGGTTTTTTTGACTTTTTAATAATAGCAATTCTGACTAGTGTGATATGGTATCTCATTGTGATTTTGATTCAGATACACAAATATTTTTAAAGTATAAATATGTCCCAAATATTGCATGCCATCCTGTATTTTATCTGGCAATCCTAGTAGGCAGCAGAGGACATAAAATTTTAGTATTTTGGGTCTCAACTTCAGTTGCTTCTCCTATAGAATAGAAAAACAAATGGATCTTTAATATTTATAGTCATCTACTTAGAGTGATCTATGACTAGAAAACTGCTCCTCACAAATCTGTCAGAGGGGAAGTAACATGAAATTCACTCTCTGTGTATGTGTATTCAGATGAGGAAAAAAACCCTCCAAATCCTAAATACCGCTTTCTCATAATGCATTAGGGGTTTGCTTTTTGATTGCTAATCAGTGGCCCTTCTGCCAGAGAGTGCTGACAGGCAGAGGATTTCTATAAACTTTCACTATCTAGTTGGCTTGGCCAATGGCCTAGGTAATTACAACCTATGTACTCGGAGATAAGAAATAGGCCTTCTTTAAGTTTTAACGTGCATGTGTACAATGTGCAGGTTAGTTACATATGTATACATGTGCCATGTTGGTGTGCTGCGTATAATAAATAAATAAATAAGTAAAAAACAAATCACTGATCCAAATAAACTTGAGTTTCAAAAAATCTAAAAAAAAAAAAAAGAAAAAAGGCCTTCTTGTTCCCAGAGACACTACCTAGATTCCGCTCTCTCTGCAGCTCTCTACTCTCTGATACTCTGTCCCGTGAACTCTGGCTGTCTTGGGCTCCCCAGGTGCTCAGCTCTATCTCTTCACCTCAGGCTCCACCTGGGTTTCTCCTCCCTGTGCCACAGCCTGGCTCTCACAGACAGGAAGTGGGACAGTGGTTGGGCCCACTGTTCTCCAGTTTCTGGTGTCCAGTGTCTTGAAAAACCATTGTTCCATATCCAGTATTTTGTCGTTTTAAAATTTTCCCTATTGTTTGGAGTGGGAGGGTCAATCTGATCCTTCTGTTTCATCTTGGCCAGAGGTGGGTGTACGAGAGAGAGAATCTTAGGAGTTGCCCACTTCTGGAGTTCTAGCTATGTCTGAAAAATAGCTGAATTAAAACTTATCTCTTAGAGGGGATCAAGAACTTGTCTTGTAGACTAAAAAGGCACAAGGTTGTCTAAGGAGTCAGGAAATGCTAGTTCCTGTTCTCTTTCTCCTTTAGGCCTGGATTAAAGAAGGATTGTAATCTGAGAAACTCCTGAAAACACCAGGGCCTGTGATCCAGTGATCCTGGAATTTATTTCCCTCACTTCGAGCAGCTCAAAGCAGGCATAAACCCCAAAGAACATAGAAGTCAATTTGAAGGAAACTATTTATATTCCCTTATTTTTTTTCTGAACATAGAAAAACCATATATCCCACTGTGTAAACATGGTCTGGGGCTGTGTGCACAGTGATAAATGATAGTGGGAAGAACAGTATAACTGGCCCATCTAATGCCACCGCCTGGGGAATCTATGCCACAGCACTGATTAAGCAAATCCTTGGGGCTGATCTGCTAGCTCATCACCCTCAGTGGCATTATTGCTCCTCATGTATTTTTAAATAACTGAACAGGAGCCTTTGATTCTTGAGAACACTTGGTTTGGCAGGCCCAAGGCTCCTTAATTTAGAATCATTTGAGTTGAATTGGAATGAACAGGCAGGTAGCCTCCATAGTGGAAACCAATTATTCACTACGTGTCAAGATGTTGAAAATGATTTGTTACAAGTTTAGACAAACTTTTTGTCACTAAAGGTCCATCCTCATTATTCAAACTCAGGACCAGTCATCCGTAATAGATTTGAGAAGAGAATTTGTCAGGTGAAGAAAGCCGATGTCTCAGAAAGCAATGAGAAGTCTGTGTGTACTTGATTGCCTTATTTTAATCTAATTGTTGGGGAGAGTTGGAATTGAGGCATAAATGTCTTTCAGAGGATTTAATTCCCCACTGTAAATTCTTTCAGTCTCAGAGTGATATGAGTGGCATGGGCCCCGCACAGCATGGCAGTGGGTGGAAGGCCACGAGAGGAACCATGGACGCTGTATTAGTCTGTTCTCATGCTCCTAATAAAGACATACCCAAGATTGGGTAATTTATAAAGGAAAGAGGTTCAATGGACTCACAGTTCCACATGGCTGGGGAGGCCTCACAATCATGGCAGAAGGCAAAGGAGAAGCAAAGGCACATCTTACATGGCGGCAGGCAACAGAGCTTGTGCAAGGGAACTCACATTTATAAAACCATAAGATCTCGTGAGGCTTATTCACTGCCATGAGAACAGTATGGGGGAAACTGCCCCATGATTCATTATCTCCACCTGGCTCTGCTTTTGACACATGGGTATTATTACAATTCAAGGTGAGATTTGGGTGGGGACACAGACCAACCCTATCAGCCACCCTCCCTCCTTGGCTGAGAAGCTGGCTTCTTGCTGGTGCCTACTTCTAAGTGCCCCCTACCTGGATTTGTCTTGCTCTGGCTGTTTGAAAGTCTGCTTACCTAGGGCTGAAGTTGTCTTGCTGAGCCCCTGAGAAAAGTTAGGAGTATTCACACTAAATTTAAATAATGTATTTTCCTTGTCTCTACACAACCCTCAGCCATCACTGACGTCTTTAGGGCATTAAGTAACACAGGCAGCTGTGCAGCCTGCCTTTAAGAAGTCTGATGACAGACATCTGTCACTGCAAATATTGAAGCAAACAAATCTATACGTTCTTTTCATATTTACATGGAGGAATTTCTGTGGCCACATGGATGTGAGACAGAATGAGATATGAGGATGGTTCAGATGGGATGCACACGGTGAAGAAATTGTGCCACCTGTTCCTTGGGCATGTGCTATCTTCCCAGTCAACCCACTGACTCTGCTGAAGATTATTATTTCTAGTTATTTACTAATTTGACAAAGCTGCCAAAATCTGAATCACAAACTTACGACCACTTCCACTTCCCCTTAGGAGTTCATTTTCCTGACTGCCCACACACAAAAATTTATGAGGGTATCTGAGGTTTGGAGCTTTCTGAGAGGCTGTGTCTTCATATGAAAATCATGGTCCTGTGCTGGTCTCCTCCCTCTGGTTGCACGGTAATGGCTTTTCACATACCACACTGATGGCCATGCCTCAACTGCAAGCCTCAAGAAAATAGGGATAAGACTGTCAGACACTTGGCAAGGGTCTAGCCTATCTTTCCTGTGTTTTGGATGTTTTCTGTTGTAATAATCAGCTCCATGAAGACCTTTTAGGACCAAGTTAACCCCCAAGAAAGAATTTGTCACAGTTGTCTGTCAAGAAATCTCATATTACTGTGAAGGTAATATCCAACTTAGGTTCCCAGTGTGTCAGCCACACCTGTTGCTGCCATTCAGTAGGCTACTTTGTGTATAGTTTCTTAGTTACTGAGAATAACTACTTAGGCGAGTAAGAGATTATAAATATTATCATTGAAATGAGGTAGGCTTATTTTCTTCTCGGATACAGTTGTGGGCTTGTGGATTCAGTAATTTCTGGTGAAGCCATGCAGCTTTTCAATTTAGTAACCCCTTTGGCTTGAGGCTGGGAAGGCCATGGGTTGTTCTTGGCACGGACTTGCCAGTGACCTCTTCCAAGTGCCAAAGGTATGTTCTCAAGCTGAATTTGGGCTTTGATGCCACTCTTCTCAGTGGGAGACAAACTGACAGCGGAAACCCTGGCTCTATTTAAGGCTTCTGGAGAGAGAGCAGGTGGTGATATGTGGATTTCCATCAAATAATTTGGTTGTCACCAGTAGGATCACTTTGAAGCCACCCTGGCCACGTGCATTGGCAGAAGTCTCCCTGCCCTCTGGAGAAAGGAGAGGAGAGCCCCACGGTTTCTCTTCTGGGTCTAGGGTTTGTCACCAGGCCCAGAAATATGGGACTCAGGCCTCTTTCTGCAGCAATGGAGACCAGGCCCAGTATTGGAGATGGGCTGGTTTGGTTGTAACTCTCTGAAGCTGAGTACTGTGGCTAAATCAAGCTCCCATTCCACTGCTGCATTTTCAGAACTGTCCTCCGGTTTGCCTGTTTCACACCCTCCCACTTCTACAGCTTCCTGTTTGCAAACAGATTTGCTTGTTAAATGGAGAAAACCAAGTTTGTATGCATTTGTGTCATGCAAAGGAGGAGGAAAACCAGTCTTCCTGGGGGAAGGCAGCTGGGGTTGAGTGTTGACGATGAGAAAAAAATTCTGTTCAAGAAACTAGCCTATGTACTCCATCTTTCTCTTTCTGTGCTCTTTGAGAATGAGAAATGGTCTACCCATCTCTGGGTCTGAAAGACAACTGTACCATCCTGATAATTAGGATGATGTAATTCCAAGGATATTATTTCATGGATAAAATGGCTCTCTTCTTTTGAAGAAATAAAAATGAGATGTTCTTCCAACCTCTTGAATTCTGGCATGTATGCTTCTAGGAGAGGCCTTGTTATGCCGTTTGAGAAAAGGGAGGGAGCTTGCATTTCCTAGAAAACCTAGTAAAAACACATTTGTATTGGCCAGTAAGTCTTCTCACTGACTTGGATCCTCAAAAGATTTGTCTTGGGCAAGAGTTTGTCATATCTTAGAAGCTTCTCAAAGACTGAACATTAGAAAGATATGCTATAATAAGTGTGACTTCCAAAAAGGTGTGAAGAACTCTTAAACCAAAGCAAGAGAAAACAGTCCAATTCCTAGTGGAAGCGTCATGTGACGAAAGGTGGGGAGAGCAAACAAGACAGTCCAGTCATTGCCACTGAGAGCTCCCTGTGTGCTTCCTCAGAGCTTTCTTAGCAGGTCAAGGAGATATCACTGTTCTGATTTAGGGACAGGAGTGTGGCCAGCAGGGGCTGTCATCTTCATGAAAAGAGATATGTGGTCTGCAGACTGACTTCTGATCTAGGACTGGTCAAAATTGCAAAGTGGGTCAAATGTGTTTAAAGGGCCTCTGCACTGAGGTCCTTACCCAGTGCCTGGTGCCCCCATGCTGTGCAGCAGGCCTGTGGTCCTGTTCCCCCCCGCTCAGCTCTGCGCTGTTTCTGGGCCCCTGAGTCATTCTTTGCCACCTTTCCCATCAAAGTTTACCTGTCTTTTTCCCCATGTATTTGGGATTCATTATCCTATTAACTTTTTTACCATGATTGGTAATAGTCTTAATAACTTAGAGTATTGTCATATTTATATTTGAAAAAGCTCTTAGTGGCTATTTTTGCAAAGTAAGGAGAGGGAATTCCAAGTACGATGGCAGGCCATCAAGGAGGTTTCTCAGGATTAATGTCATTTAAACATCTGAGATACATTTAGAATGAATGCTACTATACTAATAAAACATTAAAATGTATATCAAATTACCTAATGAATCTGTTTCTACTTGTTATATATTCGTACCTTCAGGAGTCCCAGATTCTACTTCACCCCCTTGTTAAACAACAGAAATTAATTAGTCATACTATAAAATTATAAAAATTTCATTGACTTAAAGTATTACATGATAAAAATTACAAAAATATTAGAAAAGAGAATGTGATTAAAAAGAGGCAAACAACTAGAGACTTCCTGGAAAATAAGGACTTCGAGCTGAAATTTTTAAATGGTTTGGAGAGTGGTATTGTAAGCTAGTGGTAGAAAGTTATGTTGTGTGCTGGGTCTGTATAGCTAAAGTTCTGGAGACCAAAGAGAAAAAAAGACTGTGCTGACCCACAGTATGTAAGATATGGAGGTCTCCATGGTTATCTTGCTTATAGTTCTAAATATATAACAAAACAACTCTGGCTCCCAGACCAAGAAAGACAGCTTCCTCAACATTTTGGGTGTGAGTGAAGCCAGACAATATTTGAATCTTGACTCAGAAGCAGTGACAGGATGTGTCATGTCTGAGAGGCACCTTGAAGTTTGAATAAGTAATTTTTATTTTTTTTGGATGGAGTCTCGCTCTGTCGCCCAGGCTGGAGTGCAGTGGCGTGATCTCAGCTCACTGCAAGCTCCGCCTCCTGGGTTCACGCCATTCCCGCGCCTCAGCCTCCCAAGTAGCTGGGACTATAGGCACCCGCTAATTTTTTTGTATTTTTAGTAGAGACAGGGTTTCACCGTGTTAGCCAGGATGGTCTTGATCTCCTGGCCTCGTGATCCGCCCACCTAAGGCCTCCCAAAGTGCTGGGATTACAGGCGTGAGCCACCGCGCCGGCCTTAATAAGTACTTTGTGTGGTTTATCAATAACCTGCCAATCATCTTTGTGCCTGATAACTTCTGGGTTATATATAGGCACCCCCTCAAATATGTCAATGCATTTGGATTAATAAGACACTCTGTCCAGTATGGTAGCCACTGGCCATATGTGGCTGTTGAGCACCTGGAGTGTGGCCAGTCCAAACTGAGATGTGTTAAGTATAAGAGGCATGTTGTGGATTTCAGAGATTTAGTATGAAAAAAGAATGCAAAGTATCTCAAGAATGACAACTTTTTATTGATTATAACTTGAAATGATGGTATTTTAGATATATTGGGTTGAGTAAATATGATTGAACTACCAGTCCTTTTTACTTTTTATTAATGTGGCTACTAGAAAAGTTAAAATTACATACGTGTCTAGCAGTGTATTTCTATAGGACAGCACAGGCATGGATATTCATGTGTGTATACAGCTGTAAAAATTTTTCAGATATTTCCATATTTTCCCTTTTCTCTTTCATTTAATAATTTGCATGACTGTAAGGGACCTGAATTACAAAGGTGAATAAAGATTCCATATGTTCCACATACTCAGCAGCTTACCATTTGGTGAAAGAGATACTCTTTTTTAAAAAAAAAAAAATTACAGTACAGTATGTAAGGGCTGTAATAGAGAAGTGTACCAGTGCTATAGGAGAACAGAGGAGAAAGACCGTGAGACCACTGCAAGCAAAGACCGTGAGACCACTGAGTGGGCAAAGGCTTCAGAGAGGAGTTCACATTTGAACTAGACTCAATTTTATTTAGTTTTTTACAAGACATAATTTATTTCCTTTTTTTAAAAAAATTTAGATTTGAGGGTACATGTGCAGCTTTGTTACTTGGGTATATTGTGTGATGCTGAGATTTGGGTCTCGAATGACCCCATCACCCACATAGTGAACATAGTGCCCAATAGGTAGTTTTTCAACCCTTCTCCCCACCTTCATCCCTCCCTCCCTCTTTTTGGATTCCCCAGTGTTCATTGTTCCCATCTTTGCGTGTAGCCAATTTTTAGCTCCTACTTGTAAGTGAGAACATCTGGGTTTCTGTTTCTGTGTTAATTCACTTAGGATAATGGCCTCCAGCTGCATCCATGTTGCTATAAAGGTCATGATTTCATTCTTTTTTATGGCTATGTAGCATTCCATAGTATATATATCCCACATTTTCTTTATCTAATCCACCATTGATGGGCGCCCAGGCTGATTTTATGTCTTTGCTCTTGTAAATAGTGCTGCAGTGAACATAATGAGTGCATGTGTCTTTTTGGTAGAACGATTTAATTTCCTTTGGATATATATCCAGCAATTGGATTGCTGGGTCAAATGGTAATTCTGTTTTTAGTTATTTAAGAAATCTCCAAGCTGCTTTCCACAGGGGCTGAGCTAATTTGCATTGCTACCAATAGCAATAAGCATTCTCTTTTCTCTACAACCTTGCCAGTATCTGTTATTTTTTGACTTTTTAATAGTAGCCATTCTGACTGGTGTGAGATGGTATCTCATTGTGGTTTTTATTTGCATTTCTCTAATAATTAGTAATGATGAGCATTTTTCATATATTTGGCTATTTGTATGTCTTTTGAGAAATGTCTGTCCTTCGCTTACTTTTTAATGGGTTATATGTTTTTTTCTTCTTGATTTTAAGCTCCTTATAGATTCTGGATATTAGTCCTTTGTCAGATGCACAGTTTGCAAATATATTTTCTCCTATTCTGTAGGTTCGTTGTTTACTCTGTTGATAGTTTCTTTTGCTGGGCAGAAGCTCTTTAGCTTACTTAGGTCCCAATTGTCAATTTTTGTTTCTGTTACATTTGCTTTTGAGGACTTAGTCATAACTTTTTTGCCTAGGCCAATGTCTGGAACAGTATTTCCTACATCTTCTTGTAGGATTTTTATGGTGTGAGGTCGTACATTTAAGTCTTTAATCCATCTTGAGTTAATTTTCATATATGGTGAGAGGTAGGAATCCAGTTTCATTTTTCTGCATATGGTTAGACAGTTTTCCCAGCACCATTTATTAAATAGGGTGTCCTTTCCCCATTGTTTATTTTTGTTGACTTTGTTGAAGATTGGTTGGTTTAAAGTGTGTGGCTTTATTTCAGTAGTCCCTATTCAGTTCTATTCATGTATGTGTCTATTTTTGTACCAGTACCATGCTATTTTGGTTACTGTAGCCTTGTAGTATAGTTTGAAGTCAGATAATGTGATGTCTCCAGCTTTTTTCTTTTTGCTTAGGCTTGCCGTGGCTATTTGGGGCTTTTTTGGTTTCATATGAATTTTAGGACAGTTTTTTCTAATTCTGTAAAAAATAATATTGGTAATTTGATAGGAATAGCACTTAATTTGTAGATTGCTCTGGAAGTATGGACATTTTAATGATATTGATTCTTCCTATTCATGAGCATGGAATGTCTCTCCATTTGTTTGTGTTGCTTATGGTCCCTTTCAGCTGTGTTTTGTAGTTCTCCTATAAAGATCTTTCACCTCCTTGATAAGATGTATTCCTAGGTATTTTATGTTTTTGTGGCCATCGTAAGTGAGATTGTATCATCTATTTGGTTTTCAGCTTGACCGTTATTGGTGTGTAGAAATACTACTGATTTTTGTACATTGATTTTTGTATCCTGAGACTTTGCTAAAGTTATCAGGTCTAGGAGTCATTTGGCGGAATCTTTAGGATTTTCTAGGTATAGAATCATGTCCTCAGTGAAGAGAGATAATTTGACTTCCTCTTTTTCTATTCGTATGCCTTTTATTTATTTCTCTTGACTGATTGCTCTGGCTAGGACTTCCAGTACTATGTTGAATAAGAGCAGTGGGAATGGACATCCTTGTCTTGTTCCGGTTCACAGTGGGGTTGCTTTCAGTTTTTGCCCCTTCGGTATGATAATGGCTGTGAGTTCATCATAGATGGCTTTTATCATTTTGAGGTATGTTCCTTTGATGCCTAGTTTGTTGAGGGTTTTTATCATGATGTTGGATTTTATTGAACGTTTTTTCTTCATCTATTGAGATGATCATATGGTTTTTGTTTTTAATTCTACTTATGTGGTGAATCACATCAAATTGCGTATGTTGAACCATCTTTGCGTCACAGATATAATGCTCACTTGATCATGGTGAATTTTCAGTGTGCTGCTGGATTCAGTTTGCTAGTATTTTGTTAATGATTTTTGTGTCTACATTCATTGGGGATATTGGACTACATTCATTAGGGATAGTTTTGTTATTGTTTCTTTGCCAGATTTGGGTATCAGAATGACACTAGTTTTATAGAATGAGTTAGAGAGGAGTCCCTCTTCCTCGATTTTTTGGAATAGTTTCAGTAGGATTGGTACTAGCTATTCTTTGTAAATCTGATAGAATTCGGCTGCAAATCCATCTGGTCCAGGGCTTTTTCTCGTTGGCAGGTTTTTTTTTTTTATTATTATTGATTCGTCTTTTATTACTGATTTACTCATTATTGGTCTTGAACTGGACTTTAAACGAGAGTAGAAATAGACCAGGTAGAGAAAATGGCAAGAACATTTTTCAGGTAGAGAAAAAAGCACAAGGGAAGATGGTGAGAAATGGAAGAGCTGGACAGAGTGGGTTTCAGCAAGAGTTGAGGGTGGCCAGACAGGTAGCAAGAGGAGGAAAGATGACCCTGGAAGGGTAGTTGGAGAAACTGGACTTTATCTTATAGAATGAGGCTAACCTATAGTGATATGTCAATAAGCAGTGACATCAAATTTGTGTTTTAAGACAACTACCCCCTGGAAGCAGTGTAACTAAGGAACTGGGGAAGGCAAAGATAGACATCCCAGAAAAACCAAGCCCTAACTTTACACACTGGGGGTAGAGATAAAGCCAAGGGGACACATTCACAAAATACTTAGGTGGTATAGAAGACAGGATCTGGAAGTTGAATTGCTTTGGTGGAGAATCAAGGCAATAAGCTAGCATGAGGACAGGAGAAACCAGAACGCAATGAGTTAAGGAATTAGTGGAAGCAAAGAAGAGGTAATATGAGGATAGATGGCTTTATTTCCAGAAGCTCCAAGGTGCAGGCAAACACAGAAAGGTGAGCAGCTTTTGATGGGAGGACAAAGAGGTGTGGTATGGTGTACAGCCATCCTGCTTATGTGTTTTATATGTGCTTTATATGCATTTAAGCCTTTGGGCTGGGGAGCAGGACCAAGTAGAAAGAAAGAGATTAGAGATATAAAAGCGAGGGAATAATGAATGGGAAAAGCTTCCTGAGGAAGCCTGGGCAGGGACTGAGAAGCAAGAATTATTAGGCAAAGGAGAATCAGGTAAATTTGAAAAAGCCACTGTGAGAAACTGAGATTGCTGAAACCCTCAGTTCTGCCTCTTTTAGTAATAGAGGCCAAGCACATTGAAATTCTTCAACCAAATCATTTTAGAGGTGTCAGTCCAGTTCCTACTTGCAGTTGACTTTCGGGAAGGGATGGGAAATCCATTTCAGGTGGAAAAGTTGGCTTTTGGAGGTGCATTGTGTGCCAGGAAGTAATCAGTCAGACGTTAGACTCTGTTGCCTCTAATCGTAAACTTTTGGCTCCTGTCCTTCCTTCCTTCCATCTATCATTCATTTATTTTTAATCTGTATGCTTTCATTTGGAACTTAGTTTGAAAAGATGTAAGGAAAGTACCTTTCTGCTGACAGGCTCTGTCAAACCTAAGGCACAAATAGTACCTTTATTTGACAGTGTGAGCACATAAAATTCTCACGTTTTAGGGGCTTCATTTTCTTTATCTCTAAAACTTTGCATTCGTTTGGATTATTGCTGAGGCTCCTTTTAATTTTAAAATTCCATGGTAGTATGGTACCAACTTGAATTTGTGCCCACTTACAAGACGTGAAGCAGAAGGAAAAAGTGATGCAGTGTGTACTCATCAGTGAGGGCGCTGGTGTTGATGTACTACATATGTATAAAATCCCCATGTAACTTTACCAGGCATCTGCAGTACAAGGACATTTTGCCTGCATAAGCAGCGTATGCTTCAGCTCAGAATATATGCCAAGCACACTTGAGAACTTTCGTATTTTGCAGCTGAAGTACAACACAGCTGGCCTCCTAAATGATTTAGAGTCTTCCTCTCCACCAGCAGAATTAAAAACTAAGACTGTTATGATGCCTCTAAGAGAACAGAGATGCAACCTATAATTATGAATTTATCAGACAATAGGTGACTTTCCACAGCAATTCTTAATGTGTTACCATAATCACACTTTCTCCTTTGGAGAATCAAGCCTTGTTTTAAGAATTTGCATTGCATAGAGAGTGGGAGAGGGGAAATGGATGTGTTGGGCATCCAGCAAAGCTTAAAAAGAAAATATAATTGGGTTCCTCCTTATCTGCAGCAAAGCAACCAACAGAAGAATCAGAATGTCAGGGGTTTGAGTGTTTAGCAGGTGACGATGGGGTCTCAAGCCCAGGGCCTGTTTATAAGTCCCACAAAACATAATACATTTGTTTGTGATGTTACTTGTAAGTTGATTAATATTTTTATATTGACATAGAAGAGCAAGGTGAATCTGCTGGATTTCTTGTAGACCATTCCATTCAGAGTGGAGGTACCTTCATGTTGTGTCTTATTTGTTCTTGCAACATCCTGATGAGGTAGAAATCTATCCTTATTTTGCAGACGAAGTTAAGGCACAAGAAGTCAGTTTCAGCAAAGCAAGTCAGGGACAGATGGAGCACTAGAATCAGATCTCTAAATTTGCAGCATGTTCTTTTCCTTCGATTTTTTTTTTAAAACAATCTCACAAATTTTAAAAACTGAGCTGCTGTTTATTTGTCTAGTTCTTTGCCTACCTTATAAGAAAGGAAGCTGTTGCTTCTGATAAGGCCCCTTGATGAAATATGCAGATATGGAAGTAGGAAAGCAAAAATAATCTAGATCAGAACCTACTGTTGGTAAAATGAAATCCCACCATGTCCATTACCTACCTGCTGTGATGGTAAGCAGTCATTCTGCAGGCATTTTTGAGTACCTGCCCTGTACCATGCAGTGTGCTGGAGACTGAGGAGGTGTGCCTAAATTTTTCTTGGGGGTCTTGCTTCTTTAGGGAAAATTACCTTACAAAGATGACTGAGTCCTGAATGGGTTATCCAGGCCAAAAAGGTCAATTTGGGGAGCCATGAGAGGAGGGATTTCACTTACTATTCATTCATTCTTTCTGTAGTAAAGGCCTGGAACTAAGAAAGATCCTGGTGAATTGGAGGAGAAACGGAATGAAGCTGAATTTTAGATTTCAAAGGGGTGCATAAGGAGACCAGAGAGAGAGGCAGAGGACAGATATTAGAAGATGTCATTGATTGTGTAAGGTATTTAGAAGGACCTCATGCAAGGGAGTTATCTAATTAGAGCTGCTTTTGCAATGAGTCTGAGCCTAGAGGTAGGTTGAAAGGAGACAAGACTAAAGACACAGAGATCAATTTGGAGTTGTTGTATGAATCCAGGTGAAAAACCAAGGCCTGGACTAGGATAACGACATTGAGGATGGAAGTAATCTAATCTGTATGGTTTGGGAAAGGTTATAGGGGCTTGGTGAGAATCGGATGTGGACAATAAAAAGGCGAAGGAAGCCTCTAGGATGATGTCTAGGTTTCTGGTTCCCAAACAAAGGTAGATGGTGTGAAATAAGGAATGCTGGCAGAGGAGGGGTTTTTGAAAGATCAGTAGGAGACAATGAGCTTACTCTTAGACCTCTAAGAGTAATAATCAAATAACCTAGGTCATGCTGATGAGGCCCTAATTCATAGTGACCAAACTCACAGGAGTTTATAAATCTGAGTATTATTCTGTGAATTATTATTTAGAAGCATTTATTTCCGATGACTGGAAAATCCCCTATTTATATCAGTTCCATCTGTTAGGTAGAACTTCAGAGTAACCCAATTGTCAGATGTAGAAGCAGAACAAAGAAAAACGGATGAATTTTAAAAGAGGTTTAATTTAGTCCCATAAAATGTGGAAGACCTGCTTGGAAACAGACATATTTAGATAAGAATAATCAAATTACTCATTTTTTGAGGTTGGTAGTATTGGGTGATTACTAACATTTTTACTCTTCACCTTAAGATTTTGCTTCCTTCACTGCAGTGCTACTTCAGTTCATTATTATAATTGAACAATTCTGTTTCACATGGAGCACATTTTCAATAAACTCCTTCCCACTTGCCTTCTCAGAACTTCCTCAGGTTCCAGTTTGTGTGGATAGTCTCACTGTGGGGGTGATCCTTTGAGGCTTTTCTGACTTTGATGGTTTTTTTGTTTTTGTTTTATTACTTGACACCTGGTATTCATACTTAAACTTGGTGTCCACTGAAGGACAATGAGGCAGCAGCAGTGAGTGACTTCATCTTAGAATACAGGTGATCAGAATCTTTACTCCCCAGCTGAGTGCTGGGCTTAGTCTCTTGCTCATTTATTTAAAAACCATTTATGGAATACTAGTCCTTGTAGAGAAATATGGAATGGCATATTTCCTGTTCTTAATAAAGTAACAGTGTAGTAGAATACAGACATGCAAATGAGGAATTGGAATATTGTGATTGCCATTGCAGAGGGATAAATCAAGGTAATGGGCCATGGGTAAAGGAGCTTCAGAAGTGTGGGGAAGGCTTGATCATGGATTCATTAGGCTAGATGATAAGAGTTGGGGTAGGGGTGGTATGTGAGCCCTTTCTAAATACACAGAACTGCGTGGGCAAGCAGAGAGAGAGAGGAGAGAACCTCGCACATCCTGGGACTCTTCTGTATCGTGGGGCCATGAATTTATAGATAGCAGAGGTAGTATGAGAGATGAACCTGGGCTTGGACAGGTAAGTAGGAACCAGATCAGCAGAGGCCTTGTATCCCCTGTAAAACAGTTTAAATATTAGCCTGCAGAAAGCCATTGAATTGGTTTGAATAATATATTTTAAAGGCATCTAGTTCTAAGCATATTTGCATTTGACATAGACCTAAAGACAAGACAAGGTTGCATTTATTCCCTCTTGTAGTAGTTGAGAAAACTTTGCATATTAGTGTTTTTATTTTGCTTCAAGGGAGTTTAAATTGTAACATATATATAACATTGAGTTTGCCATTTTAACAAGTTTTAATTTTAATGGTTAAAATTCAGTGGTAATAAGTACTTACACAATGTTTTACAACCATCACCACTATTCCCAAAACATCTCCATTACCACAAATAGAGACTTTGCAACCATTAAGCAATAACTCTCCATCCCTGCCTCCAGCCCCTGGTAATCTCAAATCTACCTTCTGTGTCTATGGATTTGCCTATTCTAGAAATTTCATATAATTGAAATTATATAATATTTGTCTTTCTGTGTCTGACTTATTTCACTTAACAAAATGTTTCCAGAGTTTATCCATGTTGTAGTATGTATCAGAACTTCATTCCTTTTTTATAGCTGAATAAAATTCAATTGTATGTATAGACTGTATTTTGTTTATCCATTTATCTGTTGACAGACACTTTGATTGTTTCCACCTTAGGTTATTGTGAATTGGCCTGTAAGCATCTGTTTGAGTTCCTGCTTTCAGTTCCTTTGGATATATACCTAGAAGTGGAGTTTCTGGGTCACATGGTAATTCTACATTTAACTTTTTGAGGACCCACCAAACTGTTTTCCACTGTTTACCATTTTACACTTCCACCAGCAATGTACGAGGATTCTGATTTCTCCACATCTTTATCAACATTTATTATTTTCCAGGTTTTTTTTTTAATATTGTCATAGCCATCCTAGTGGGTGTGAAGTAGAATCTCATTGTGCTCTTATGCACCCTGGATTTGGAATATGCAAAAATATTTTGTAGTGAGTAATAAGCTTTGAACACATTTTTGTTCATGAGGTTTCTTAAGTGTTCCTATTTTTGCCATAGAAAATAATTGATTATAGACTTTTATTTCCAAGTTAAGGCTTGTCAGTTGAAGCATTCTTCTAAAAATTTTAAAGTAAGAAAACCCGTTGCTCTGAAATATCCTCCAATGCACCCAGGATCAGTTTGCTAAACGGCAGCTCTTGGCCATGTCAATATGCCTTGCTAGTACTCTTGGTGAACTCTCCTTGCCCTGGTTCAGATGTCCCTAGTCTCTGGGCTAGACTAGTACAGTGGCTTGCAAACTGTTCCCTCATTTCCTGATCTCCTCTTTTTCTCATTCCTCCTAAATACTGCAGGCAGTACAGCATAGTGCTTAAGTGCACAGGCATCAGAATGAGAACCTGGTCTGAGTCCCAGCTCTGCCACTACTAGCCATGACACTTCAGACAAGTCAGTTAATCTCAGTGAACACCTGTTTCTTTACCTATAAAAGAGGACAACATTGCCTACCCAACAGGGCTATTGTGAAGACAAGACAGGTCAAGCCCTTAGTACATTGCTTGGCACATAGACAAATGGGGTTAGTTGGGGTGCTATTAATACTGCCTGCAGAGTTATTTTTCTAAAAACCTGATTATGGAACTTCTCTGCTTGAGCCACTTCAAATTTCTGTTTTCTCAAAACAAACTTCAAACTGTTTGGTACTTTGTAAGAGGCCCTTTGCAGCGTAGGTCGCTAGCCTTGTCTGCTGCCCTCCTAAGCCACTGGCCAGTGTAGACCAGATAAGCATGTGACTGATAGCTCAGTGCATGCTCTCCCATCTGCCTGATTGAGCCACATTTAAGGAAATTATCCTTTCTCTGAAGCCTATAAAAAGATTCCTCTCTCTGAAGCCCCACCTGGCATATATTGGACTGGGTCTAGGCTCACCTATCTCTGTTAGAGTGATTATCTGTCATCACATGGGGGTTTTTGTGAACTCTTCTGTGTCTTATTTATCTTATTTATCATATCTTATTTATATGATGAGCACTATAGGGCCTCTATCAAGATGCAAAGATGAGAAGCCGGGCATGGTGGTGTGTGCGTGTAGCCCCAGCTACTTGGAAGGCTAAGGCAGGAAAATCACTTGAGCCCATGAGTTTGAGTCCAGCCTGGCAACATTTTGAAAAACAAGAAGAAGAAAATGGGAATATGGGAATAACTTTACCTACAGCAATCAGCCCCATTCCCTTGTTTTCTAACTTGGCATGGTTAGGATTGTGGGAAGAGTTTCCACATCTTGAAACTTACCTGTCCTTTCATGTGGCCATACAGTCAACAGACTCCTTAAAAGTGCACCATGGATGAATCCTGTGTGCTAGTGTTGATCTCCACCGCGTTTTACTTATTCAGCAACTCTGTTGAATACCCAGTTGGTGTAAGTCACTTTAATAGCCCCCTAAAGGAGATAAAGAATTGCATAAGATGTTTCTGTTAATGAGGCTTTTCAAGATAAATGTTCTTGCTTGTCCTGTGGCTTTGAGGAATGTAAAATCTAGTTGGAGCAATTGTAGTCTGTCTGTTTGCTGGAGAGGCTGTGGGAAATTCTGACTCCTCCTGTCGTCATTGTATTTCCAAAACAGTTCAGCCTTCTTGCTTGGCAGATGGGGCCACATGTAGTCCTGACTCAGCTTCTGAATTTCTGGTGAAATCTAAAACTACAGAGAGAAGAGAAATCCTGCTGTTTGCAAAGGATTCAAGAGGGAGACCACAATAGGTAGCAATTCAGAAGTAAACACCAACAAAATAACCCTGTGTTGTCTGCTATAGTCTACAGTCTGTTTTCTGACACCATTTGGTCTGAAGCTTCTACTAGGTTGAGACTCACAATTTTTTTTTTTTTTTTTTTTTTGAGATGGAGTCTCGCTCTGTGGCCCAGGCTGGAGTGAATTGCCGTGATCTTGGCTCACTGCAAGCTCCGCCTCCCGGGTTCATGCCATTCTCCTGCCTCAGCCTCCCGAGTAGCTGGGACTACAGGCGCCCGCCACCACACCCGGCTAATTTTTTTGTATTTTTAGTAGAGACGGGGTTTCACCGTGTTAGCCAGGATGGTCTCAATCTCCTGACCTCGTGATCCGCCCGCCTTGGCCTCCCAAAGTGCTCGGATTACAGGCATGAGCCACCGCGCCTGGACTGTTTTTTTATTCTTTAAATCTTTAAAGAAAATATACTGATATGTTCCTACATTGTTTGTAATTGAGCTCCCTGACCCTCTGATGTTATGTAAAGATCAAAAATCTTAATTAAAGCTACAAATCAGTAGCATTATTTTGAAGAGGTATTTAATGTGAGAAGAAGGCAGTGTGAGTCAGGAGAAAAGTTACAGCAAAAGTATATGTTAAGCATTCTTTGTAAAGTAGATGTAAAACTTACGAGCTTCTTGACAGGTGATGCAAAATAGAAAAATATCAGGAATTGAATTAATACTTTAAAATACTTTGATTTCAATACTTTGAAATTACTGAGTTGAAAAATGTTAATTTTTTTTAAGAAAACGTGGCAAATGTGGGCATCCCCTGTGGTCCTTTGGTACTCTTCAGCCTGGCTTCCAGATTTCAGATGATGTTGGATCCAGGCTCAGAAGTGAGGATGGGCCTTTGTTGCTGAGTTCAGAAGATTGCAGGCTACAGGCACTATTCCATATTTTTTAGCCAGGTGTTAGAGAAAATGTTGCTCCTGGAAGTAGTACTTTCTTATCCTTTTAGTGGTAAGGGTGTAACTTTTTGTACTAAAGGCAGTTTAATTTAAAAAACTACACAAGATACATGGTTAAGTGATTTTATGTACATATAACCCTTTTGGGTATTCTTATCATCTGGATTTAACAAAGATATAACTGAGGCTGGTAGTTAAGTATATTACCAGCTGATTAGTGGCAGAACCAGGATTGGAATCTTAGTCTTATTTACTGGCATCTTAGTTAATTCTGGCTGCTGTAACAAAATATCACAGACTGGGTGGCTTATAAATAACAGAAATTTATATCTCTCAGTTCTGGAGTCTGGAAGTGTGGGATTGTGGTACCAGCATGATCAGGTTCTGGTGAGAGCCCTGTTCTGGGTTGCCGACTGCTGGCTTCTCTTGTATCCTCACATGATGGGATGAGAGAGCTCTGGTCTTTCTGTCTACTTATAAGGGCACAAATCCCATTTATAAAGGCCCCACCCTCAGAATCTAACTATCTCCCAAAAGCCCCTCCTCCAAATGCCATCACATGAAGGATTTAGACTTCAACTTATGAATTTGGGAGAAGAGAGAGATGCAAACGTTTAGTTCATAACAGCTGGGTTCTATAGTTACCAGCTGGAGAGGCCTCTGATGGATACAGGGATCCAGGAGGATATGCAGAAAGGCACTGAACAGGGTATAGAAGTGTGTGGGTATGTGAGTCTGTGGGTATTCACTCTAAAAGTACAGCAGTATCAAAATTTAATGTTCCACTCTTTGTTGGATTTGGCCCCAATTTCATTTTATGAATGGATGTTAAGATATTTCTGACTACAGGCCAAAATGATTCAAAGCTGGGTGCAATAGTGTGCACCTATAGTCCCAGCTTCTTGGGAGGCTGAAGCAGGAAGATCATGTGAGCCCAGGAGTTTTAAGCAACATAGACCTCATCTCTAAAAAACAAATGAAAAATATTCAAACTCTGATTGGTAGTAATAAAGAATGCTGCTCACAACTACATTTTTTTGTGTATATGTTATGGGTATTCTCTTCAGTGCAGGTTTATGACTAGTATTCTCGTTTTGAAAAATACTTTTTGGGATGACAATCTTTTTTCAAACTCTTGACTTTATTTTCTGGAACTAGATGTTGTATTACATCACTGGAAGTTTATTCATGGCTCTCTCTGAAATGAATATTTATGCACCTGTGCAAAGCTCCCCTCACATCTCCGAGCAGTCAGTGGTATCACAATGAAAGCCAGATGTAGAAAGAGCAGGTTGAGATTGGTGAATATAAAACATGAAACTGGAGTCTATTAGTCAGACACTAAAGGAGCCTCATGGCTGTATCTCTTTTCCCCCATTTCCGCTGGGCAGCCTTATTTCTGGGTAGAAGCTCTGATCCAAAGAGAATAGCAAAGGGCAGGCCTTAAGTAGACAGGAAATGCTCATGTGGGAACTACTATCTTGCTGAAGCCTTTCTGAAATCCCTTCTTCTCCCAGAAACGGAGATCTCTCTGACCTGACCTCTTCTCCCTTATCAATCCCTATCATCAGATATAACATGGTGCCATGCATTGTCTGTTATCTTTGTATTGTAAGCTCCTTGAAGGTAAGGCTTGTGTCTTTGTCTTTGGTTTGTGGTAGTAGAAGGCCACCCCAATAGTGAATGATCTAGGATTTCCAGATAAGCTTATTGTTCATCATATAGATGGCGCACATTTCCTTCTTCTTCTACCTGTCCCTGTCTCTTGTATTGCATTCGAGTTAATGAGCTAATTCCATATCAAATGGCACAATGATCCTTAACATGTGTACATTCAGTTATTGATGACAGGTGCTCTCTTGGGTTTAAAAAGCTCTGCTCAAAGAAAGGTTTTGCTTTCTCTCAATTTATGAAAAGTCATTGTGTGCAGGTAGATATTAAGTTTTGTACTTCGAAGATTTTAGTAATTTAATAATCCTCACCCAGATATCTCAGATAAACAAAATCCTCTTGTTGGACAGATAATAAAAACAAAATACCTTAGACCTACATTTCTGGGTTTTCCTATATCCATTTAAGGCAGCATAAATACCCACGTGGAAACAAAACCTTAATCTTAGTTTATTCAGAGTTTTTTTTTCTGTCTCCTCCAAGAGGAAGATGAGCAAAAAAATAAAAAACTTTGCAGGTGTGTTTCAATCTAAGATTACTTGATTCCTTATTTTCTAGCATTCACATAGTCAGACCCAATTAAGTTAGAGGATTTTTTTTTCCGTGACTTCATATTTTTAAGATGAGTAATAAACAGTTATAGTTCAGGGGATACATGTTAGTGAAAAAAAGTCAAAGTTGTTAGCATAATTGTATAGGGTACCACATTAAGTTTTTCACAGAACTTTTCAAATACCTGAGATAACACAATATACCAGGTCCCCAAGTGTGACTTGAACATCGTATGACTTCTGTTTCCTGAAGCTGCTGAGATTCTTTACTGTTAGAGCTTGGGAATTTCAGGAGCAGCACTTCTACAGGAACCTAGTTAAGTTGCCCAGTGGCTGAGGCATCCTGGAGGAAAAACGACACTTTGTTTAGTGGGCGGGCACTGCAGGAGTTTGTTTTGCCTTTTCTCCTGCTCGCATCCTTCGTCTTCTCATACTCCCTTAGAATAATCGTGGAAACATGATGCAGGAGGCCTGGGAGGGATCTTTCAACTGTGTCTGAGCAATTTTAAGAGTTGTTCCACCAGGGTCCCCAGAGGACTTAGGATTTTGTCTCCACTCGGTTATGAGCTGGTAGGGAAATTTGGGAAGAAGCAAGGGAACATGTTTTCAGCCTGATGAGTACCCTACATTAGCCAAGTATAGGTGTCACTAAGGATTGTCACGCAGCTCAAAGAGATGTATGTTTTTTCTTCTAGACTACCTTCCTTGTAAAAGTCAGCCTCTTCTGAGAAAGATTTTAAAATCTGAGATAACAGCGGGAACACAAAGCTGAAGGATTCCTCTTTCTTTCTCTGGGCTTCTGAAAGGCAGACGCTGATGATCGGATTTGCACTTTTAATGGTGCTCTAATTGACTGGTTAAACATGCCATTGCTGTCTCTAATGTTTTCATTGTGCTCTAATGAATCTCTTACAGGACACACAGCTCAGCACTCTGAATGCATCCACACCAACGGTCCTCTTTATTATCCCCTCCCAAAACACTATTTTGAGAAGACTTCTTCCTTTATACATTTTACGTAAACATATTTATTGAGAACTGTTAAGCACGTATAAGAAAATCACAAAAATGGAATGAATAATTTAGGAAGCTCATCTAAGTGACTGGGTAGCACTGACAGTTGGTTTCTGGAAAGGCAGACCTCTGTTAAATATTGTATGACATAAACAAGATTTCTTTTCAAAAGATGGTTTATTATTAGTGTTTCTTTGGGAAATAGGAATAGCAGCAGGGGGAAAAAAGACTTTGTTTTGGTTCTCTAGTGTACCTTCAGCCAGCCAGTCGTCTAGGGCCCACAGGGCCTTCTGGCTGGGTGTGCTGGTGGTTGGTCTAAGATGAGAGGGGAAGGAGGGCACGTGAGTGGGTGCAATTTCCAGCCAACATCAGCAAAAAACACGAAGAGGAGGTGTACACTATTTGTTTTGAGATAGATGACTGTTAGTGTTATCCAACCAAATTGGGTCCACTCACCCAGTGCAGCAAAGCCAAACACTTATATCAGGATTGCAGTGAGCGAAAATGAGGCATTTATTGCACAATGCCAAGCAAGGAGAATCGGGCAGCTAATGCTTAGGATCCGAACTCCCTGATGCGTTACAGATAAGGGTTTTTAAAGGTGGGGAGGGAGAAGTCACAGGCAAAAGTGATAAATCGGCACATCGAGGCTATACATTGGTTTGACTTAAAAAGGGAGGGCATCTCAAAGTGGGGACCCACAGATCCATAGACGAATTTGAAGATTTTCTGATTTGCAATTGGTTGAGGAGGGAGAGCTTTATCTAAAAATTTAGGGTCAGCAGAAAGAATGTTAGCACTGACTTAGGGACGTGACCTCCTCCAGGCCCCTTAGAAAGAAATTTAGAACAAAGAACAGTGGTCAGAATTCTGTCCTCAGTTTCCCCCTTATCTGAGGTCTACGGGCCAGAGAATCCATTTGGTGGCGATGTGGGTTTCTGAAAAACAATGCGGGGACATGTGTTAAGATGTTATCTTCAGTTTCTATAAGGAACAAAACATTCTTCTGACTCTACCTTCCTTGGTTATTGTTTTAAGCTACTACTATCTTCTTGCTTATCACGTTGCTCATTTACTTCTCAAAGCTGGCTAGGTGCCAGGAATTTCCCTTGAAGAAATTCAAGATTTTCCTTTATTTCTGTGCTCTGGGGGTGAGAGATGTCTGGCAGGCCCCCAAGAGTGGGTCCCTGCTCTGTCACTAACTCTCCAACTGCCGGCAGCCTCAGAAGAGAGTGTACATTGCTTTCTTACCCTTTATTTTTTTAGGCCCATCTTACCTATTACTGCTTAGAGGAACAACTAGACTTAGGGGCTCAAAAAAGACTTGTCAAAGTGAATTGCTCTAAATGTTGTAATGTCAAGAATGGGTGAAAGTGTGGAGTAACTGACACATTGCTTGTGGGATTATAAATTGTACCACCACTTTAAGAGGTGAGTTAGAAGTATCTATCCAATCCAGCACTTCTTCAGTATAACTAGCAGGAGGTAAGCATAAGATTATCTACTGCCACGTAACAAAAGCAAAAGTACTCCCATATCCATGGGAAACCACTTATGGAGCAGCTAAACAGAATGAGTTAGATCTGTATCCAGCTCAACACAGAGGGATCTCTAAGATGCATTGAGTGGGGAAAAAAAAGTATCACATACCTTTTATGAGATACCATATAGTTTCTGCAGCTACATTTATGTACAATCATACATATAAGTGTGTGTATATGTATGTATAGATATGTTTGGAAGGAGATAAACCTAATTTCTACTTCTGAAAAGGAAGAGAGGGGCTGGGCACAGTGGCTCACACCTATAAACCCAACACTTTGGGAGGCTGAGGTGGGCAGATCGCTTGAGTCCAGGAGTTTGAGACCAGCTTGGGCAACATGGCAAGATTCCCTCTGCAAAAAAAAATATGAAAAATTTAACCAGGCATGGTGGTGTGCATCTGTAGTCCCAGCCACTCAGGAGGCTGAGGTTGGAGGATCGCTTGAGACAAGGAGGTTGAGGCTGCAGTGAGCCGAGCATGCACTCCTGCACTCCAGCCTGAAAAAGAAATGAGGGCGACAACAGAGATAGAAGACGGAGGATAATCATAGAGGATTTAGCCTTCTTTGAAATGCCAAAAAAGTATGTGTTGATGTATTACTGATCTAATTTAAGCCTAAACCAAAAAGTAAAGCGTTGTCTCTTTTACGGTGAGACTGGGTAGTTTGTGGGGCCAGGAGACGTTTTTGCATCATCAAGTAATCTGTCAACATATTTCAGATAAGAAACAGCAAGACTTACTGGAGTAGATAGGAATTATTTCTACTAGTAAGTCACTGGGTTACCCTCACTCATTGTTTACCTTGCCTTCAGATTTGGCTACTCACAAAATGCTGGCTCTTGTTTGACTCATAGATGTCTTACAAATATTATGCAGTTTTGGATGAAAATAAATATGTGTTCCCCTCATGGCTGAATAGTTTTTTGGAGAAAGCCAAGGTAAGCATCACAAGCAGGAGCTTGTGAGGATCATAAAAATCATAGGTGCTGATGTAAAAAGATGACTACTACAGGAGGGAAAAAACCAAGTGTCTGCATTTAGTTAAAAGGAAGAACAGTGTGGTATCTGGGGAACACAAAGGATGTTACTGAACTACATAAATGTAGTTTTCAAAACAGTACACCTATGTTAACCTGCCAGCCCTCACCCTGTAGCCTCATCTGTTTGGGGAAAATTTGAGGTTCCAAGACTTTTTCTTGTCTTAAGATGCTTACTCCTGAGTTTTGCAGCACTGTTGCATTTAAATCCTGTTTCCAGGTGACTATGAAACGATTCTTGAGATAGTCAACCGTGTTTTCCGAATTTTTGACCACAGAGACCCACTTAAATTTCATTAGATGTGAAGATTTTTCTTTTTTTCTTTCTTTTTTTTTTTTTTGAGACGGAGTAGCTGGGATTACAGGTGCCCACGACCACGCCTAGCTAATTGTGTGTGTGTGTGTGTGTGTGTGTGTGTTTAAAGTAGAGATGGGGTTTCACTATGTTGGCTAGGCTAGTCTCAAACTCCTGACCTTGTGATCTGCCTGCCTCAGTCTCCCAAAGTGCTAGGATTACAGGCGTGAGGCACCGCGACTGGCTGAGATGAGAAGATTTTTCTAGTCTCAATAATTCCACATCGAATTAGTTTTTCAATGTCTGGCTTATATGAAGTCAGGATAGAAAAATCAATACAATCCAACTCTTTGGCCTAAATTAATCTAGCCTTAGAACCGTGGAAATAATGTCCATTGTGTGGGCTGAATCAAATTAGTTTATTGATCAATTCTTCAACTGGTCTGTCCATTACCTGAGGCCTATATTGACCTTTTCCCTCATGGGTCTTTGACTCATGCAAACATTCTAGAGGAAGATAAAATGGGACTCTCCAAATCATTGTTATCTGCTGCATAGAGATGTATTTTATGCTGTATGTATTCAGGTATGTATTTTTGGTTAGTGTGTAGTAAGCATAAAAACTGCCACCTGGGGTTGGACCGAGGGGTCCCTATACTGCTTCACTTGTCTCCCACAGGAAAGTCATTGTTATAGAAGAGTATCTTTGTTTGATTTGGCTTTTTCAGGCATTAGTATCAAATGTTAGGCATGTCCCCCCAAATCCTTTATTTCATTAGCAGACCATTAATGCATGCTTGGATTTGCATCTAAAGCTATTTTGGTCATTCAACATTTTATATAATAAGTACATATTACGTTCACTAAACTTCTTGGGTATTGTGTGCTGGACATATAAGATGACATAGAAGTAATGATACACTCAAAGAAATTAAAGGACAATTAGGGAAGATAGATTAGTAAGTAAATAAATGCAGTCGTAGGAGTATGAAAAAGGGTAAGAAGTAAAAATATAGAAGTAGCTGATTTATATATTGACTGTGTAGCATCTTTTGAAGTAACAAGTTTCACATGATTAGCCTATACAAATTACTTTTAGTATTAGAAAACTAAACTGGTGTGTGAGAAAGCACCTTACTGGGTAGCTAGTACATTTCAGGCTTTCAATGTATTTGCTTCCCCTTCCTTACCTCAAGCTTTGGGATGCCCCATTCCACAAGCAGCTGGTTACCTCATCCATATTTTTAAGTAAACTGATGCATTTTAGTGGTATTTCTTTTCAAGTCCCATTTTCCAGATTGGCAGACTCTCATATTTTAGTGTGACCTCACTGGACACAACTTTATCCACCTAATCATTATACTTAATCTTTTTGTGTCTCCTCCAGCTCCATTACATTTTTCTTCAAGTGCAACAATTTGAACTTCACACAGCATTCCAACTGTGGAAGCACCCTCATTCTCCAAAATCCTAGGATAATAGTTTGCACCTTTTCTGATGGTAGTTGACATTTTGTTGGGATGTTTTTGTAGGTAACAGCACACTGGGTCAATGTCTTCAAAAATAGTTGATGATATCATCAAGGTCTCTTTCCTAAGTTGTGCCTGAGAGAGAGCCCATCAAACCAGTAAATGTAGATTGTATTTTCAGTAAAAATATTGTCTATTTGCCCACAGTGAAATTCATCAGTTGTTTGTTGGTTGTTTGCCAGTTACAGCGTCAGAAGTTTGCTCTGCAAATCACCTCCGTTGTCTTGGTGGGTCCTGTGCTTATAGTTTGTATTAGCTGCAAGAGGTTTTGTCATTTGCACATTAAGAGATTTCAAAGGGTGTTTACTCCAGAATGTGTTAGAACTCAGTTGAATCCACTTATTCCTCTCCATATTTCCACATGTCTAAAACTTATCTTCTCTCTGTAATATAGAACAATATTAACCAATTTCATGGCAACTTTTTTGAAAGTAGAGTTGGAAGCCTTGGTAACTTGATGAAATATTTTATGCAAGTAAAAATATCTAGTACCCATATGTAAGGCACAAACAATAAAGATAAACTGAACACTCGCATACTTGCTATTCAGCTAAAGTAACAGGGTATTACCGATAACTGTGTGCCCCTCCCCAGTTGTATTTCTCTCTCCTCTTCAGAGATAACCTCTAACCAGAATGTGTCATTCTCTTCTCTTTAGTGTTTGCTGTAGGTATTTCTCCCAACACTAATAAAAATATTTTTTCTCATTTACATTTTTTGTTGTTGTTGTTTTGAGACAGAGTCTCGCTCTGTCTCCCAGGCTGGAGTGCAGTGGTGCGATCTTGGCTCACTGCAAGCTCCACCTCCCGGGTTCATGCCATTCTCCTGACTCAGCCTCCCGAGTAGCTGGGACTACAGGTGCCCACCACCATGCCTGGCTAATTTTTTTTTGTATTTTTAGTAGAGATGGGGTTTCACTGTGTTAGCCAGGATGGTCTCAATCTCCTGACCTCATGATCCGCCCGCCTCGACCTCCCAAAGTGCTGGGATTACAGGCGTGAGCCACCGTGCCCTGCCATTTACATTTTAAGTTCAGGGGTACATGTGCAGGTTTGTTATTATAGGTAAATTTGTATCACTAGGGCTTGTTGTACAGATCATTTCATCACCCAGGTATTAAGCCTAGAACCACCCATTAGTTATTTTTCCTGATTCTCCAACCTCTGATAATTATAATTTTTATATAGATGTGTCATACTCTCTGTATTTTTCTGGAACTACTTTTGTTAATGTTGTGAGTTTCACGTATAGTGATATATATGGTTCTCATCAATTTTCAGCTACTCTGTGGCATTCCAGTGTATACATTTATCATTATGCTTTTTTCCAGTCAGTGTATAGTTTGGGGCTCTGGATATGTGTATGTGTGTGTGTGCTATTTCACATCCTACTGTAATAAACATTCTTATACTTGTGTGAGAATTTCTTCAGGATTTATACTTACAAATGAAATTGATGGGTCAAATGGGCTATATGCCTCTTCCTCCATATTGTGTCTCGCATTTATTCCTTCTCATGGGTTCTTGCTCTTGCTAACTTCAAGAATGAAGCCACCGACCTCAAGCGTTACAGCTCTTAAAGGTGGCATGTCCGGAGTTGATTGTTCCTCCCGGTAGGTTCCTGGTCTCACTGACTTCAGAGATGAAGCTGCAGACCCTCGCAGTGTTACAGCTCTTAAAGGTGGTGTGGACCCAAAGAGTGAGCAGCAGCAGCAAGATTTATTATGAAGAGCTACAGAACAAAGCTTCCACAGCGTGGCAAGGAACCCAAGTGAGTTGCCACTACTGGCTGGGGTGGCAGCTTTTATTCCCTTATTTGACCCTGCCCATGTCCTGCTGATTGGTCCATTTTACAGAGTTCTGATTCGTCAATTTTACAGAGTTCTGATTGGTCCATTTTACAGAGTTCTGATTGGTCCATTTTACAAAGTGCTGATTGGTGCATTTACAATCCTCTAGCTAGACAGAAAAGTTCTCTAAGTCCCCATCAACCCAGAAGTCCAGCTGGCTTCACCTCTCAATATCATATATAGCAAGTTATATTTCAAGGTTGTGTTCATTTGAGTTGTCATTGCCACCATAAGTATATGAACCCTCCTTGTGCAATATCTTTGCTATACTGATTTCCTTTTTTTTCAAATCTGATGGAGTGAAATAGTGTCACACTGTGTCTTTAATTTTACCATCAAGGTTGAGCATCTTTTTCATATATTTATTAGATATTGGTGTTGGTTTTTTCTTTGAAATACCTGCTCATGGCTTTGGGTTACTATCTTTTCCAAATAATTCATACTAGTTCTTTGGACATTACAACTGTCAACCTGTTGGTTATGTTTTACGAAGATCTTCCAGTTTGTGGCTTATGTGTTACTTTATCTGCCTTTTCATGAAACCATATTCTTTTTTTTTTTTTTTTTGAGATGGAGTCTTGCTCTGTCACCCAGGCTGGAGTGCAGTGATGCAATCTTGGCTCACTGCAACCTCCGCCTCCCGGGTTCACACCATTCTCCTGCCTCAGGCTCCCAAGTAGCTGGGACTACAGGTGCCTGCCACCACGCCAGGCTAATTTTTTTTTTGTATTTTTAGTAGAGACGAGGTTTCACCATCTTGGCCAGGCTGGTCTTGAACTTCTGACCTTGTGATCCATCTACCTCAGCCTCCCAAAGTGCTGGTATTACAAGCATGAGCCACTGCTCCCAGCCAAAACCATATTGTTAATCTTAGTGCAATTTGATGTATTAGCCTTTAAGTTATTTATTTTTTGTTTTTTAAGTGGTCCTTATCTACCACAATATCAAAAATATTTTCTTCTAACATTTTCAGAGTTTTTCTTTTTACATTTAAATATCTAATCCACTGGAATTGGTGTGTGAGTTGTGAAGTGGGGATTCAGTTTTATTGTTTATGCATGTGCTAACTAGTTGTCTTAGCATCACTTATTGTAATGATTTATACTTTCAACTCTGTCAATATCAAGATTCCATGTGTTTGAGTGTGTGTGAGAGAGAGAGATAGAGTGTGTGTGTGTGTGTGTGTGTGTGTGTGTGTGTGTGTGAAAATTCAATATGATTGCAAAAAATAGAAAAAAAATAGTGGCCTATTAAGCCTGGAGTTTGTCTCATGCAATAAGTGGTCTGTGGTCTGGAGCAAAGTCGTTGAGGCTGGCATAGCAGCTCAGCAGTGTCATCAAGGACCTAGGCTCCTTTTACATTACATCATTGCCATCCTTAACATTTTCCTCATGGTTACGGCATGGCTGCCATACTCCAAGGTTTTATATTTGTGTTCAAGTCAGGAAGAAGAGGAGAAGTATAAAGGTCAAAGACCTGATCTTGTTACGATTTACCTTTTAGTTTTTCAGGAAGGGAAAATCTTTTTTAAGACCTTATCCCTAAATTTTATTGTATAAAACTGTTATATATACTACTCTTACCTGAAAGGAGGCTGGGAATTAAAATAGAGCATTGAGTTGAGTAGTTTCCACTGTGGAAGAAAACAAGGAAGAACGGAGTTGGGATAACTGTTGAGTGAGCCAGCTTACAGTCTCTGCCACAGTGGCCTGTTTCTGGACTCTGCTTTTCCACTGGTCTGTATACTTACCTCTTCTCTAATACCACATTATCCTACTATAACTTTATTTTTTATTTTTGAGATAAGGTCTTTCTCAGTCTCCAAGGCTGGGGTGCAGTGGCACAGTCATGGCTCACTGCTGCCTCAATCACCCGGGCTCAAGTGTTCCTCCCACCTCAGCTTCCCAAGTAGCTGGGACTACAGACCCACCTGGCTATTTTTTAAATTTTTTGTAGAAACAGTGTCTTGCCATGTTGCCCAGGCTGGCCTTGAACTCCTGGCGTCAGCATTCCACCTGCTTCAGCCTCCCAAATATCTATATATTGACAAATGATAAATTGTATATATTTATTGTGTATTATTGTATTTCTCTCTCTCCTCTTCAGAGATAACCTCTAACCAGAATTTGTCTGGTTAGACAGAAACGATGTGATGTTTTTTGAACTAAGAAAATTTACATAGTCATTACCTCACATACTTTTTTTGTGGTGAGAACATTTAAAATCTCTTGGCAATTTTGAAGTAAATTATACATTATTATTAATTATAGTCACCATGATGTACGGTGGATCCCCAGAACTTATTCCCCTTGCCTGACACTGTGTACCTGTAACCAGCATCTCCCATTCCGTACTTCCCTCCCCATCCTCCACCCCCAGGCCATGGTAACCACCATTCCACTCATTGCTTCTATGAGCTCCTTTTTAAAAAAATTCCACATATAAGTGAGATTATGCAGTATTTGTCTTGATGTGCCTGGTGCCTGGCCTGTCTCACTAAGCATAACTTTAAAAATGTCTTTTTGTGTGGTGTGGAAAGGCCACCGAGTCCCAACCCCATTTCCTATTATTCTTTTTTCTTCAACTGTCTCAGCTATTCTTGCTCCTTTTATCTCCCATATAAGTTTTAGGATTAACTTATCAAGTTACACACACATGTGCATCAACACACAGGGTAGTTTCACCACATTGTATTGAATTTATAGATTAATTTGAGGATAACGGACATATTCACAATATCTTTTCCACAATATCTTTTTTATCTTTGAGCATGGTACATTTATTCAGGTCTTCGTCAATGTCTTTATATAATTTTCTCCTGAAACTGATAGAGTTACAAAACCTAATAACTAAAAGAATGGACTCTATTGCACATTATTATTTACATCACAAAAATACACCTGCACATAAAACAGTAATCTACACTTTACAAGAACTCATACAAACAAAAGGATACATAACAAATACATTAGGATGTTTTTCTGTGGTCACTGTTGAATGGAAATAGGAATGAGAGAATGGGCCGATGCTGATAAATGACCCAAGAGTCGAGCAGTATTAGTAACTTGAAGTTCAAAATGTTAAAAAAAACTAATAAAAAGTTCTGTAATCTTTTAATGTAGTTGTCTGGTTTCCTTTTTTGTTATTGCTAAATTTTTTTAAAATTTTGTTTTATAATCCTTTACTGCTGAGATATAGAAATGCTTTTGCTTTTTAACATGTTGATCTTGGAACTAGCCATCTTGTAAAATTCTTAATATTTTATCTTTGGGTTTATTTGGCATTTCTATAAAAGAAATTGTATAGTTTTCATATGACAGTCTTTTTCCCATATTGCACAGTACAATGTCGAATAGAACCAACAACAGTAAATATACTTGATTTGTTTTAATTTTTAAAGGGGCTACGTCAAGTGTTTTATCATTGTGCATGACTTGAGCAAGTTCCTGTAAATTCCTGTTTCTTGGTGAGTGGTTGTTCAAATGCTTTTTAAAAGTACTGTATATCTTCTTCATACTCTATTTGATTCAATTTGCCATCATTTTTTTAAAATTGATGCTCATAAATGAGAACAGTCTTTAATTGTCCTTTCCTATATTCTCCTATGTGGTTTTAATCTCATAAAATTAGTTATGGAGTATTTCCTATTTCTAATCTTTATTCAAAATGTTTGAAGACTAAATTGATTACAGCCATAAAATAGTTGTGTGATCATGGACAAGTTATTTAATCCTAAATCTTCACTTTCCTTATGAATAAAATCAGAATGATAATATGGATGCCATGGGGTTATTAAGAGAATGAGTTGAAATAATCCATATGAAGTACTTAGCTCATTGACTAACATATGGCAAATATACACAAAAAAATCATAGTTATGGTAATATTATCTATCATTAGTCCTTTTTCATTCATTAACATATGGGCTTGTTCTTATGGAAAAAAGTGCCTTTTTATGTGTTGTAGGTATACAAGCATGGATAGCGACAGGTAGATAAAAACGAATTTGTTTTAAATTCTTTAGTTACAATTTTTCATTTTAAAATTGAGTCTAGGCTGGGCATGGTGGCTCATACCTGTAATCCCAGCACTTTGGGAGGCCAAGCTGGTAGGATCACTTGAGCCTAGGAGCTCAAGACCAGCCTGGGCAACATAGGGAGACCCTGCTTCTATTAAATTTTAAAAATTAATGGGGCATAGCAGCATGCACCTGTCGTCCCAGCTACTTGAGAGGCTGAGGTGGGAGGATCACTTGAGCCTGGGAAATCAAGGCTGCAGTGAGCTGTGATTGCACCACTGCACTCTAGCCTGGGCAACAGAGTGAGACCCTGTCTCAAAAAATTGAGTCCGACTTCATATGGACTGCTGACTCAAACCCATTTAAACAAGGAAGTACATAGGTAAGCACTTGAGAACCACATCTTTGAGGCAATCATCATAGCCTCTGTCCCATGCGTGTTTTAGGATAGACTAGTTCAGTGGCTTCCAACCAGGTGTGATTATGCCCCCAGGGGACATTAGGTAGTGCCTGGAGATGTTTTTGGTTCCTACAGCTGGAGTGCTATTGGCATCTAGTGGGTTGAGGCCAAGGATGCTGCTTAATATCATGCAATGCACAGAGCAGCCTTCATAACAAAGAATGATCTGATCCAAAATGTCAGTAGCGCTAACTTTAAAACCTACATTATCAAAGTGATTCTCCAACGTGGAATTTCTATATATGTTGGGAGTTCCTTATTCAAAATTCCACAATTCCAGGCTCTATCCCTAGAGGTTCTATTTCAACTTGGTAGAGCCGTAAAACCTGGCTCTTTAAATATGCAGACGAGCTTGATATATGTGGTCCAGAAGGTTCATTATAAGACACAATGAAATAAGCAAATAGTGAAAACATGTTAATACATGCATTTTCCAAGTACATAGACAGCAACAAGGAAAAGAATGGTCAGACAGCAGTGAGAGTATTTGTGCTAAGAGCTGTGGATTTGGGAGCAGTAAGACTCTCACTGGCTCTTTCTTGTGGTGGTAACGATGATTTCTTGAGTCGCTTGGTGTTGTGTGACAGCAGTTTCTTACCCAGTTACGTACACAGCACAGCTGAATGGTTTCTGTCATTATCAAGCACTTTGTGCCCAGCCAGCCACATTTTCAGGGTCACTTCAGTGGTGAGAATTTGCCATCATTCTAGGCAGGCTGAAAACAGGGCTGAGTGAAATTCATTTCTTGCAATTGTGGTTACGGTTAGGGTTAAGAATGCTTAGAGGAAATTGCACATCAAGCCTCATCCTTGGTTGCCAAATTGTTCAGTCTGATTTTCTGACCATCCTTTTCAGCCACAGTATTAACTAATGTCACTTTGATTAAAAAAAAACTTAGGATGAATATTTCTATAATGGGTGCTTTTTAGTCAATGCCTGTATAGCACATATAATTTTCCAGGAATTGTTCTGAGTTCTTTAAATATATTAGATGACTTAATTTTCGTGACAGCCTAATGACATAGGTTCTGTTACTATTCCCATTTTTAGATGAGGGAAGATAGGTGGGGAGTTGGGGGAGGCAGATAGTCATTTTCTCATGGTCTTATAGCTGGTAGAAGTGGGGACTTAAACCCATTTATTCTTGTTTCAGGGTCTAGACTCTGAGACACTTAAACACACTCTTTCAGGTGCTTTCTCAAAACTCTGTGATCATAACATTAAGCTTACAAAATGTTCATTCCCTAGAAGTTCATTGTTTAAAAGACCTCAGCTTTTAAGTGAATGCCCTACTTTATACATTTGGATACTTTCTTCTACTTTATTTCTGCAAATGTCTTAAGACCTTACTGCTGTTGAATGTGAATTACCTGTCCCAGATCCTTACATGGTTGCTGTATTGGATTTCATGAGAGCCTCTTGATGGTGACTGAATTATTTCCTTGAGAGTAGGAAAGAGAAGACACAGGATAAGAAGAGAAAAAACACTTTCATTGTAATTTTTCAGACATATCATTGGAATGTCATTCAGCAAGTTATCACTTTTTGGATTATCCATAGGAATTTCCGAGTTTCATTTTGTCTACTGCTCAGCTGGGTTATAGTCCGTTACCTATAAGATGAAGCCAGAGAGACATCAAACCCAGAAACTGGTATTAGTGTCAGTGAGTGACTTCTGAGTGTGTGCCAAGCAAATAAAAACAATTTTCAAATTCTCAATTAGGTATTATGTATCCCTCACATTTCTATGTGAAAGTTGACTCCAATGATACATTAATTAATGTAATAAATTACCTTTTTTCTAAGAGAGGAAATATAGCTAAAAGATGGTTGTAAAAACAATATTTCAGTCAAGCAATTGAAATTTCCACCATGAATTAATTACATTGTTTTATGGTATCTCACTTTGATGTTCTCTGGGAACTACAATTTACCTTTGAGCATGTTTGCTTATTATTTTTATTTTGATTAATATTAGGTAGTTTAAAAATTTAAGTGTATTTAATGCCTCTTTGCTTCTAAAATTTGAAAAGAAACAACTTCAGAGAACTATTTGAGAATTTCGGTATGCAATGGTTTTCTGCTTCTAGCAGAATTAAGTAGGGGAGTGAGTTTGCAAAGACGTATCATGTAATAATGGTGATGCTGATAACAAAGACAGTTAAAACCACAGATTATAGCCGCCTGACCATATCAGCAGGTTGCACATGGCCTGAAAATGTCACATGTTGTTTATATGCCTTCCTCAAGCCAAACAGGCTTTAGACAGAAATTTTAACCATAGCAGTACTTCATTTATCTGGAGGGCACTCATCCAGTATCAGTAAACATTTAAAACATAATAATAAGCAAAAGCCTCTGGACAGCCAAAATAGATGCTGCAAAGCCAAAACACTAAATCCATGTGTTTGTCCACCACAAGGGGCTATAACAAAAGCATATTTGCTCTTACAGTAGAACACAGTTGTTCTAATTGTCCTGATAATGGTGATTTCCAGACACATTAGAAGGTAGGAGAAAGAAGGGAATTACAAACTTCATAAACAAGGCCAGGTGCAGTGGCTCACACCTGTAATCCCAGCACTTGGGGAGGCCAAGGCGGGCAGATCACTTAAGGTCAGGAGTTGGAGACCAGCCTGGCCAGCATGGTGAAACCCTTGTTTCTACTAAAAATACAAAATTAGCTGGGTGTTGTGGTGCACGTCTGTAATCCCAGCTACTCTGGAGGCTCAGGTGGGAGAATTCCTTGAACTAGGGAGGAGGAGGTTGCAGTGAGCTGAGATTGCACCACTGCACTCCAGCCTGGGTGAGATAGTAAGACTCCACCTCAAAAAAAAAAAAAAAACCCTGCATAAACAAAAGTGCAGCATTTCTAGTTGACAGCTAAAAAATAAACTAAACCCTGGAAGTCAGAAAAATTGAAAGATCAGTGTGCCCTGGAACTGTTAAGATAGGCTACCAGCAACATTAAGAACACGACATAATTTGATTATGATGAGCCCAAGTTGTAAACAATGGCTAAATTTTATTTATTATAGGATGTTTAGTAAAGCAAAGTTTGCAATGCATTTAAAAAGAGGTTAACCACTCTTTCCACCCGAGAAATTAGAAAACAGCCCTTAAAAACATGACAATATCCTATTGTGTGTTGCTTACCTAGGACAGTACAGACATCGCTCCTCTGACACTGTTCAGAGTAGTAATTATCAGGTTGTCAGGTCTTTTATTGTTTTACAAGACATGGGGCACCTGAGTCTGGAAATGATGGAACAGACACAAAATAAATGGGCCCACTTTGCTCACTCATCAGGAATTCACTGGCTGTGCCTCTGCCACATGCCCAGGAAGTGGGAAGCTCTTTATCACATTTTCCTTATAACTCTCCTCTTGTTTTCTGCCATCATCCTTAGCTCCTGTTATCATTTTTGGAGATTTCAGCGTCTGTGTTGACAGTTCATCTGGGGTTCCCTATATGACAGCTTGAAAATCTATTGCATTCTGACACACCATAGATATTGCAGGAGGCAGCCACCATGTGAAATCTACTTACTCACACCCTGTAGGTTATATTGGAGTGATAATTGCAAGATGCCCAGTGTGCCTGAAATGAATTTGAGGGCTTTGTGGTTAGCATTCTTTGGAAATGAAATTTTTAGTCAGGAAAACTAAATTGAGACCCATAGTAAAAAGTTTTTGGTGGGATTTTTTTTCTCCATTTCATGGGTTCCCTGTGGGGTTCGTGTACAAAGCCAGGGCCAAGAGGCTGTCACAGACCTGTTGTAGACAGGTGACACTAATTATTCTGCTCTGGGAGCAAAAAGCTTGTTAGAACAGGAAGTTTTCTAAGCAGCCCCCTCAAGTTCAGCCAATTTGCATTTTAATTTGCTTTCTGAAAAACCAAAGGTTTAAGAAATATTTATTTTGCTAATTTCATTTATTGTTTTCAGAGAAATAGGAAAATGTAAGTGCCTTTCCATGTGATAAAACCATAGACCCTACTCCTTGGTTATGTTTGTTCAGTGGCTATCGACTGAGTACTAGCTGTGCACATAACTTAGCGCTAGACATATGGGGATGAAGGAGATGGAGCCTCCCTGCCCTCAAGGAGTTTACATACTAGTAGAGAAGAGACAAGTAAGCTCAGGAATAAGTAAGGATTGTGGCAGGTGCTCTGCTATATATTAGCAATGGTGTGAGGAAGAATAAGGGCAAAGAGCTGTCTTAGTTGGGGCAATTACATTGGAGGCTTAGACCTGAGCGGTGGGTCAACCACCCACACAGCAAAGCTGGCAAAAGAGCATTGCAGGTGGAGAGCACAGTAAGTTCAGCAGCCCTGAAAAGGAAAGGCTTGCCACGTTCAAGGAGCTGAATAAAAGCAAGACGAGTTAATGGGTGCAGCACACCAACATGGCACATGTATACATATGTAACTAACCTGCACGTTGTGCACATGTACCCTAAAACTTAAAGTATAAAAAAAAAAAAAGCTGGAGTGCGCGGCCCCTGTGCCCTGAAGGGAGAATGCTGATAGCTGAAGTGGAAATGAAGACAGTGAGTAGCCTATGTAGGGCTTTAGAGGGCACTATAAGGTGTTTGGATTTATCCTAAAAGGACACTATCAAAGGATATTTAGCAGAAGAGTGGTATGATTTCATTTACATTTTGCAAAGATTCCATTCTTGGCCAAGGCAGCAGGCTGGAGGGACCAAGAATAGAAGCAGGAAGGTGAGTTGATAAGCCACTGCAGTGGTCAGAGCAGAGGTGGTGAGAGCTTGGGCTAGAGACTTAGCAGTGAGGGTGATGCGAAGGGGGCACATGGGATATGTCTTGGAGTTGGCGGTGATAGGGAACGCTGATGGGCTGGATATTGAGGAATAAGGATGAGGGAGGAACCAAGAAGGAATCTTAAGTTTGAGGTTTGAACAACTGGGCGAATGCTGGTATTTTCAGAGATGGAGGAGACAGGAGACAAAATGGCGAGATCTGTTTTTGACATACTCATGTTGAAATGCCTGTACGCAGCCAGCCCAGTAGAGACACATGTCTGATTTTTCCTGATCTAGGTCCCCTCTAGGGAATGTAGCAGAGACATGGTGTAGACCTTAGATTTAGTAAATATCATTAAATTCTGGGGAACCTACACTTCCGTTTTCCAGTCTCAGATGATGAATATAAATTCCTTTCCCTCCTCATCCCATTTTTCTACAAGAATAAATACCACCCTTTCCCCCACCAACACACACACACACACACACACACACACACACACACACACACACACACACGAAAGCCATTTGAGATTCCTGGAAGCAACACAAAGGAAGAATTCAATGGTTTATTTTTTTTTTAATGAAAGTTAAAAGTCAAGTTAGTTCATCCTTATTAGGTACTGGATTTGTACATTTTACAGACAGAAGAAAATCGACGTGATTTTTGTACTGTTATAAAGAGCAAAAGAAGTGACTTTACATTATGTAACATTAAGATCCCGAATGTTCTGGGACCCTGAGACGCGTTAGTAGGAAATGTTGTAGACTTGCTTCCTTTAAACCTTTACATGAACTCTCAGGAGTGGCTTAAGTGTGATTGTCCAGATTTGATTAGAGTCCTGAGGATAATGGAGGCAATTTCTTCAAAGTTATTTCCACACTTGATAATTACTTTATCCATGGCGAGGTGCAGAATGAAAACTAGGGACTATTTCTGCCACCTGGAGAAAATTCGTTTAATTACCACTGACCTCACTAACTTCTGCTTTTCTGATTCTCTTGCTCAAATTAGTGTTCTCCTCGCAAGGACCAGGCAAGAGATTGAGATTTTCTTTCGAAATTGAAGACTTAGGACAACTGAGCTCTTCCCTCTCAGATAAGGAAGCTTTAGAATAAATACTAATATTTCTTTACATGGGTGAAAGTTGGGTATGAAAATAAGCTTAATGTGTTTGTATTTGTTTGCTAGAGCTGCCACAATAAAGTCCATAGATTGGGTGGCTTAACAGAAATCTATTTTCCCACAGTTACAGAGGCTGGAAGCCCGAGATCAAGGTGTCAACAGATTTGGTTTCTTCTGAGGCCTCTCTCCTTGGCTTGTAGATGATGACTGTCTTCTCCCTGTGTCTTCACATGGTCGGCCCTCTGTGTGTGTCCGTGTCCTGATCTCTTCTTCTAAAGACACCAGTGAGATTGGATTAGGGCCCACCGTATGACCTGATTTTACCTTAATTATCATTTATAAAACACTGTTTCCAAATACGGTAAATTCTGAGGTACTCTGGGTGTTAGGACTTCAACATATGAATTTTGGAGAAGCACAGTTCAGCCCATAATAGTATCCCAATCTTAATTAGTTCTGCCAGAAAACTCACTCTAGTGCAGAAACTTAACAGCTTCCTTTTAGCACTTTAGTGTCATTAACAGCTGTTACTCTTCCTTCTCTTACATATATTGTAGAAGGCAGGTTCTCCAACGCCTTCACCACCTTGCTCTGTTGCCTCTTGCTCTCAGAAAACTTTTTTCCTGCTCTTTCCCCAACAAATGGAGTTGATGGCAGACTCTTCTATGCCATTGTAGAGTGCGTCTCACCCTGCACCACAGTTCTTTACTTGCATCTGCAGCCCTGATTAGAATGACAGAAATGAGGCCAAAGGCCGTTTTCAACTTTGCATTCTATTATTTAGCCTGGCGTAGTATAAGTGCTTAGTAAAAGAAAAGGTGGGATGTACATGTGTTAGTATTAGTTTGGAGACAGCTTCTATTTCATGTAGTGTCAATAAAGGTAACCTTTTGTTCATTGCTTAGAACTTGGTATTCATGATGATAAATTCCTGTACTCTAATTACCTTCACACAGAGAACCCCCTGACTTCATTCAGCCAGTAGCCATTAGGGTGACTAGTTGAGAATGGGGATAACTGGGTATGAACTGGGCAGTCTTCAAAGCAACAGGAGAACTGGACATTCTGTTAATGGTAGGTCAGGAGCATTCTGTTTTCCTAAAAGGACTTCCTTCCCCACCCCATGCCCACTTACTTTCCTCCGAGCAGTATTGGGATTTTGGACTTCTTAGGAGGTTAAGGTTGTATTTTGCAGTACTCCAGTCAGAGCAGGCATTGGGTTGTGCTCCCTCTGGGAAGGACATGAGACGATGGGCTTTTTCACAGATAAGATCATCCTTGAAAGGACTGTCACAGATAAAATTGTCCAGGATGGAGGCCACTAGCTACATGTAGCTAGGCAAAGTTAAATTAAATAAAATAAAAATTCAGTTCCCCAGTGACATCTGACACATTTCAAGGGCTCAATAGCCACACATGACTAGTGGCCACAGAGTACGGACCATTTCCATCATCACTGAAAGTTCTTTTGTTCAGCATAATTCTAAAGCCCAGCTCATAACTTTTTGTTTACTTCAATAGATGATAATAGTAATAAGTACCATTTAGCATGCACTTACCATGGGTTAAACTCAAATCTCTTTTTGAGGCTCAGTGAATTAAGTAATTTGCCCAAGTTGGGTCCCCCAAATTGGAAAGTAGCAGAGACAGGATAATAATAAAAATATATTTTCTAAAATTACCAATGTAAGAGATAGAAAATGGTCCTGTACTGTAATTTCAACTTACATGCCTTTTACAATGAGGTTAAATTGGAGCAAAGCAAATTATCTGAGGTTTTGTTTCAGACCAACCTGGCCTCAGTTTCTTCTCTCTTGTCTTGGTTCCAGTGACTTGAGGTGGCTGAGTCTTCCAGTGAGGGCCTCCGGGAGGATAAGCAGCCCCTCTCAAGAAAGCAGACGTCTGGCCAGCTGCTGGCCTCGAGAATATGGAGACAGTTTGTGTTTCATGACTGCTTTTTGCTCCTCTCCCTTTTCCAGATCAGAGTCATGTTTCAGTGGGACTAAGAGCAGGATAATACCTTTTGCCCTGAGGCTACCCAATCTACCAGTGAACAAGAATAGGACCCTGAAAGGGTGAAGGAGGCCAGTCATTTGTTCATGTTTCCCTGTGAGTTATAAAACACCCCCATCAGGGGAGACTATTGTAGACCTCTCAGAGAAACAGGCATTTCTGAAGAGAAAAACAAAGGCAAAGCCTTGAGAGCGAGATTTGAAGGTGGCTGAGCACTAACAAGGAAATGTACATAAAATAAAAAGTATGTACAAGAGTTTCCACAGATGGTGACAAAGTAATGATGAGGGCCTTTTGCTGCTAGACCAAAGGTGAAGTTTATCCAGAAATCAACTTTAATCTGTATTTTCACTATTTCAGTGCAGTTGGGCTCCTGGGGAGAAAACAATCAAAGAGTAAGAGAATTATGGTTTTGGGAAGCGGATTCTGGCCTCATTAGGTGAGGAGGCTGACAGGTGGCAGGACCTTTCTTGTGCAGTCAGCTCCTGAGGGTCAATGGCTCTGTCTCGGTTGCCCCTTGCAGCTGATTGGAAGTGGCTGCGGCTGCCTGGAGTGTGGGGGAGAGAACGTGGTCACTGATTATCCTCGTCTTCCACAGGTTTAGAAAGGGAAGTGGTGCCACAAACGTCAGGTATTTGTGACGCAAGGGCCTGAGAAGTAGTCCCGGAAAGAGTTTCACTACTCAAAACTTGTGGCAGAGAGAGTAATTAATTGTCTATTGCTGAGTGGCAAGTTATCCCCAAACTTAGCAACTTCAACAAACTTATTACCTCAGTTCCTGTAGGCTTGGAATCTGGGTGTGGTTTGGCTGCAGCCTCTGGCTCTGGTTCTCCCACAGGGCTGAATCAAGGTGTCAGTGCGGGCTGTGGTCACCTTAGTGCTCCGCTGGGGGAGGATCTACTTCCAAGCTTACTCACCTAGCTGGGACAGACCTCTGGTCCTCACTGGCTGTTAACCAGAGACATCCATTCCTGACCACATGACCCCCTCCGTAAGGCAGTGGATTCCACAGTGATCAAGCGAGACAGAAAGAGGGGTCGTACAATGTGAAACTCACAGTCTCCTTGTAACATAATCTTGGCAATGACATCGTGAATCAAGCCACTAGGTCCAGCCCATACTCACCGGGCAGGGATTGCACAAGGGTGTGAGCTCCAGGAGGCAGGAATCACTGAAGGCTATTCAAGAGGTTTCTACATAACATAGTGTGAATGGGGGGCAGAATATTAAATATATTATAGAAATACATTTGTTTTATTAGTAATGTATTTTAAAATGTAACAGTGTCGTGTGTTGTCCCATGCTGAATATAAAAATAACACAAATGCCATAATGAAACCTGAAAGAATTCTGATGGTTCCTCTAAGTTTAATCAGATTGCTTTTTGCAATAACGTCAAGAGAACAGAAGTTTTGGCAAGGTGTATAGGGTAGGTCAGTCATTTTCGAGCACGGATCTCTTTGCTTCAAAGACGGTGTTCATGCTGGTGTGAAAGGAAGGTATTTAACCAGAGGGAAGCATAAAGATCCCCCAAATCCTGGGTGGGACTGGGAGGAGGGGGACAAAGGCAGCCGAGGAAGTAGAATGGGGACTGGATGAGGTGGAGAATACCCAAAAGGAAAGTTAAACCTAGTTTGAATTACTGCTTAGTGGCAGCCCTGCCCTTCCCTTCTAGAGGCAAAGTATCCATAAATTATCTGTTATCTCAATCCTGCTTTTTCCTGTCCTTACTGCGGCTAGAGCATTAATACCTAAAAAAAAAAAAAAAAAAAAAAAAGCCGGCAACTGTGAGCATTAGCAGTTACAGTTCTCAAATGGGAGAATTCCAGGGGCATCCACACCCTGCATGGCTTCACTCAGATACAGCTTAGTGGGCTCAGATGTCTGACCAAGAATCTGAGATTTTGTGTTGTCCTTAGAGATAAAAATCCTGCTAAATAATTAGTTCTTGAATCTAATGGCTGTACTTTATTTGGGAAAACAAGACTCTGATTGTGAGTTTAATGGATTTCTAAGGCTAGAAGGCAGAGAGGGCAGGGACTGGATGCCACCAAGCCCCAGGCTGTACACCCTGTAGCTTTGCAAGCAGCAAGACGCTTCTGCCGCCCGCCCTCATCTCAAGCTTCTCTAAGTCAAAGTTCTCCACACAGCAGTTTACAGAGCCCGAGGTGCTGAGACAAAACTGTTTGGAGCAGAGTGACGTTATCTATTCCTAGGCAGAGCTCCTTGAGCTCCTTGCACCCTCTGTTCTTGAATTTTTTGAGGGTTCTTTTTTTTTTTTTAATACAATGTCAGCTTATGGGCTACGTATGTATCTTTTATTTACACTGCACACCTTGCAGCATCCTTACCTTGCAGAGTACTGAGTCCTGGCTTCATGAATTTCATGTCAAGTAAATGGGTTTTAGTCATCCCTAGTTCATGTGCATGTGCCGAGAAAAAGGGGAGCTTCTAAAACATGTGCGCAAACCACAGGAAACAGTGCAATCCTGTGTGTCTCCTATTCCACTTACTCCTCAAGGCCCCAAGGTAGGACGCATGTTTGGTGGCTTTCTGGCTTACAAGTTCCAGTGCCTACTCCCATTCCCTCAGAGGTTTGCTGTGATCACTGAGGGAAGCAGAATGGAGCATCGTGTGGTCCTTACTGGAGACTCCTTGCAGCACCTGAAACAACCCAATGTTGTTAGAGGCAAATCTGTGCTGGCAAACCTGGATCCTCATTTTATCTCTACCACTGTGTAGCTTTGGGTAAATGACAGATAGTCTGAACCTTATTAGTTTTCTCACATGTAAAATGCAAATGAGATCATTGTCAGTGTTTAATAAAGTACTGTTTATAAAGTGCCTGGCACAGAGCTGGTACATAACAGGCACTCCATAAATGGTGGCTTCCTTCCACTTTCCCCCAGTAGATAGCAGTGACCTTCATTACCTCTATTCAAACGGGCACCCTGTTCTGCTCCTTTCTCTCTCTACCCCTTCCCCACTTATCTTTCAGGATATTAACAGTTCCCATTAGCTTAGCCTGATAGAGGCTGGACAGTATAAAATGAACGGATGAGAGTGACCACTGGCTGCATAGCTCTGTTATAAATTGTCAAGATTGTCTTGGAAAAGGAACCTAAATTTTGGGGAAAAAAAAAAACTGGGGAAAAATGTGCTCCACAATCATGTGAGTGAGGTGGACAAGCAGGTTATGTTAACTCCAGAATTATTAATGCGTCAGTGACGTCTGCAGCAGCGTGCCAGAACTTGCCAGGATGGAAAAGAGGCTGGAAGATCTTCAGGTCACAGTCAAGTCCAAAGACAAGCCTAGTCCAGTGCAGACAGGAGTCAAGTCCAGAGTGACATAGCAAGGAAGATGGAATCCCATGCAAAGTGAGAGACTAAAAAAGTTGAAGCCTGAAAATTTGAGTTATTAATATTTCTGCTTTATAGTTTATAGGATGCATCTTCATGTATGATTGTTATTCTTCACAGTAGTCTTTGACTTCGTCATTATTAACTTCAGTTGATAAATAAAGCTCATAAAATTAAGGGATTTGCTCAAAGCCATGCAGCCAGTGAATAATCTAATCAGTACTCAAACCGGAGTCTTTGGGATTTCATTCTGGTGACTTTTTAAAAATTAAATCACAATCACAGACTTAATCAAACTGTCTAAGGCACTGAAGTCTGGTTGAAGGCCCGGAAAGGGCCTCCATGCTCCAACAACCAAACAGACGTGATAGTGGGACAAGACTCTGGGGCCAGGCCATGTGTGTTTGCCTCTTTCAGAATTAAAATTGGTTCCAAAGGCTGCGATCCAGCCTTTCTTTTAGAGTAAGCTCAGTTATGGGGTACAAATCAGGGCTGAAAGGGAATGTTTCTCATTGTTGGTTCTGCCCTGGTAATCACCCAGAGTGCTGCCAGTTCATTGCAGGACAGAAACAAGATATTTCTTTTTAACTTCCAACTTTCCAAAGCAGGACTGATACTGTGGCTTTGGATCGGTAATCTATCAAGGATAATTTATATTGCTTAGATTTAAAGCAGCATCTCAATTGCCAGAAAAGCAACCAAAGAGAAAAAAAATCAGTCCCATTTCTTCTAAATCTTGGCTGCAACTTTAGAAATAATATGTCTATGAAAATCAGACTACTTATTTCTATTATTATAAGAAGACATAGGCCATTGAGTATTCGTTATTCTTAAAGGGCTTCTTAAATATAATGATAGATCATAACAAAATGCCAATATCTACTGAGTACTTGTTAGATACAAGTACTGTTTTGGAGGTTTTATATTTACTAACTCATTTAATCCTCAAACAATGTGTGAATAAATGACTATTATTGTTTCCATTTCACAGCCAAAAAAATTGAGGTGTGAGAGGTTAAAAAAATTGCCAAAAGTTACATGGTGAGGTTCAGGGAGAAGATTCCAACCCAAACAGTCTGATTTCAGAACCTGGTAGTTTTCCCTACCCTGCTATAATGGATTTTATATGAAACTTAAAGTAGTGAAATTAATCAGTGAACAAGACAGACTTTAAAAACACCGTAATACTTTATTCCTAATTACAGAAAAACCTACAGCAATCTGTTAGGGTCAATGGAGGCTCAGTCTCTGAATGTTTGACTTGTCTGCAAGCAAATCTTCATACCAACATTTGCCAGAAGCCTCCTGGCTCCAACCTTTCTCCTTCCTTTGAAGACTCCAGTGAGGTTTGCTGCACTTGAAACTAGGGTTTTTTTCCTTAGGGGCAGCAGCCTGAACTGCAGGCCAAAGCTTCAAAATGGAATATAGTCAAGCAACAAGTTCTATCTCAAAGCTCAAAATAAACTAAGACCTTTATTAAATCATCCATTTGTTGGCTTAAGAACATTTGAAAGGTTAAGTGCTATATTAAAGTAAGATTTGTAGAAAAAAAATAAACCTTAATTACTATTCAGATGGCTTTTAGGCATTCTATGTCGATTTACCTCTGATTCTGGCCCAGATGTAGTTGATTTTACCAGCATTTTTCAGCTTTAAAAGTACTTTAGCTGCTTGGGGACTTTTGTGTATTCTAGAACAATCTCTGCATAATATTCCTACCATTGTATGTGGCTAAAGGAAACAACATTTGCTTCCATGATTGCCTGGGTGAGAAAGTCTTATATATTGATTGCTTATCCATAAAAAAGCAGAAATATAAAATAAGACCTACAACAGTTCTGTAGGTTTGGTGCAAAAAGGAACAACTGCTGTAATATAGTGATGATTCTCCCAAAGAATGTATATCTGTATACAAATGTTAACTGTCCATTGTACCACAAATCCTGGTATACTTGGAAAATATGCATGTGGAGTTGCATCGTCTTTGTGTTTCTGCAACAGTTGCCACGCAGTTTCCTGATTTTTCTATGGAAAGAAAAATAAGGATGTTTTTTCTAAAAGAAGTATTAGGGAAATAATACTAATGTCTTCCTGTGTTTTCATATGAAAAAAAAGTTAATTTACAATCAAGGAACCCAGACTGCACACAAATGATTAACCCTTTGACTCTGTTGGAGAGGAACAGTGAGTCAAACACAGCCTTTTCTTTTCATTGGGTCCTTTCCTAGGATCCAGCGGGTAAATGATTGACTTGTTTTGAATGAAGAATTGTTGAATTCTTGCCAGGTTGAGGCTTGGACAGTGGTACTGGACCTGAAAATTGGCAATAGCTCAGAATCTAAGCAGACATCATAAGAATTCTGCGTGAGGCTGGAGGCTATCCTTCTGGTCTGTTCCTTCAGTGATTTGTGAGGTGGGAGGCTCACTTGACAAAGTTTTGCGAAGATGCTGTAGTATTGGAAAACATGGCTTCTGTTGACATGGAGCATCCAGTAAAGAGAGAAATTGAAGACTAAGAAGGACTAACGGCACTCTGACTGAGTATCCCCAAACTAAAGTAACTGGCCAGAGGAGGCAGTTAAGGTGCTTGCTTGTAAAACTGTTTAAACCTGACTGTTATCCCACTGCAGGTAACACTGACCTTTTCTTTCTACCTACTTTCCCCATACAGTAGCCTGGGCTAAAAAATAAAAACTAGAAGCTAACCTGTGAGTATATTGGCGGTAACATGCTGAGTTTAAACTTAAGACCCTGGCCAAGCGAAACTCCATCCATCATCCAGTCATTAAGCATTTACCGAACATATCCTCTCTGCTAGGCCTTATCCTCGGCACGGAGATGAGTCAGACACAGTTGCCATCTCCAAGGATGGAGGAGGCAGACAAGCGAAACAGCGGTTAAGGTAAAAGGTAATAAATGTAGTCCCAGAAGTATGCAGGGAGCACTATGGATGCACAATGATGGACCCTCCCAGATTAGATGATGTATATGATGCAAGCCTGAGAAAATGAGGAGTGTGATAGAGGCATGCATCCTAGGCCAAAAGAACAGCATATACAAGGGCTCAGAGATAAGAGTAAGTGTGGCACTGCAGCAATAGCTCCATAGCGCTGAAGTTGATCATTTGGGTCAGGGTTGGTGAGGGCGGGTAGGAACTAAGGCTATAGAGAAGAGGGCAGGAACCAGATGAGGAGGAACTTGAACTTCAGCTATAAAACCTGAACGTTATTGGCAAACTATGGAAGAGTTTTAAGCAATGTAGTGAGCTGCTGAGATTTGTCTTTTTGCATATCACTGTGTCTGGAGCAGAGAAGAGAGAAACAAGGCTGGGCTCAGTAAGGAAGCTATTGTAGAAATCCTAGGTGCCTAAACTAGGGAAACAGCAGTGGGAACGGAGAGAAGCAAAGGAAATTCTAATTGAATGTGTAACACAGAGCAGCTGTGGATGACTTCCAGGTCTCTCCATGGGTGTGTGGGTGAATGATGACACCTGTCACCGTGCAGGGAGGGCAGAAGAAACACCTGTGGGAAGGAACAATTATGATGTGAGTTTTGGATGAACTGACTTGCAGTGTGTCAGGGCATCCAAAGGACCGGCAGCCTGCAATCTAACATAGGGTCTAGAGGTCAGATAAGATGTTTAGGAGTTATAAATAAAGAGATTTGAGTTAATCGTCAACTTGGATGGAGTCACTTGGTAAGTAGTGTGAGAAGAGCAGAGGCTGAAGACAGAGCCTGAGGAATTCTACCTCTAAAGGCACAAGAGGCTGAATGAGAGGATGGGAAGCTTTTCAGGAGAGGAGTACGTGCCTTAAAGGCCAAAAGAAAAGATGGTTTCCAGAAAAATGCAGAGATTTACGGTGTCCCTTGCCACATAGGTCAAGTAAGACAAGGTCAGAAGATGTCCCTCATATAGGACAAATTGAAAGTTCCTGGCCATCTAAAGTGAAAGCAATTGGCTGCAGGAACAGACAATATCACACATTGTAGAACAAACGGGTACAGCTTTGTCATAGGAACAGAGGCCAAGAAACTTGGTCTCTGGATATTGGTCCTGGAAGAAAAAAGTATTAGATACAAATGTCTACCTTGTTAAAGAACAGGAAAAATATTTTATTTCCTATTTATTGCACATAATCCCACACTAAACATAATGGAGGCAGGCTTAAGTGTATATGCAGCCACGAAGCTCAAGTCCATCAGTACACAAGCATCAAGACTCTAAAATTGGATAAATTGACCAAATATAACCTTTTGTTAATGACTGTTTCCTTAGATTGTATTCTTACAGAATACTAATCACAAGACACTTTAAATATCCCAGAGAAGATAGTTCTGTATTCTGTGTGTGAATAACTGTAATCTAATCTTGAAAATTTATAGTAGTGTTTAACCCTCACTTTCAGTAAGTTCTTTCTCATATCTCATTTCGATCTCCTCTGCTATGTTTTTAGGGCTAGTCTGTCTCATTCTCACTTCGCTGGATAATGGATGGTTACCATCTTCCATATATCAATCCTTCCCATAGTTGCAGATGAATAATAAATTTCTTTTCTGCTTGGAATGCTCCAGGCTGAATAACTTCAACAGAGCCCAAAGAATTGATCGCGCAGAATGCCAAGAGGATTAACTAGTTAATGGACACTGACTGTTTGTAGGCAGCGAGTGGGCAAGCACGTGACACAGGAAGTTTTTTAATCAGAAAAAGAAGTGTGCAAAATAGCATTACGTCTTTTTTTTATAAGCCCTGCTGTGTGATTGGTTGCCCAGGTTATCTTTTGGTGCTTTGCATGTGAATGTCTTCCCTTGCAAAGAGAGCAGTTTGAACTTCTGTCTTGAATTCCTGAGAGGTTTGGAATCAGTGGCTCCCGAGGTGCTTCACTCCTAAACACTGATTCCACTTCCACATAGACCATTTTTCCATCCCTTATCTTGGTTTGGAGGTTACATTTGCACAAAAGAACTTGATAATGACAAAGCATGAGAAATGGGGCCATGAGCACCTTCTCAGGGTTTTGCTAGAGATGAGTGTTACTTTCACCTATTCCTGGTGAAATCTCTTGCTGTGTTGTTTCAGTGGCTCAATGCTGAATCAGAAATCATCAGAGCAACAATAGTTGCAGTTGTGTGATAAAATAGGGGCCATTCTATATCATTAATTTGCTTTATATAAAAGATGTGAATATTGGTGTTTAATTCTAAGCTGACTTAGAGAATTAGAATCCAAAGTTATAAAGTCTCTCAATTCCTGGGATGATAAATACTGCATAATGACTAGAATTTTGTTTGTGTTCGACAAATAGGTAGCTACCTGTAGATGAACTATGGTTTTTTAAATGTTTGGAATACATGTAAATGTATTATTTGACATTGTATAATACTATTGTGTAACTATGTTTTCCCCAAATTTGGGGAAGAAGATTAAAATTTATTTCCCTATTTCAAATGGAAAAAAATGTGCCAAAAGAAAATTAAGATACATACATATTAGCTTTGAAACATTATTTAGCCATTCTGACTCCTGCCGCTGAGAAGGAAATGTGTTATTGTGGGGAGAGAGACCTTGATTCTTCTTGAAATCGGTATGTCAAAGAGATATCTGTACTCTTATGCAACACTATCTACAATAGCCAAGATATAGAATCAACTTGTGTCTGTCAGTGGATGAATAGATGAAGATAATGTAATGTATATACGCAATGGAATACTATTCAGCCATAAAGAATAAAGTCCTGTCATTTGCAGCAGGATAGATGAGCCTGAAGGACATTATGTTAAGTGAAATAAGCCAGGCACAGAAAGACCAGTATCACACATATGTGAAATCTAAAGAAATTGATCTCACAGAAGTAGAGTATGGAATAGTGGTTACCAAAGACTGGTAAGAAGAAGGGGAAAGAGGATAAGAGATTGATCAATGGGTAAAAAGTTATAGTTAGGAGGAATAAGTTCTCCTGTTCTATGGCACAGTAGGGTGACTACGATTCACAATATCGTATACTTTAAAATAGCTAGAAGAAAGGATTTTGAATGTTTTCATTGCCAAGAAGTGATACATGTGTGAGGTGGTGGATACGCTAAATACCCTGATTTCATCATCATACAACATATGTATTGAAACATCACACTCTACCCCACAAACTTGCAATTATGTGTTCATTTTAAAAGTTAAAATAGTTTTACTTGCTGTCCTTTGAAGCTATCAGAAATTCATTCACACCTTGTCATGGAGCGGTTTGGGAGTGGATTGGGGAAAGGAAAATAAGGATCAGCACGTTTCCTATCATCAGTAGTGCCAGGTACATTGAGAACATTCAATAAGTTCTTCCTGGTTGCTTGGCTAGTGTGATGGTTAATTTTATGGTGTCAACTTGACTGGGGTAAGGGATGCCCAGATAGCTGGTAAAACATTATTTCTGGGTGTGTCTGTGAGTGTGTTTCTGGAAGAGATGAGCACTTAGTAAGCTGAGTAAAGTAAGAAGAGTGGTTGCCAGGGGCTGGGTAGGGTAGACAGTGGGATAGGAGGAGATCAATTACACTTTGTACTCACCCTCCCCAATGTGAGGGGGCATCATCCCATCTGAAGGCCTAGATAGAACAAAAAAGTGGAAGAAGGGCAAATTCTCCCACTCTCTGTGTCTTTGAGCTGGGACGTCTATTTTTGTCTGCCCTTGGACCTTGTTGCTCCTGGTTCTTGGAACTTTGAACTCCAGGACTACTTATGTCACCAGCTTTCCTGGTTCTCAGCCTGCAGAGGCCACGTCGTGGGACTTCTCAGCTTCCATAGACACATGAGCCAGTTCTCATAATCTGTGTGTATATTTGTGTGTGTATATCTCCTATTGGTTCTGTTTCTCTGGAGAACCATGACTAATACAGCTGCTTTTCTTGTTTTAAACTTCTCAGTTCATTGTAAGTTCATGATTCCCTAGTTCTGGAGAAGTCTGTAAGGTGTTTAGTTTCTCTTGATGATTCACTTAAAGCTGACCTATCATCTTCCTATCTAGTCCCTGTAGCCAGGGGAGAAGTCCTATGAGGCAGTATTATAAAGGCCTTGAGAAAAAAGAAACCAGGCTCTATTTTAGAGTAATGTACCAAATGAGGGACCTGCAAACAATAGCCTTTGGTGACTGGTGTTTTCTGGGGTCAACAATGGCCTAGCCTTTGGATTCTTGATTGAAAGGAAATGAAGACCCAATACCTGATCTTTCCCACCACTGTCTTCTTTTTGTCATATCCAGAACTCATTTATTTTCCCCTGTGATGTCATGCCTGTATTAGTATATATCTACCAACCTTCTCTAACTTCCCCAGCTGTCACTTCTGACCTGAGTCAATGGAGGAGTCCTCCATCCTCACTGGTGTCTGTGACCTGGGAAGTGCTTCAATACCCGGCCCAGCATCCACCCTTCCCCAGAGATTCTCACTCATTTGGATTGGGCTAGGGCCCAGGCATCAATATATTTTTACAGGTGCTCCAGATAAGTATGATGCTCACATATGGTTGAGCCCCACGGCTTCATAGCAGAGCTAAGTTTGTTCTTTTCCTGTAGGCTCATCAAAAGGAGAAAAATTCTGGTTAAAAAATGCAGAATAAAAATGAGTTATATCCCTTCCTCACCCGGACAAGCAAGGATTTGTATCCTGGAGACCTGGGGTTCCCTTTTGCCCTGGGGTAGAGCTGAGACTTAATTCTCAAAGTCTCTTGGAGATAAAAATTCAGGTGGTATTAGTAAGATGTCCCTGAGGCTTGGACAAGTGGAGACCAAATAGTCAAACCCGGGAAAGCTGTGCTTTCTGGTTTAAGACTGGTGTAAGAGCACAGCAGGGCTTAATAGGTGGCAGAAACCTGCAACTCTGACCATTATTCTCTCCAGAAGACATAGGGTCTATGAGGGCCAAGATGCTGGAGACCTGGGCACTGACCCTGAAGCCACCAAGACTTTGGGTATCACAGTCTGCGGCTGAAAATGGTGATGAAGTGGTAGACACCTGCCAGCACATGGACCATGCAGGCTTGGACAATGGGTATCTTGACAGCAATCTTTAAGTGAAGACCAGCTGCCTTGCTCTAAATTTGTATACTATATAACTCTCCTGGGATTATTAAACAGTTCTAGGGAGGGGAAAGCTTCTCCAAACATGACTGAGATTGAAATTATTGCAAGTGAGGATTCAAAGCCAGACATGATTATATTTAAAAGGAAAAAAGCAATATGATGAGGATATGGAACAAATTCTAGTCTCGGTTACAAAAGGAATCAAGCAGTCATGCTTAAATAAATTAACTGTATCTCATATGCTTCTAATTTTATTGGTTTTTAAACTAGATTTTGGTTTGGCTAAGCACTCTAAGAACTTTTACTGCAGTACAGGTGCATTTTCTGAGCCTGTTGTTAGAATATGCTCCAGAAATTTTAATGGCAGGGCATATGGTCAGAAGGTCAGCAGAGTGATTGGACATGGTAGGGGACAGAGAGAATGGCCCCTGGGCTTGAAGCTGTGTTTTCATTAGACTTAAGTTGGAGAAACAATTGGCTGTTCATATTTTATTTAAGAAAGGGAAGCTGCTCCTTTAACTAAAGCCTTCGGGCTGCAATGCCCGCTGCTACACTATGAGTAAGAAGTTGAAAAACTAGTATCACTAAGTGGGAGTGGTGAGTGATGGACATATTGCAACTCTTACATTTGGTATGCAACTGACTGAAATGCTTCCTTCACAAAAGAGCCTTGTGTAAATTGGGAAGAACTTGAAGTTTGGAGTCACACAGAACTGGATTTACACCACTACTTACTAAATTTGAAGCTTTCTTGTATTCTGAGGACTTAGCGAGTCATACAGAACTGGATTTACAGCACTACTTACTAAATTTGAAGCTTTCTTGTATTCTGAGGGCCTAGCACTGCATGGTGTGTAATGGGCACTGAATAAATGCATGATACATTAAGGAATAATTAACAAAAGAAATCGCCGTCTTGCTCTGAGCAGTGACTTAATACGTCTGAGGCCAGGCTTAAGTGCCTTTACCTGTAAAATGGGCATAATGACAGCTATCTGGAACAGAATTTTTAGGAGTTTATGAACTATGAAGTACTCAAACCAGTGCCTGCAGGAGTCTTGGTAAGTTTGTTTCCTGCTTGGCCCACCACTTCCCTAAGTGCTGTTTATTCCGTGATTTTTGATAGGAACAGCCCCACTGTATCACAGCCTTCAAGTGTGGGAATTTGTGGCACATAATATCCACCTTTTTTTTTTTTTTTTTTTTTTAAGACGGAGTCTCGCTGTGTCGCCCAGGCTGGAGTGCAGTGGCGTGATCTTGGCTCACTGCAAGCTCCGCCTCCCGGGTTCACGCCATTCTCCTGCCTCAGCCTCCCGAGTAGCTGTAACTACAGGCACCCGCCACCACGCCCAGCTAATTTTTTGTATTTTTAGTAGAGACGGGGTTTCACCGTGTTAGCCAGGATGGTCTTGATCTCCTGACCTCGTGACCCGCCCGCCTCGGCCTCCCAAAGTGCTGGGATTACAGGCGTGAGCCACCGCGCCCGGCCTACTAATATCCAACTTTTAACCACAGACTAGACCCTGGGAACTAAACACTGAGTCCCACCACAGGAGAATGAGTTGAGGAGAATTCTGTCAGCAGAAATAGGCTTCACTCCAGTTTCACGGGTACTTTGTCTCTTCACGAGGCAATGTCTTATAACCCTGGATAGTGTCTGGTTTTGATTCTTTTAGTAGATACTTTGGGTTCACAGCTTTTTCTTCTATTTGACCCACAATTCTAATCTGTTATTTCTCCTAACCATTATTTTAATTCAATGAGTACTTTCAACATGTTTTCCATATGATCGGTATTAGGGATACAAGATAAACAGATGGAGATGGCCAGGATATGATCCTCGCCTTCTAAGCCTAAACGTTCTGGTGAGAGGGGAATTAAATAAGAAATATAAGAGTTGCAACATAAAGGGATAAGTTTTCCAATGGAAACATTTACTTACAGCAGCTCAGCCTAGGGCAGAAAAGTTGTCAGAGAAGAGAAAGAAATAGCCCAAACATCCGTGTGTTCTTCCTGCTGTCTTACTCAGATTCTTCTGGTCCTGAATTATGTCACCATTTCTGCAAACCAGTGCAACCCCAAGCCTGTCTGAGCTTAATGTATAAGCTGGGCTCTTTATCCACCTGGAATGTGACCTCCATGAAGGTGGATGCCATGCCTGCCTTGTTCACCACCATATCCAATACCATAAAACAAATATTTCCTGAATGAATGCATGATTTAGTTCTGAATGGAGCTGGAAAAAAAACCGTAGTTTTATGTTTTTTGGTTTGTTTGTTTAAGAAACTAGTCCTGGACAGGACAGTTCAGAGGCCTTATATGTTCCATTAAATTTTGGAAACACTTATTTTGCCTGTAAGTGACCTGTTTTCAAAGATTTAACCTTCTAAAAGTCAGCCCATAAATTTCATTAACATCTACTAACTTTATAGAGCATCTTTTTTTGAAAAAGGTAGTGTTCCCTGGTTATTAGATTTTGTATGGAAATTGCTGGATGGTTTGTTCTGACAAATTTACTGACAACATGTCAGTAAATTGCAGTGAGTGTGCACATAAAGGATATTCAAAGAGTATCCTACATGCCGAGTATTTTAGTTTTGTTTACTTTTTCTACAAACATTAAAGGGGAAAATCCCAGAAAGCACCCTGTATGAGGCGCTACAAGTAGAAAGAATCTCAATAAATTAGTTATTTCCCAAAAACAAAAGTGGATGTGCTGTGGCCTTTTCCCCTCAGGATAAGTATTGTTAGAAGATCTTGCTAAAAGTAGATGGGTTGTCGTTGGTCAGTTGTATGGCCCAGGGAAGACATTATGTCTTAACACAGTAGCCAAGGATTCCAGAACCAATGATAAATAGGAAGATAAATTGACTTAAAAATAAATAATATATCTAATGACATACAAATGCAGATACCATAGATCTGATAACATACAAACACAGATACCATTGCACAATTTGTCAGGATCTCCCTGCTAGTGCCATGGTGGCCTCAGACTTAGATGCTCTTCTGTCTCGTTGGAGCCACAGTGCTTAGAGTGCATCATATGATGGAGACACAGCCACAGACTCATTAACATTTATGATGGAAATATGAAAAGTTAAAGTGTCCTGGTCATATGTCCTTCTTCAAATAAGGTTCAGGTCAGGTGTGGTGGCTCACACACCTGTAATCCTAGCACTTTGGGAGGCTGATTGCTTGAGCCCAGAAGTTTGAGACCAGCCTGGGCAACATGGCAAAACCCCGTCTCTACAAAAAAACACAAAAATTAGCCAGGCGCACCTTGCCTGTAGTCCCAGCTACTCAGCAGGCGGTGGGAGGATTGCTTGAGCCCAGGAGGTCGAGGCTTCAGTGAACTGTCATCGCACCACTGCACTCCAGCCTGGGTGACAGAGTGAGACCCTATCTCAAAAAAAAAAAAATTTTTTTTCAGAGCAATGTTAGAACCAGAGACCAAAACTTTCCTGCCATAACTTTATTACTGACCCTTGCTACCTCTGAGGTTAGAGAGTAAAAATTATGATTTGCTGTAGTATTTGAGATTTCTTCCATTCATTCTTCTCCATGGCTGTTGTATCCAAAGAATAATGAAACCAAAGGAGTGTGTGCAAGCTTTTGGGTGTGGTCACTCACCTGCTGTGTTCTGATTGGGTGGGAGAGATGTATCCAGAATATCAGTGTTACCATTTTATAGAAAATCCTTCTGTGGGGCCTGAAATTCTCTGGGTAGCAACTAGATCATTATTTTTCCAACCTATGAGAATAGAAAACTTAAACAAATTGATTATTATTTCTGGAGAAAAATGTCATAGGTAATAGGTCACTGCATTCTTCCATGTTACATAACAGCATGTTCTGCCTGAGAGAGAATTAATTGCATATGTAAACCCTAATGCCTGCATGCCGCTACATCTCCCTAATCAACTCAGGGAAAGGCTTTCTCCTTTGCTCTCCCTTGCAAGTTTTATAAGAGATCAAGCCATGGGAGGCTGAGTAGCTTTTATGGTCAAGCTCAAGCTCCAACCTCTGCCTTCTTGGTAATGGGAAAAGTTGTAAAGAGGAATTACAACAGTCCTCCCTGTTGCTGGAGCCCAAAGGGTCCTGTAAGCTGTGGGTGCCTCTTTTGTCAGTCCCCATAAGCAAACAATTCCAGATGAGACCAAAGACTGGACACTTTCAGCAAAAATCATAAAAGAATGTAATGAATTCCCAGGTTTTTTGGGGGTTTACTACTTAGTAAGAACTAAAATGACTAATCTTTCATTCAGTGACTCCGTAAGTGCCTACCATATGCCAGGCACTGTTTCAGGCATTGAATATACAATGGTGAACAGAATCATATGCATGAAGGTTATTAATGAGGAGGAGAGAGATTAGAAATAAACCTGTATTGTTAGGAGGTAAATACTAGTTGGAAAAGAATATTAAGCAAGATTGGAAATGCAACATGAAAATGGAGCTATAATTTTATATGGTGTGATCAAGGAAGGCCTTTCTGACAAGGCAACATTTGAGCAGACACCTAAAGGAAGTGAGGGAGGGAGCCCTCCAGGTATGTGGGGGAAGCACATCCTGCATGAAGGGAACAGCAAGTACAAGGTTTTGAGGGAGGATAATGCTTCAAAAACTTGAGCTCTAAGGATAGGACCAGTATAGATAAAACCAAGCAAGCAAAAGAGTTACAGAAGAGAGACTGTAGGGAGGTGGAGATATATATATATATATATATATATATACACATATATATATACATACACATACACATATATGTACATTTATATGTATGTAAATATATACAAATATAGATAATATGTATTTAATATATAATGTATATAATGCATTTCCTATATAATATAAACAATATATTTAATTGATATATTTTTATTTAAGGTATCAACTTGATGTTTTGATATACGTTGTGCAGTGATCACCACAATCAAGCTAATGAATATTTCCATCACCTCACATACTTACCTTTGTGTGTGTGTGATAACACTGAAGCTCCATCCTTTTAGCAAATCTCAATTATAAGATAGAGTATTGTCAACTAGAGTCACCGTGCTGTACATTAGAGCTCCAGAACTTACTTACCTTGTATAACTGAAACTTTTTACCCTTTGACCAGCATCTTCCCACTGTCCCCATCCCCCCTGTCTCTGACAACCACCATTCTACTCTGCATCTATGAATTTGACTATTTAAGATCCCATAAAAAGTGAGATCATGCAGTACTTGCCTTTCTGCACGTAGCTGATTTCAGCTAGCATAATGCCGTCCAGGATCCAATAACATCTGTGTTATTGCAAGTGACATGATGCCCTTCTTTTTAAGGCTGAATAATATTTCACTGTGTGTGTGTGCCACATTTGGTTCATCCGTTCATCTGTCAATGAACATTTAGGTTGTTTTTGTATCTTGGCTATTGCGAATGTGCTGCAGTAAACATGGGAGTTAGATATCTGTTTGAGATACTTATCACATTTTCTTTGGAGATATATATATACACATATCTGTATATCTATATCTATCGATAGATATCTATATCTATATTCAGAAGCAGGATTGCTTCATCATATGGCATTTATATATTTAATTTTTTGAAAACCCACCTTGCTGTTTTCCGTAACTTCTGTACCAATTTCCAGTCCCACCCAGGGAATGGTTTTCAGTGTACATCTAGCATGCAAAGGTTCCCTTTTTTCCATATGCTCACCAATACTTCATAGCTTTTGCCTTTTTGGTAATAGCCAGTCTAACAGGTTTTGCTTTGCGTTTCAAGATGGGCGTTTTTTAGGACCTTGTAGGCCATAGTAAGATAAGAATTCTGCCTTTTCCTTAAGTAAGATGGAAAGTGATTGGAGGCTTTCAAGTCGTGAAATGATGCGATCTCAGGTTTTTAAAAGACTCTGGCTACTGTGTGGAGGACAGCAGTGAGAAACAAGTTTGGAGGTGATTACAATAGTTGTGACAAGAGATGATGGCTGAGCTAGGTGGTGGTGGTGAAGAGGATGCAAGATGGTACAATCACATATATTTAGAAAGTAGAATGAGAAGAATTTGCTGATGGTGTGGATGTGAGGTAAGAGAAGGAAAGGAATCACATGACCTCAAGATGTTTCTCTCTTCCTCCCTTCCTTTCTTCATCTCTCCGTCTCTTCCCTCCGTTCACTCAAGCAACCCCAGAGAATAGAGTTGCCAATGTTCTGAAATAAAGAAAACTACAAAAAGAACATATGTGGGGAGATACTCAGAAATCTGATTTTGGATATAGTAAGCTTGACATGCCTATTGGACATCCAAGTTGAGATGTTGAGTAGCATTTGGAAACACAAGTCGAGTTCAGAGAAGAGGTTTAATGTGGTGGCACAAACTTGGGAGTCCTTAAAATACACCTGTTTTTTAAAGCCATGTAACCAAATGGAATCAAGAAGGGGAGAGTACAGGTAAAGAAGAGAACTCTGAGGACTGGTCCTGGAGCACCACTGTAGCAGTAGAGGGAAGAAAATGAGGAGAAGCAACCAAGGAGACTGAGTATGAGGTGCTAGTGAACAGAAAAAACAAAATAGTATCCTACAAGCCAAATGAAGAAAGTATTTTAAAAAGGAAAGATAAATAAGTCTGTCAATTTGCTTCTTGGTATCCTGAAATTTCCATTTTATTTCATTTTTTAACAACAAGTAGTAAGAAACTGGAGATGGGTAGCTTTCACTAACTTTTGACACATTCTAAGACAATAAGAAGTACTAAAGGGATAATAAAACCAAAAACCAAAATAGTAAGTTGTAACAACAAAACTTCAAACATTGTTGCTGGAGATACAATGTCTGAGAGGTGGACACTGGACGAGTTATTCTCCTTCAATCTGTTAACCTTTACTTTCATAATGTGTGCAAAATGAGATTAATAATATTTCTATGTCTCATGGGTCTATTGTAGAAGCAAACAGGGTATCATAGATTCCTTTAAGAAGGATCTTTATTTTGGAATTTTTATACATAAGCATATTTGTTAATATAAGTAGTCGTTTTCAGAACATACGATTCTTTCACTGAATTCACAAATATTTGTGCTTTTTCCATTCAGTTCCAGGTAGTATTTTAGGCACTGAAGATTCATAGACAAAGGAGAGGCTCCTACCCCTAAAGATCTTAGAATTGAAGGAAGCAAATAATCCAAATGATTGCTATTTAGAACACACAAGTAAACGACCTTGTCATTCATTCTTGTGAAATAATCTGTGTGTAGTCTCGTCATTCCAAAAAGCCCACTTATTTTTCATTTAAGAAAGGCTTTTGGGTAAAGTCTTAGAATAAGTGCACACCCATATCTTCATATATTTAGAAAGTAGCTTAACTTTATCAGTTCCCTAAGTGCCTGATGTTTAAGATGAGTAGGTAGGAAACATCTTCCCTTTTAAAGCAATACATCATTATGGATTTTCCTCTGCAGTAATAATGTCTGCACTTAAACATGAAATCTGCTGGATGGCACTCTGTCCCACGTGCTCCTGGTCATGAGCTGCTCAGTACCAGTGATTTGCAGATCTAACTATAGGGCTGTCATCAGCTGCCTGGTGATCTACCTTAAATAGGGCTGTCAGCCATTTTGTTTTGTTCCAGAGAGTTCCTCACAGGTGACCCGTAGAGAAGCGGGAGAGCCAAGGTTCCCCAGCCATCAGCTCAGAGCCAGCAGAGATGGCTCTCTATTGTTCTGGCCCTCAGGCTGCGAGCCAAGGTATAAGAAAGAAAGCTGTAAGGATAAAATAGGCAAGATCCATTCATTTTCAAGTTCAAAGTTCTTTGGCCAGAGGACGGTAGAAAGAAGTTGACTTTGTCAGAGATGACCTGTGACAATGTGAAATCTAAGCAAAGAGAGCCAAAGGCTGTATATCCTTGTTCAGGGACAATCACTCAACACCACCACAAGCTGAATCTATGACAGGAATAGCTGGCGTGTGTGAACCACATAGCTTGGAGGGAGGCTGACATATGATATACCTTGGATTTTCATTTTTCTCCCTTTGCAGCAAGTTTTGGGCTGATGTTTACCCCTTCCAGTGTTGCAATCATGGGGAATAGAGAAATCTTGTTGTATTTATTTATTTATTTTAGCACTCTGGCTGCTCTCTTTGGCCTTGTGCTCTGTGATGTGGTTATGTTTCAATGTGGTTTGATCATGTGACAGGGCTGGGAGCATCTATTTTTGTCAACACCATCACCATGGGCTTTAGAATCAGACAGACATGAATTCATACCTATTGCTAAGGTCAGTCTCTTAGAGTAAGAGAGCCCGTTTGGTGCCATGGTAGAGAACTGACTCCTGATTCAGACAGTCCTGGGCTTAAGGTCTGGCTCTGTCACTTACAAGCTGTGTGGCACTGGGCAAGTGACTTAACCTTTCTGTGCCTCAACCACTTTATCAAATATAGAGCATATTAGCACCTACCTGACAGGATGATTGAAAGGATTAAACTGAGATGCTATAACATGGTAGCACATGGTGACTGGCCATTAAATATTCACTGTTATTAAATGTACCTAACCCCTCTGAGTTTTGGTTTTCTCATTCTTAAAGTGGTTGTGTTGTTGTGAAGGCTAATTTAATCTAGGAGGAAATGTCAGCATAGTGTTTGGCACAGAAGTCCAGAATGAATAGTTGATATCATTATCAATAATAATAATTAAGAAATAGAAGCTATGGACTCCAAAGCCTCATTGTTTTATTTTAAATGCCAGCATCTGTTCCCTTTTTATTCAATTATTCAGTTCTGACTCATCAATGAAAATGACCCTGTTATGTGGGTGAAAGTAGGGAAATTTCTTGTAATCCAAGTCCATATCCCAGTTAATTAACACATTTTTACAAAACACATTATGTTTCCAGCTTGGATGGGAAAGCAGAAGTTTTCTGCTCTAATAGAGTTTATAATTAAATAGGGTTGCAGTGTAAAAACATACCCATTCTGTAAATTATAATTGGGTGCATAATAGACATCAGATACCACAGTGGTGAGTATCATGATAGGCAGAAATGTGAATCAGATGTGATCCTGCCTTTGAGGGGTACAAAGTCAGCTGGAAGTAGTGGTAGCAAGTGCATCAATATAGGCTGCCTGGATTAGATACCAGGCTCTGCCCCCTGCCACCATGAGACCTGAGGCAAGTTACGTAACTGCTCTATACAGGCTTTCATTTGCAAAATGGAGACAACAATAGTGCTTACATAGTGTTGATGCGAAGCTTAAATGGGTTCTTGTGCGTAAAGCATGGTGCCTGTCACATAGGGATCAGTAAATGTTGGCCATTTAAAAACATATAGTGGGGGAGAAGGCATGCATGTAAGTAACACTGCAAAAAGTATGGTGATATTGCTATGGAAATTCAGAGATCAGAGAGATTACTTGGGCTTCATAAAGGAATGTGGCATTTAAACTAAGCTTAGAAGAATAGGTAATATATGGACATGGAAAACTAGGGCAAGTTAGGGCAGCTTTTCAGAGATTTCATGATCAAAGGCATGGAAATAGGGAAACCCAACGCTACAGGGAAGAAGTTAGGATGATAGTTTGGAAATGTGGAAACCTCAGATACTAGTTCAGGAAGTTTATGTTTTTTGAGAGTGCCATTGAGGATTTTCAGCAAGAAAATAAGGCCAGAGCTATGCCTCTGGTAGCAGACTAGGGAAGAATGCTTTGGGTCAAATAATAGCCTTGTCTTGGTCTCAAGACCTCCAGTCTCTCCTTCTGCTGGCCCATTTGCTGTGATACAGGAAAAGGGGAGGACTCAGAGATACGAGATAATGATGTGTAAGCTGAGGTTGCCCAGAGGTTGGATGTGCTCTTGACAAACTTGGGGAATATAAAAGGATAGGTAGACTGAAAAAGAAGCCTTTCAGTGCACTGGGACATGTTGATTTGAAGTGTTTGTAAGTCCGCAGGTAAAAATAGATGGAGGTTTGGAACCCTTGAGTACCACCAGGTTGGAGGTACAGACTGAGTAACAGCTCCTCAGAAGTAAAGCAGGAAGCCTGAAGAATGAATGAGATTGCCAAGGGAAAATGACAAAGACCAATCGTTGAGCAGTCCCTTATATTTAGGGATGGCAGAAGAAAATAGAGATGGGAAGGATCCAACAGAAAGGCGGGAGCACTAGAAGAATACAGAGATGAATACGGGAATGGAGGGGTTTCAAGAAGGAGCATTTTAGGGATCCTGGGCATGACTTATTTGGGAGACAGTAAGGCAATAGGAATGAAGGAGAGACAAAGCTAGAGGTGTCAGGTAGAACTCAACTGTGGGGCACCTGAAATCCAGGCAGAGACATTTTGGCTTACTTGGTATAAAGCAGGAAACCTTTATGTGATCTTAATGATAGTATTTCCCGATGACTAAAGAGAATCATATTCTTATCCTAAAAGACAGAGGCTGGGTTTGAAAGGTCTTAGTGTCCCCCCAGCCCCCACCACCATTGCTTATTATTGCACCTTCTAACTTAGTACTTTCTTCTCTTTATTTTGTTTCTCTTTCTTTTAAAGATGGGAGGTATGGTTATTTTATATTGACAGAGTTGCATCTGCTGTGAGGCCTACAAAAGGAAAATTTTGTGGTCTTGTTCCAGTGAGATAGAGTTGAAACAAGCTGAAAATAAGTTACCAGGAAATCATACATTTATAGTGGCATAAAACCCCAGAGTTGTGTTATTTTCTCTATCAAAAAAAAAAAATCAACAGTCCTCCTTGAGAAAGAGGAAATAATGGAGATGAGAGCACTTTCTAGGAACTGGAAGTCTTTATAAAATAGAGCAAATCTAGTAAAAGTAAGGAATGCGAAAGCAAGAGAGAAAATGGGTCTGTAAAGGTGGATAGTCCAGTTCTGGATTTTAGAAGTGGGATCATTCTAGGTTATGACATGGAAGGTTCATGATAGTGTGCTACCAAAACAGGGTGGAAATCATTAGGTCCAACTGAAGAGTTTTTGCACGTGGGTAGAACAGTAAGGTCCAAATTTGGCATCAGGACATGTGAGAAGTAGGCAGACTTCTGGGAAAAGGAGATACAAAATGTGGAAGAATTTGCAGCCTTCGAGTAAGGGTGCTTCCTTGGAAATGACATCCTTCAGCAATGCCCAGATCTGATTTAAAGCAAAATGAGAAAAAAGGAGGGAGGATAATTCTAGGGGAGAAAGTGCAAACCAGTACAGGGATGAAGAGAAAGGCTTGTGTTCTAATTGGAGAGCTTGTGTTCTGTATTTTACTCAGGAGCAAGAGGAGTAATCAGATGGGTTGAATTAACTCATCTCATAATCCCAAACAGAATTCAGTGCAAAGATTTCAGTGTCAGGCACTCAAAAGCTCCAGATGTCTGTCTATTGAAGGTTTATGGAAATAATTGCTGCTATATGAAGCAAAGGCAGGTGCAGGCTGCCACTCCAGGTGGTGTCTGCAGCCAGGTCAGCATGGTTGAGCAGAAGGTTCCAGATAGAATGTGGGAAAGAGTAGAAATCGTTTGGAGAAGCATCAATTTGGCCCAGAGTCCCATACCCATCTGTGTGTCACCAGAGCCCCAACCTAGGAACACATGTGTGCAGGGCTGCTGTTCTGCAAATTGCTATTAATTAAATCAGGGCAGGTTATTGTATCAGTTTCTTGGCAGCTTGGGATGTGACTTATAGGATGGGGAAATTTCAGAAGACAATTAGGGAGACCCCAAGGCAGCTACTGCAAGGTCAAAGCCTTGGTGGTTTGGGCGCCTGGGGGATAGAAAGGGAAAGAGAATTGAGATCTTGAAAAGAGAACCTCAGAGGCACACATTGATGGGAAAACTGTCAACTTTCATGCCTTTGTAAAAAAAAAAAAAAAAAATCCATAATTACACTTCTTTGATTTCTAAATGCCTGAGTTTTGTTGTTGTTGCTTTAGTTTTTTGGGGGGTTTTAAGTTTTGTTTCTTTTTACTGGTTAACTGTGGTGGGGGAGACACATAACTATTTCTCAATAGGGGGTATTCTTGATTTGGGTGTGAAAGGTAAGTTTTGAGTACTACCTCTTGCATTGCTGATGACTTAACTTCCATGGCCCCTGCTTTCCAACACAAACAGCACATCTCAGTCATCTTGGCAACTAAGAGCCCCTCATTACCTGCCCCTGACCACCAATGCCATTAGGAGGATCCTAACGCCCCTGGTTGATACAGGATCTAGGGGCACACTCCACCTGAGGAAAAATTTCACTCTCTTCAGAGATTTCACTAAACCCCCACTTTTAAAGCAGTGATATTCTGGAGTTTTCTTCAGTCTCAATTAAAATGAAGACCATGAATTCTGATTTTACTATAAGCAAAGACTCCTGAATTTGTTTCTGACTCACTTAGATAATGAACAGTGACATTTCAGTGCTAGTAAAACTGTGGAGCTATGTTTTTCCACTCTTCGTTTCATACATCTACAACTTGTGGCTTCTCGCATTCCCCTGCAGCCCCTCACCTATCTCTGGGCACAAGCAGGTATCTTTGTAGGGGTCTGTTAATCGTGAATTGCTTCGCACTCTCACCAGGTGGGACCATTTTATTTTCTTCACTTCGTAGGCACATTCTAGACACAGTTTAAGAAAAATGATTTCTACTTAATCTGCCTTTCCAACACTCTGGTGACACTTTCCAACAAGACAATCTCTGACACTGAAGGACATGGAGGTGAGATGGGGCAATGGATGGCCAGATGCTCAGAAGGAGGGAGGCTCCAGCTGGCTCCCCCAGGTCACTTCCGTAACTTAACCACACCTGGAAATCTGTTTGCTGCTTGAAATCCAAAGCTATGTGGTGGTGACTAGGGAGCATGGCCTGACAGATAGGAGGGGCAGGAATGGAAGGATTAGTAAGGAAACTGTTTTCCTCTCCACCTCAGGGAGGGTTGTGCAAGAAAATGTTTTGGTGTAGATGGAGGGCTGCCTCTTTTCCAGGGCCTCTGAAATTTTAGGAGGGCTGCTTTTGGGATTGATATTTAGGAGGGAGGTCTACTCCTTGAGAATTCAGAGCAGTTCTTCTACTTGACCTTCAGTTCCTCCTCCTCTTACCTGATCTTCAAGGCATCTTTAATCTTCCTTTTCTGTGAGTCTAAAACCCATCTCCTTCACCCTCCATATCTTCCTCTACCATCTCTGGCAAATATGCGGCCCACGACATACACTGCCTTCCTCCAACAAAACATACTTTGCCTCTTCCACAACCTGAAACCCCAACACTTTCCCTCCACTCATCCCACCTTGCTCTGATCTTGTCTGTATTCTCTGTTCCCTTCAATCCTATCTTATTGTTTTATTCTATATTTGGAGAGATTGTATAAATTTGCTTTCATATTTGCCCAAATGTTGAAATCATCAGCTCACCTAGACCATATGCTTTGCACAGCTCTCAGAAGTGAGGCCTTGGCTGTATGTGTACTTGCCCCCACTGACCTCACTCCAGGATTAAGTAGAGTTCTGACTCACGGTAGATGCTCCGTGATGTCCTGTGAATAAAAAATCTCCTTCCGTAATCAGGTTTAAAAATAAAAACAAAAAGCACGTGGCTGTCAGGGATTGGTGGCTTACCTGACTCAGGTACAGGAAGGTGACTCGGGGCCTGGCTCAGCAGTTCCCCTTACTCATGTTTGGGTCTCTCTTCTCCTGGCAGGAGGATGAAGTGGTACTCCAGTGCATCGCCACCATTCATAAGGAGCAGAGGAAGTTCTGCCTGGCAGCCGAGGGACTTGGGAATCGCCTGTGCTTCTTGGAACCCACTTCAGAAGCCAAGGTGAGATTGGCTGTCCGCCCTACACCTTCTTCCACCTTGGCGTCTGACAAAGTCATTTAGGGGAGATACTGCTGGGAGATGGTGATGAGGACGACATTTGAAAGGACACATTTATTTTTTAAATGGGAAGCAGATCTGGTTTAAACCATAACTTTCCACAAGCCTAGGAATCGTTGATGTAGGAACCCAGAGCACTATGAAGAATTAGAGGTGCTTTGCCTGTCAGTGTTGTCCAGGACTCTGGGGAGGCTTTGAGCTCACTGTCAGTGCTGACCGAGGAGGTCTTAATACTCCCAGAATGCCTTTCTGTTGCTGTTAATTCCTAGAAATCTGAGTGTGTGTTCTTTACTCCCTGCTGTTGTTCTATTGCTACAGAGACTCACAGATGCCTGAGCCTGTGTTTCACAGTGAGCACACCCCTTTCAGTTCTGACTGCGCTGAGATTGTTGTAACTGTCTGCCCACTGTGACACGAGGGCAGAGAGTAATGTTTGCACTGGTCTCCGCCTGCATGGTGGCAATAATGCTGTGTCTTTTCAGCAGAACTTTTCTTTCTCCATTTTCAGGCTGTTTCTGCTTTTCATGATCTGTGTGTCAAGTGGATCTATGTGCTCAGCATTCTTGCAGTGCTTTTCAGTCCTGGGAAAACCTCTATATCCGTCAGGGTTCTCCAGAGAAACAAAGTCAACTGGATGCATGGATGGATGGTGGGCAGATGGGCAGATGGGTGGATGGGTGAGTGAGTGCGTGAGTGGGTAGGTAGGTAAGTATATAAGTGTATAGAGATTTCTTTTAAGAAATTAGTTCTTGCAGTCGTAGGGGCTAGTGAGACTGAAATCTGTAGTTAGTATCAGTAGGCTGGAAACTCAGGCAGGAGTTAATGCTGTCATCTTGAGGTAGAGTTCCTTCTTTTCTAGGACATCTCAGTTGTTCTGAAGGCCTTCATCTGATCGGATGAGGCATACCAAAGTTATCAAGGCTAATAGCCTTTTCTTAAAGTTAACTGACTGCAGATGTTAATTACATCTACAAAATACCTTCACATCAAAACCTATGGTGTCGTTTGGCTGAATAACGGCACTATGGCCTAGCCAAGTTGACATAAAACCCACCATCACACCCTCTAAGCTCAGTTTTTCTCACAGAACCTTTTTTAAAAAAACCGAAAACAAAAATCAGAAATTGGTAACATTTTCCAAAAGACCCACCTATTGGCATGCCATTTTCCACATAAACATACACAACACAGACATACACAGAGAGTTTGGCTAAAATCTGTAACACCAGATGTCCAGGGTGATGGCCACGTCCTCCAGAAGCCTTCTTGTACTTCTCCCTCCCTTGTAGGTCACTGATCTGTGGATCCATAAGGATAGACATGAACCAGAGTCCCATTAAAATATATGGGATAGAAGAGAGACAAGGAAAATTTTTATCTTTTTAAAGATCTTTGACTTGATTTTCCTAAGGCCTTTTCTCATTTGCTTTTGTTCTTAGCTAGGTTTTTTTGTTTTTTTGTTTTGCTTTGTTTTGTTTTTCATTCCCGGCAGTCTGGGATAATAGGGAGGTCATTAGATTAGAAGTCAAGAAGTTAATTCTCAACCATGAGCTACTCATGTGACCGTGGGACAAGTCAGTCACTCATGTTTGCAATTTTCTCATCTGCCAAATGAGGTGCAGGACAATCCAATGGGAAGTGTGTTGACCTAAATTAGAAAACAAGTGGTATCCTTTTCTAGTCATCCATCGAGTAGGGTATAGGGCAGTGCTTTAGGGCAGCAGTTCCCAACCTTTTTGGCACCAGGATCCAGTTTTATGGAAGAGAGTTTTTCCACGGATGGTGGGAGATGGTTTCAGGATGAAACTGTTCCACCTCAGATCATCGGGCATTAGATTCTCATAAGGAGCGTGCAACCTAGATCCCTCACGTGCACAGCTCACATTAAGGTTCATGCTCCTATGAGAATCTAATGCTGCCACTGATCTGACAGGAGGCAAAGCTCAGGCAGTAATCCTCACTCACCTCCTGCTGTGCAGCCTGGTTCCCAACAGGCCATGAACTGGGTCCATGGCCCCAGGGGTTGGGGACCCTGCTTTAGGGCACAGGCTGTGAGCCAGACTGTCAAAGTTGGAATCCTGTCTCTACCACTTGCTGGCTAAACCAGGACCTTGGACAAGGTACCTCACTTTTCTGAGCTGAGTTTTCTCATCTGCTTAATGGGAATTTAATAGTAACTACCCTATAAGATTGCTGTCAGGATCAAATGGGTTCGTAAATCGCCTAGTGCATTGTAAGCTTGATAAAACCACTGGTTATTATGATTTCATATTGTACAAGACATTTAAACTGGGACTTAGTTTCTTGTTCTTTAAAATAAGGAAAACTAATTACCTTTCAGGGGGACTGTGAAAATAAAGAGAAATAATATATATAAAGCACATAATACTGAACTAATACAGTACACTTAACAGCTAGAGTTGATAATAATACTAAGTATAAAGTTGTTATCCCTTTTGACTTACAAGGTCTGATTTTGTGTAAAAGACAGAAAGACCACGGATCAGCCCCTGAACTTACAAAATCTTGAGTTTAGAATGAAAGTCTTGGAATTACAAATTCATGTAACTATCATATAATTCTATAAACATGTCTCTGTATTTATCGTTGTTTTACCCGAGCTAGATTAGAAACAACAGTGTGTTGTAATCTGAGAATGCTTTGTATCCCTCAGGCATAGAAACGATAAGTCATACACTCATAGATGAATTGGGGATGAGGAAATGTCTTTCCTAACATCCACTTAACTAAGTGATTGTTCTTATTTTAATTTGTCATTCTAAATTTCAAGCAAGATAAGACTGAAGAATTTTAAAAAGAGATACATGTCATCCATAATTTTACCACTTTGTCACAACTATTTTCATTTGTTTTTCATTCTAGCCTTTGCCCACGTGTACCTGTCTGTTTTCAAAGTTGTACTCATACTGGTTATTCAGACATTCTCTGTTTTGGGTTTTTTCTTTACTATTTCAGCCAGTTCCATATTGCTATATGGTCTTCATGAATGGTAAAAAAATAATATGCCTATGGTTTTCTTGGTTTATTTTGGCTTTCGGGAGTAAATATCCAGGAGTAGAATTAATGGTGTCGGAAGCATGAACACTATTAAACTGCTTTCCCAAAATGATAGATAAATTGTTTACAGTTGACATACCCACCATCCTTGCATGAGTGTGCCCCTTTTATATGTAGCATGAGGGAAGTGCGCCATCAGGGTTCTCACAGAGAAACAGGGTCAAATTCACGGTAAGGATAGAGCAGATATTCAGAATTTCTTGTCACCATTCCTGGGAGCAGTCTGCTAGAGGAACTTGGGTTCCAAGAGCTTCATTCTTTCCTGCAGTCATTTGCAGCTATGCAACCCTCTCTTTTGGCTGGTTGTCTTCTCCCTTATTACTAAATAGTTGCCCTAATTCTCTACCATCAAATTTCTCAACGAGCTGTACCATTCTTAGATTCTTGTATCCTAATGGAAGTCATGCAGTGAGGTGAGGAGGTATGTTTCCAAGCTTGGCACTGGGCATGAGGCACAGACATCAAATATCCTTCTTCTCAGCTGGCTACAGAGCCTACCGGTGACCTTGGGCATTTCTAGTCAAGGGTGTTTTAAGCTAGTTGAGACTCAGAGAAAATTGAGATGAATTCTATGGAGAAGAAAGACCTCAGAGAAAAAAAGAGATAAAGTGTTCAAAAACTATTCTTGGTGTGTGACCCGGAGAAAAGGAGATCATATGGAAGCAAAGGAGTGAGAGGATAGAAGAATAAAGGGCATGAGTATAATAAGATCATTAACACTTGCTATAGACATGAAGAGTATTTAGCACTTGGGAAGTCTCCCAGGACTTTGATTCCTGTATGCCATGGTCCACCCTTCCTTGAAGGTCTCCTGAAACTGCCATTAATTGATGGAAGCACTATTATTCAGCTCCCTTTCAAATAAGCAAAGGTTCAGGAATTTAAAGGTATCTTGTTTTGTTAAAAAAAAAAAAAAAAAAGGCTGGGCGCGGTGGCTCACGCCTGTAATCCCAGTACTTTAGGAGGCCGAGATGGGCGGATCACGAGGTCAGGAGATGGAGACCATCCTGGCTAACACGGTGAAACCCCATCTCTACTAAAAATACAAAAAATTAGCCGGACGTGGTGGCGGGCGCCTGTAGTCCCAGCTACTCGGGAGGCTGAGGCGGGAGAATGGCATGAACCCGGGAGGCGGAGGTTGCAGTGAGCGGAGATGGCGCCACTGCACTCCAGCCTGGGCGACAGAGCGAGATTCTGTCTCAAGAAAAAAAAAAAAAAAAAAAAAAAAAAAAAGACTAGGGGCTATTACCAGAGACTCAGAAAAAAGAGAGAGGAAATGTTTCTTTTTCATTTTATCGATAGCAAATGTTTATTTACTTTCCTTTTTACTCAATAGAAAATGTGTTCCTAGGCACTAGGAATTTAATACTTTCCCTCTGGTCCTTCACATTATATCTCATCTATTCTGTATCTGCAGTGTCCACTTGAGGGGGTTGGGGGGGGTGGTTTGGTTCAACTTTACATCCATACTCATAAGACTCTCATAGACCACTTGGCATCAGTCTTCTCAGAAGGACATAGGACAGAAACCATGGCTTGCCAGCTGGGATGTGTCAAGTACTGCATTTCGGCAGAAACCCCTATAGCAATTCAGGGGCTGGCTTCTGGATTTCCAATCCCCAGATGACAGCTCAGGTACAAAGAGCTTGAGAGGGTCCACGTCAGGCAGGTGTGAGAGTCACCATGGCTTAAAAGCCTCACGTACCATAGGAACCAATATATCTGTAACAATTCCATAGGCATAGCTTTTGAGGACTCCACAAAGGCAGCCCCAGCTACAAGAGTCGCTGCACTCCAAGAATATGCCCTTCTAAAATACGTATTGATAGTCTTCCCAGTCCACATGCAGGCTATCAATCAGGGATCATTTTCACCACAAGCAATGTACCCTGGTAACATGACTTACATACAGGTTGTATCAAGTAACCATGGGAACAAAACTGGAGAGTTAACTGAAGGTCAAATTCTCATGCAAAAGGAGTTTTAAAAAGTCATAACACTTACCCCACAGTAATCTTCAATGATGACAATTATTTAACTACTATGGCCTTGTTAGATATATCCGGAACCCCAATACCCTTCCAAATCCCAACTTCCACCTTTCTTAATAGTAGATCATCATCAAGAAATGGGAAGAATATGAGAACTATTTTTTGTTTAAAATAAGTTTCAACAGACCAAGGTTTGTTTCATTGATTTTAAGGAAGAAGAAACTAAGATAGGTGGAGTAAAACAATTTACCTTAGTGCCCTTTAAAAAGCCAGTGGCATGTCTAAAGTCTTGAGGCTGTAGGTATGTAACAGTGAAGTCCCACTTCTTTTTTGAGGAATTCTTTCTTACTGATCATGGCTTGTTCAAACTGAAAAATACAGTTTTCAAATCCAATGGAAATTTTCATTTTATTGTTTTCATCTCCTGTTTGCAGAATGATGGAATAGTGTGCTATTGTTTGAGAGTTATGTAGGCTCTGAAGACCCAGGATTAAACATTAGCTGTTGTACAAACATCATTATGTAGATGACATAAATTAAGATTGCATCTTTGGCTAAAAATAACTTATTTTCTATTATTTTTAGATTCTTTAGCTGAGAAAGAGATTACTGTTTCCTCCTAAAAAATTAAGTCTGTGAAGATTTGCAGAGACAGACTCATCCTAAGGTTGTACAGCCTTCTTTGAACTTCTGATGTATGTTAGTACATAGTATTCTCTATGGACCTGAGATCTTATGAAAGACCAGGCTATTATAAAACTTTAAAAAAAAAAAACTCCCTTATCATGTAATATGAAGAGGCATATAAGCTGAGATTTTGACTTTTTTTTTTTTTTTTAACATTTATCAGGCATCATGCGCTATGTCCCAAGTAATGCCGTGGGTGCCTACTGCTTTCATTTACTCTTTATGACTCTATAAAGCAAACATTGTCCTCATTTACAGAGAAGAAAGGTGTAAGAATTTAAACTGAGTTAAGTGACTTCATGAAGATTGTTCATTCCAAACCTGAATCACTGTCTAATTTCTGTAATATTCAGAAATAAAGAGTATCGTGGATCCAGCTTACATAAGGGTAAAGAAGGCATATTACTCCATGTAATTAGACTTCAGAAATGCCTGGGCACATCTCCATACCCCTCCCACAACTTTTCTACATCTGTCCTATGACTGTCTGGCATTCCTAAGTTAGAAATATATATTTTGCTTAAATCAAACAGGAACTAGTAAAATGCAAATGCTTTGAGTGAGCCATAAAGCAGTGTTAAATTTTTGTACAGCTAATATTTTACAATATAAATGAGAATATCATGTATTTTCTTCAAAGTAAGTTTCTAAAGGGATCTAAGGCAGATTATTATGTGCCTCTATATTGGGATAGAGGTACCCAGACATGGTAAGACTGGGGAGGAGGGGTGCAAAACATCTACTGCTTTAATTTGTGACAGTTTATCTGACTTTTCTTCTGCCTTTCCACAAGTCTGTGAGCACTGACATCAAGGACTTTTGTATAGCTCTGTATAGCACAGTGCTTAATAAACTTGACCCTGGAGTCAGACTGCCTGGACTGGTAATTCTGGCTCCAACACTTAGCTGTGTGACTGTGGGCAAATGACTTTACTGCTCTCTGCCTCAGTTTCTTCATCCTTCAAACTGTACCCATCTCATAGGATTATTATGAAGATTCAGTGACACAGGTTCAAAATTGTAATATGCTTTACAGCAGTTCCTAACACATCAGAAGTGCTATATTTAAGCAGTAGCATTTAGTATCAGCACAGGGTCATACACATATTAGGTCCTCAGAAAATGTTGATTGGCTTAGTTAAGTTGCCCATGTGTACTGAATTAACTAATTGAATTTTTGAAAGCCTGGATGTAAGAATCAGGAGGATATTTGTGACTTTTAAAAGTAAAATATTAAGGAGAGTCAGAGGGAGTTAGATAAAAAGTGTTAGTGAGTGGATGTTTTAAACAATGAATCAGTGGGATATAAGTTTTAATTGTTACTAATTTTTATTTTAATTCTGATGTGCTCAGAAAACATTCTGTGTATCACTCCAATCTTTTTCAATGTATGGAGACTTATTTTATGGCCCAGCATATGGTCTATGTTGGTGAATGTTTCAGGTGTCTTGAAAACATGGTGTGTCCTGTAGTTGTTGGATGTAGGTTTTATGGATGTCAAGATGGTCAAAAGGGGTGTTCAAATCTTCTATGTCCTTACTGAAATGTGTCTGCTGTTTTATCAATTATTGAGAGAAAGGTGTTAAAAACTATGAGGATTTGTCTCTCTTTAGTTCTGTCACTTTTGTTTCATGTATGTTAAAGCTCTGTTATTAGGTGCATGTGTATTCAGAATTTTTGTTTTTCATGATGAATTGATCCTTTTGTCATTATCAAATTGTCCTATTTGTCCTTGGTCTTATAGTATGCTTTGACTCATGCTAGTGTAGCCATAAGCTTTCTTATGCTTACTGTTTATATGGTACATCTTTTTCATCAGTTTTTTACCTTATGTATGTATTTATATCTTTATATTTAAAATGTATCCCTTATAAACAACATATAGGTAAGTACTGTTTTCCTACCCCATTTTACAATCTCTGGTGTTTAATTGGAATGTTTTATTCATTTACATTTATTGTAATAATTAGATACTCAGGTTTTAGTCTACCTTCATGCTATTCTTTTGTCTCCTCTGGATTTTGTTCTTCTGTTTCTCCTTTTTTGCCTTTAAATAAAGTAAAGTTATGACATTTTATCTTCTCTGTTGGCTTTTTAGCTCTACCTCTTAGTATTATTTTTGAATACTTTTTTTTTTGGGTTTTTTTGAGACAGAGTCTTGCTCTGTCACCCAGGCTGGAGTGCAATGATGCAATCTCAGCTCACTGCAACCTCTGCCTCCTGGGTTCAAGCAGTTTTCCTGCCTCAGTCTCCCAAGTAGCTGGGATTACAGGCACCTGCCACCAGGCCCAGCTAATTTTTTGTATATTTAGTAGAGATGGGGTTTCACCATGTTGGCCAGGCTGGTCTGGAACTCCTGACCTCAGGTGACCCACCCGCCTCAGTCTCCCAAAGTGCTGGGATTACAGGAGTGAGCCACCAGGCCTGGCCTTGAATACTTTTTTTTTTTTTTTTTTTTAGTAATTAAAATATAAATCGTTAACTTATCACAGTTTTCCTTGCATTCATATTTATACAAATTCCCTTATATCTTTTGTGCTATTATTGTCAGAGATTTTATTTCTACCCATTTAAAATGTGTAACACATTTTTATTTTTGTTTCAAAATGTCAATAGTCTTTTAAAGAAATAAAAGGGAAGAAGAACCTTTTATAAAATTAATGTATTTGCCATTTTCAGTGCTCTTTTTTTCTCTCCTCTAGATCCAGATTTCTATCTGGTAGCATTTTCCTTCAACCTGAAGGATATTCCTTAGTGTTTCTTATACTTCAGATCTGCTGGGGACAAACTCTCCAAGCTTCTTTTTCACTGAGAATGTCTTTATTTTGTCCCTGTTTTTGAAGGATTTTTCTCTGGATAAAAAATCATTATTTAGTTTTTTTTCTTCTTCTTGCAGCACTTTGAAGATGGCATCTTATTGCCCTTTTGCCTCCATTGTTTATGATGTAAAGTTAGCTCTCATTTTTATCATCATTCTTCTATATGTAACAAACCTTTTCCTCTGGAAAGTTTTAACATTTTTTTCTTTATCTTTGACTTCTAGCAATTTGGTTTTTGTTGTTGTTGTTGTTGTTTGTTGTTGTTTGAGATGGAGCTTCACTCTTGTCACCCAGGCTGGAGGGCAATGGCGCCATCTCCGCTCCCTGCAACCTCCCCCTCCCAGGTTCAAGCAATTCTCCTGCCTCAGTCTCCTGAGTAGCTGGGATTACAGGCGCAAGCCACCATGCCTGGCTAATTTTTGTATTTTTGTAGGGATAGGGTTTCACCATGTTGGCCAGGCTGGTCTCGAACTCCTGACGTTAAGTGCTCCTCCCACCTCAGCCTCCGAAAGTGCTGGGACTACAGGCGTGAGTCACTGTGCCCAGTCAGGTTTCTAGCAATCTGAATGATGTGTTTGAGGGTAGTTTTCTTTAAATTTATCTTGCCTGGATTTTGATGAGCTGAGCTTTATGGATCTTTTGGTTGTTGTTTTTCATTAAGTATAGAATTTGGGGGACATTATTTCTTAAAATATTTTATGTGCCATATTTACTCTCTCCTGGGACTCCAACTACTTATATGTTAGATTGTTTTATATTGTTCCACAGGTCACTATGACTCTATCCATTTTTTCTTCAACTATTTTTTTATCTATGCATCTGCCTGAATACTTTCCATTGACCTATTTTATATTTATTTATTCCCTTTTTTAATGTACATGTGCTATTAACCCCCTCTAATGAATTTATTTCAGGCTTTTATTTTTAAATTCTAAAGTTTGCAGTTGTTTATTTCTAAGGTTTCTGTTTATTTTCTAAGATTCTTCTTTCTCCTCCATTATTCTTTCTCCCCTTCCATTATCTCTCTCTTCTCCCATTATTCCCATTTTTTTGGTAAATTCATTAATAAATTTATAATCATTATTTAAATCCTTGACTACCAATTCAACGTCTTGAATGTCTGTAGGTCTGCTTCTAATGACTGACTTTGCTCTTGGTTATAAGTCACATTTTCCTATTTCCTTTAATATTTAGTATTTTTAAATTTTATACTGAACATTGTAGATGATATTTTATAGTTATTCTGGTTTCTGTTGTCTGCCCCCTGAGGAATATTGTATTTTGTTGTAGCTGGCAGTTAAATTACTAGTGTGTCTCCTTCATCTTGTGCCAGCTTGCTCCATTTAAATTTTGCCCTTAGTTCTAAGGTGCTGTTCCTGGTCTCCAGATGTAGTCTTTTGGGATTTTAATGAAAAGCCTGCAGTATTTTCTAAACACCTCTAAATAGCCAGACTTGAAAACCAAATTTTGCCATTCCAGAAATAAGTAGCTGTTGAAACTTTTGCTTATTCTAAGCATTTTAGCTGTTGCTTTCTAGCAATGCTGTCTTATATAGCTTATGAGTTGGCAAACAAATTGAGGGGAATTTGTATACTGATCTTGGGTTTTATTAATCTATGGTGGTTTCCTTGTTCCTAACATTTCTCCTCTTCTATTTCCAGACATTCTGGTAGCCCCATACTCAGGTCTCTTACTTCCTAGAAGCCTTTTTCTTGACATCTATTCCCCATGGATCCTATGAACAGGAGAGTACCCTTAGAAGAAAATTTAATTAAATGTTTATAGCACCTGATTGACTTCTCATCTTTAAAAAGTAATATTCCTTTCAGTTCTAGATTGCTCCCTGGTGCCTTCAAATAGTTATTTATTTAAATATTTATCCAGAATGTATCATTGTTATTGGCAAGAGGATTATTTTGCTATAGGTAGTTCCACCATTACCTGAACCAGAACCTCATCAATGAGTATTCATTGCTCTTTAAAAGAAGTTGAGTGTTTAAATGAAGAAGAGAAAAAAAAAATGACGGTTGAAGTAGAATTGAAGTCTTATAAAGAAAAAGTTTTAAGGTTGTAAAGAAAAAGTTTTCATAAGAGACACAAGCATGTTTCTAGGAAGAGAAGAAAAGGGCCCTAGAAAAGGAAAGAGAAGGTTCCAAAAGATAGAACTATAGGCATATGCAAAAGATAGAACTTTCTTTGGCATATGCCAAAGCTTCACTCAATTTAATTTCCTCTCTAATAGATGGCACTACTAGAGAGGGAATTAAATTGAGTATGGTTTTGGCATATGCAAAAGAAAAGATAGGTGATGAGGGCACAGATTTTGAAGTAGCAAGGATGGGAGCTGAACATGTATAGGGACTTATTGCTGAAGGAAAACATAGACTTGTGATCATTGTATAGATTCCTCATGTGAATAGGAGATGAATAGGCTTGGATTACATTGAATTCAGGTATGGGTAACAATTCATGGAGTGGCAAAGGGATCAAGGTAGGAGGAGTCAAGTATGATGCTAGAGTTATAGGTTTTAGCTGCCTGTAACTGGCTGACATATCATTGAGTGAAATAGGGCATATATTGGAGGAGGGATAAAGGAAGACAGAGGGAGGAGATGGAATTTATGAACTAAATTTTAGTCATGTGGAATTCAAAAAGCCTGTAAGACATCCAACAGAAAATTTTGGTAGGCATCTGTATATATGACTTAAGAGTTCAAAAGAGAGGTTGGGATGGAAGTAATGTTCAGGAGTTACTGGCTTAAGTAACTCCTTAGTAAAGGAATTGGTAAATCACACTATGAGAGTGAATACAGAAAATGTTTATTAAAAAGAGAGGAGGGCCTGGGAAATGTCAATAATTAAAAATGAATGGAGAAATAAACGATAAGAAGGAACATCCTGAGAGATCAGAAAAGAAATAGGCATGTGTGTCATAGAAGTCACAGAAATCAAGAGAAGAATATCAAGAAGGAATATAGTCATAGGGTAGAATACCACTTGGAGAAGATGGCATGTCCATTAGATAAAGTGACATGGAGGCCAGTGACAACCTTGGAGGGAGCTCTTTCAATGGCATGTGGTGAGGACAGAAGCCAATTTAGAGAACTTGAGCAATAAGAAGAAAGTAAGAAAATAAAGACAACCAATGAGGCATCTCTGAAAGAGAATGATGGCAGGATAGGGTCTTAGAATGGAAGGATTTTTGAAATAGGAAAGACTTCAGAATGTTTAAATGCTGAGGGGAAGATATATGTGGAAAAGAGAAGAGAGGAGATACAGGAGAGGGAAGAGGTGGTCAGTGTGCAAAATTGCCGATACAGTGGAAAGGCCTGGTGTTAAGAACAGAGACAAGGAACTGACTTTCAGATAAATGAGGAACTCATGTTTCATTGAATAGGAAGGAAAACGTCAAGGATGAGGGTGGATCTGTAGGTTTTTGTGCAGAAAGTTTTGGAGAGGGAGCTGCCTAGAGAAGAATAATGGCATTTCCAAATAGTGTGAGAGCATAGGGTTGAAGACCACTTGAGGATGACGACCATGAATTTTTAGTGCTACGCATTTTCTAGATTGTGTCACTCTCTGCAGCAGTCCCAGCACAGGCATGAAGAAAGTGGATTGTTAAATTCAGCCAGGATCAAAGTGTTGCCAGGCAAGTATGATAAACAACAAAGGGGCAAAAGAGTTGAGGAGATTGGACCATGGAGTCTTGGAATTTAAGTTGAATGAGGAAAGAACAAAAGATAGGAGTGAAAATGTATAAAGGATATAAATAGTAGGGAGAGTAGTTTAATGAGTGAGCGAGCAAGTTGGAAGATGAGTACATGGTTAGACAGTGGCCTGTCTCAGTCAGAGGTCTCAGAGTAGAGGACATAGAAACAACCCCTAGGTGTATGACCATGAGAGGGTGTGACTGACTTGGAGCGTGGAAGATCGTTGATAAAGAGGAAGCCAAATAACTGAGGAGTTGTAAGATGGAATATTCATTCATTAGTAGGGCTACTGTAACAAATTACCACAATCTAGATGGCTGAAAACAACAAATTATTCTCTTGCAGTTCTGGAGGCTAGAATTGGAAATCAAGGTGTTATCAGGGCCATGCTCCTTCCAAAGTCTCTAGGGCAGGATACTTCCTTGCCCATTCCATTTTCTGGTAGCTTTAGGCATTCTTTGGTTTGTGGAAGCATAACCCCAGTCTCTGCCTCCATCTTTACGTGGCTTTTTTCTCTGTGCACGTCTTTGCCTGTACATAGCATTTTGTTGTTCGTATAAAGGACATCAATCACCTTGTAAGAGGGCCTCCATCTCAACTTGATTATATCTGATAAGGTCATATTCACAGGTACAGGGGGTTAGGAATTCAACATATCTTTTGCGGGGACACAAAACCATATATCAGTATGAATGTTCAAATCACTAGGAGCAGAAATGAAGAGAAGACAGATTTCAGTAAAGGAATAATAGGTCAAAGTACACAAACATCAAAGAGGAGGGGAGTAGAGGGTGATGTTGCCAGGTTTGCAAATCTTAGAGTTAACAGTTTGTAGAAGAATAATGATCTAAAACCAGTGCTGAGCAGCAGAAGTGCATAGGCCCCACCTTGTGAGCCTGAGTTATTTGGTGAGAGAATGAGTATCCTGTGATTAGGAAGTCCCCAAGAGAAGCAGGGTCCTTTGGGAGGACCTGAGTTTCATTTGTTCAGGCTCAGAGTGAGAAGTGGTGCCCAGGGAGAACTTTGGGATGGATGGCTGGGCGCAGTGGGTCATGACTGTAATCCCAGGACTTTTGAGAGGCCGAGGCAGATGGATCACATGAGGCCAGGAGTTCAAGACCACCCTGGCCAACATGGCAAAAACCCATACCTACTAAAAATACAAAAATTAGCCAGGTGTGGTGGTGGGCATCTATAGTCCCAGCTACTTGGAAGGCCAAGGCATGAGAATGGCTTGAACCCAGGAGGCGGAGGTTGCAGTGAGCTGAGATCATGCCACTGCACTCCAGCCTGTGTGACAGAGCAAGACTCCATCTCAAAGAAAAAAAAAAAAGTGTGAGGTGGATGATTGAGCATATTGATCCCGGAGTAGGCATTCCAGCAGGGTTGGAATGGGCAAAAGGCTGAGTTAGGTGAATGGAGGGTGAGAGAACTAAGAAAATGAAAATACAGAAGAGGAAAAATGATACAGCAGAGGATTTAGATAGTGGCAGTTGCTGAAAGAAAACAAAACAAGGGCATGAGACTTTTGGGTTTAATCCTGCTGTCTTCTGGAGCATGGTGGGCATGTAGTGGCATGTAGCAGATAGATGCTGGATAGTCGTTTTGTTTGACCTAGACATTCTTTTTTATCTTAGCTACCAGAGTGCCTGTTTACAAGTACAAGCCTTGCTGCCCAACATTTTGGGTGAACAGAGTTCACTAAGAATGTTCAATCTTATGCACATATGGTGGGCTGGCCCTGTGGTGAGGTTCTATGGGGACCATGGTGGGCACTATGCATTGAGAAACTAGCCTACATCAGGCCGTTGTTCCTGTTGTGCCAGGGATTATTGCTGTCACATGCAGGCAGAACAAAAAGGGTCATTTCATATTCATCCATATGCAACTTCAAGGTGAAGGGTTGGGATGCAATCCTAACTATGTTCAGATTCTGAAAAACATGGCTCCACATTCCAGTTCTTCGTGATTGGCAGCTGAACTGTTTTCTTTCAGGAAATTATCTTCCTGTTTCTACATCCACATTGCTCCTCACGTTCTGCTATTTCTAACAGTCAAGGAATGGAGAAGGGAAATAGATATCTAAAGAAATAGCATAGAAGTCAAGTGCAACACATGTCAAGTTTATTAATGTATTTGTCATTTGTTGAACCCATAGTAGAAAAGAAAAAAACATCCACCTTTTAACTCTGAGATCTCTCCTCATCTATATTGTCCTCCTTCCTACTTGAGTTATTAATGCTGTCTTGATAACTTATCTGCTTGAGGCAATACCAAACCCCTCTTCTTATTTAAAGGCAATCTGTACCTTAGTGGTGGGAATCTTCACAAAGAATTTATTCAGTGTGTAAAGTAGCACCATAAGTCTGCTGTTCATTTGTCATTTACTTGCTCACAGCAGGCCAGTGGCCCCAGGTGAATTATGAATAGGTATTCATACATAGGCACCTCTGTCACGCTTAGTACTTTGCTCTTTAGACCTAATAGCTGCTATTTTGGTCTCGATTAGCAGTATTTTTTTTCTTCCTCCGCCGACTCCTGAACTTACTAATTAGATCACAGTCTTGCCTTTTTTTTTTTTTTTTCTGTGATTAGAACATCTCTTTTCTAGGTGTTGTTTTTACATGGAAGAAGAAATAAAATGGTATATTGTGTTTGTGTTAGAACTTGACTTTTAAGAACCCAAGTCATGGCCGGGCATGGTGGCTGATGCCTGTAATCCCAGCACTTGGGAGGACAAGGCGGGCAGATCACAAGGTCAGGAGATCGAGACCATCCTGGCCAACATGGTGAAACCCCGTCTCTACTAAAAATACAAAAAATTAGCCAGGCATGGTGACACGTGCCTATAGTTCCAGCTATTCGGGAGGCTGAGGCAGGTAATCGCTTGAACCCAGGAGGCGGGGGTTGCAGTGAGCCGAGACTGCACTACTGCACTCCAGCCTGAGCAACCGAGCGAGACTCTATCTCAAAAAACAAACAAACAAACAAACAAAAACCCAAGTCATGTTACATCTGTCATCTTGATTCTTCATGGATATTTTCAAACCAGGAGGTAAAACCTAAGTCATGGTTATGACCTTTTGTGTTGTATTTTGAAGTTATGTGCATGCTCATAATTCACAAATCATACTACTGTTTTGGGTAGTGATTCAAGAGATCTGGCTTTGCTCTCCTTCTAACTTGCTGTAAAATGTTATGCAAAATGACCTCTCAGGCCTGAATTTTGCTACCTGTCACATGAGGAAATATTTTATGAAGGAAATGCCTACAATTTTTTTTAGAAATTAAGATTTTCAGACATTTACATCGACAGCTTTATGTTCCTTATTTTTTTAACTTTTAAGTTCAGGGGTACACTTGAAGGTTTGTTACATAGGTAAACTTGTGTCACAAGGGTTTGTTGTACAGAGTATTTCATCATCCAGGTATTAAGCCCAGTGCCCAGTAGTTATTTTTTCTGCTCCTCTCCCTCCTCCCACCTTTCGCCCTCAAGTAGACCCATGTCTGTTGTTTCCTTCTTTGTGCTCATAAGCTCTCACCATTTAGCTCCCACTTTTAAGTGAGAACATCAAGTATTTGATTTGCTTTTCCTGCATTAGTTTACTGAGGATATTAGCCTCCAGCTCCATCCATGTTCCCACAAAAGACGTAACATCGCTCTTTTTTATGGCTGCATAGTATTCCATGGTGTATGAGTACCACATTTTCTTTATCCAATCTGCCATGGTGAGCATTTAGGTTGATTCCATATCTTTACTATTGTGAATAGTGCTACAATGAATATTCATGTGGAATAGAACATTCTAGAATGATTTCTATTCCTCTAGGTATGTACCCAGTAATGGGATTGCTGGGTCGAATGGTGGTTCTGCTTTTAGCTGAGACATCACCATGCTGCTTTCCACAACAGTTGAACTAATTTATACTACCACCAACGGTGTGTAAGTATTCCTCTTTCTCTGCACCCTCACCAGCATCTGTTGTTTTTTAACTTTTTAATAATGGCCGTTCTGACTGAGATGGTGAGATGGAACCTCATTTGCCCATTCATTCCTTAAAGTTTCATTCTTTTTAAATAATGACCTGACCAAACTCTATGAACTGAACCATTTTGAACCATTTGCAAACAAAAAACTTTTTTATTCTTAACTTCCTGATAATAGAGCAAATAGTTGATTTTTAAATAATTTATTAACAAAACACCCTTGGGAATTTGTTTTTCTTCATCTAAATTATTTCAGGGAATGATTACAAAGTGTTCCTAACTCAAGGCATTCCAGGATTTTGCTGCTTTCTCTATAAGAATGTCTTCAAATCACTTTTCTTCCATTTAACTGAGCTTTATCCAAAGCTTTTAGAGGATGAGAACAATTGGTACAAGAAAGCTGTTTGTAAGCCTCTCTCAAACAGCTGCCTTTGGGCCACTGAGCAGTTGACAAAATTAAGAAACTCTTGACCTAATGCTCTGTTTCTTCTTGGAGCATTTTCATGAAGGATCTTTGCTCTAAGCCCTACTTTAATACTTCACTGTACATCCCAAGATATTTCTACTTCAAAATAGAACAGAATATCATCTCTTTGGGGTGGTTCAGGTGCACTACTGCCTAATAGTACTGAGGGTGGAATAATTGATCTCAGCCTCACCTCTTCAATTCCAAGAGTAGTCACTTCAGACTTGAAATTTGAATTATTACCCTAATAAGCCATGGCATTTAGGTTCAAACAATTTAACTTCTTTTACCTAAAGATGAAGAGAGCTTTTAGAATTTAATACAAGCTGTGAAATGGAGTGAACAGAGGAAGGCTTAATATTATCCTTCAGAAAATTTCAAGTAAACAGCTAAAGAGTATTACTCTTGTTAAAAAAAAAAAAAAAGAGTCAAGAAAGATGAGAACTTTTTGATGTTTATGAGAATTTTTACAACCTTCTCTGGTCAATTTTTGACTTGAAAAATGAGCCCTGTGGTTTTGCTCACTACTCAATTTCCTTGGCAAATTGTGTCAAGAATGCTTCTCCATAAAGATAAGCCTGGCCAGTATCCATGGGGCTTGGCACGGAGTTCTCTTTGAAGGGTGGTGGTTCCCATCTTGAATGAACATATCCATCAGTTCTCATTTTTGTATTGGATGGGGCCAGGAACTAGCTTTTTTTAAAAAAATAAACTGCCAACAATTCTTATGCAGGTGGTCTACAGCCTGCACTTTGAGAAATTGTTGGTGGGGCTGAATTTGCAGTCATTGACCTTATACACCAGTTTCGTCATTTGACTAATATCTTCAGTGACAAAGGAGCTAGCTACTTAGCCAGGTTAGGAGTGCTGGTGTCATCACAAAATAAAGCAAAGCTATGATCTCGACTTCATTAGCAGCACATTCAAACTTACCCACATTCTGTCCTAGGTTTCCGGTTGCTATAGTAATAGATAGACTTGCTTCCTTTCCAAAATATACAAGTTTAATAGGCAGCCAAACATGGCTTTCATCTGTGTCTAGTTCACTAAGAACATAAGGATGAATGCCACAGGAAAGCAAGTGGCTAATCTGAAGCATTTATCTTCATGGGGTCTGACAGACCTTGCTTAGGTCGCTGTGAGCAAGGACTTTGCTTTTTGAGGTGTGGCATTGCTCCATCAGTTTCTATCAATGCATTCATTCTGCCTAGTGTTGCCAAGTGAACTCAACCATTATGTATTGGAGATAACTCTTAGTTATCCAGGAGGGAAAAAGAAAGGCCATAATTTGTCATGCAGCACCCCTTCCCTGTCTTCATTGTTGATGCAGAACCTCAGTAACCCTGGTTAATTACTCAGCAAAGCGGAGGAAGGGAGCTCAAGATGAAAGCCCAGTCATGTGAACTTGGATGGTTGGACAGATGTAGCATTAGACGTGGTATTTCCTGGCCAGTCCCCCCAGATACTGAGTGATGGGTTGAATTCAAGTAGGAGGAGACTGAGTCTCCTAATGGTTTCCCTGTGTTTATCAGAGACAGCTCATGCCCTGGGTGAAAGATGTCAATGACTTCAACCAGGAAAGATTTGGGGAGAAGGAGATCCAATAGATCACCACAGTTCAATGAACACTTTCATTTTACCCAACCTCCATACTTACAGTTCTTCCTGGTAAGGATGACATGATTGAAGAAGATATGGCCTGAGGAGGGGATAGGTCTTTCTATTACCATTCTATTCAAAAACTGATAAGTGAACATTTTAACTCCTGCAGGATCTGACTGGCAGTGCTAAATCCATGCCCAGTGTATATATTTTTAAGTGTCTGTGATGAGTGTTACGTGCTTTCTTGCAGTGGGGATGTATAGTACAAATCCTTGCAGATGTAAACATCTAGTGGTGGTGGTTCAGCTCAGGTAGTATGAGACAGTTGGAGGGGATGGGATCTAGTTCTCTGTGGAGAGATACAAGAACTTTTTCCATTTTGGAGAAAAATATTTATAACATTTATTTCCACAAAGGTTTTTGAAAAGGTATTTTCCACAAACATTTTTGAATATCTGTCCATGTACTGCTGCTAATTATTTTTTAAATCTAGAATTTGGTTTCTAGAGATATTATTTCTCTCAAAGCAAAAAAAAAAAATGCCATGTAGGAGCAAAAAATAAAAACTACATGTCCACATTGGAATTTGGATTCAGTTTGAGAGTAGGAAGAAGGCATTGGGGAAAAATCTCAAAAACATTTGGAAGCCGAGCTGTTTTCCTTGGCTTTCATTGCCCTGAGCTTTGTGTTCACTTCCCATCCTGGGTCCATGAACTGCATGCAGCTAATACTGCAGTCAAGGCAGGACCCAGTACGCTAGAGGTGCTCCCAAAGTGATAAATGATGCTGATGCCGATTGCACCTGAGGAGACAGCCCCACCTCTGGCTACTCTGTCTCTGTTCTGTCTGTCAGCCTTCAGTTCCAGTTTGGCATTTCCTCAGCTCTCGTGGGCGCTTAACAATGCTTTTCTCAGTGTTCCGCTTCCTGTCATGCAATGAAAAGGCCAAGAGACACAGATTCTCCCATCCTGCAGCTGCTGGATACCACTGCCTTGGTAATAGAGAACAGCCTCTCCATGGTTTGTAAATTCTGTAGCAACTATATCATCATTCCAGAGGGAGGAGGGTGTAAGTGGAATGGGAAAGGAATACATGGGAGAGGCAAAGCTCATTTGTGTTCTTCCCACCAAAAGTACAGTGAAACAAAATTTGAGACAAAAACCTGAACATTAGCTCGAGACTTAGACCTTCCTTCTCCCCTCTCCCCTCAATCTTCACCCCATCTCTCTGTTTCTGCCGATCCTACCTCATCTTAGCTGCACCATCATGTACCCTGCCTTCCTCCCCCTGCCGATGCTTACATCCCTAACTTATCGATGGGACACTGTGGTTGATTTTTATCTCCCGTTTGACATTCTGCCTTTTCTCTCTCCTGGCCTCTGCTATTTTTCTGATATGCAAGCTCTTTGGAATAACATCTTCATGGTTTCTCATCACAGCATCCATTGAAAGCTAGAATTCCAGGGATTGTTACGTTCCCATTAAGTTTCCACAGCTCATTGTAGTACCTGTGCTACTCATTAAGTGGTTGCTTATTTATGGCTGTATATTTTTATGACCATATAAAGAGTCAGTGTTTCAGGTATTTCTGTCCATCAACAGTAGGTATTAGTTGCTACTCATCAACACAACTTGTTTTTCCAGGTGCAAGGGTTCCAACTTTTCACCTATTGGCACCTTAGCTTTGTAACATGCCGACCATGTGCTGCCAGGCAGAGGGAAAAACTGGAATATGAAATTTTGCCAGTCCTGCTCAGGAGTTTCTTGGCTCACCGTATTTCTGCATTAATCCTTCCAGAACAAGCTTATACATATCTGTTTTAGCTCTTGTGAGAAATCTCTGAGCACCACCAAAAGAATAATTAGCTGGGTGCTGTGGCACACACTAGTAGTCCCAGCTCTTTAAGAGGCTGAGGCGGGAGAGTCTCTTGAGCCTAGGAATTGGAGTTCAACTTAGGCAACAGAGAGAGACCTTGTCTCAAAATAATAATGATGATGATGATGATGATGATGATATTGATAATTGATGCAAGTGTTGTTCTCACTTGAGTTACTAAACCTTCCTCCAAGAGAGGCTAGACTTTAATGGATCTGTTGATCAATGTCAATTAATAGCTATATATCTGGGCCTTTGAGGAATAGGCAAAGAAACAGTGATTGTGGCTATTTTTTTTTTTAGCTCTTTATCACATTAGATTAGCATTTCTCAGCAAGTCTTTTGTCAAAGGATATTTGTCCTGCAATTTGGATTCTCTGCTTCTAGGCAGTGGTGATGCCTCCCTTACATAAGAAAAGCTTCAGCAAGCGTTTTTCTTAAGTAAATATTTAAGCTTTCTAGAATGAGCTTTTTATTCTATTCAATAAATAAATTTGATAACCTTCTCCAATTTCCTTGCACATGATCAACTTATTCCAACATTTTCCTTCTTAATATTCCTTGTGTTGGAGTAAACCTCAGGCCAGCACAGTGCCTAGAAACAGCAATCATTCTGCTCATGGCTGCAAGTGCTTCTGCTTTAGAAGTCTCCTGGTGCTATGATAGTGTTTTTCCACCACTGTCAGTTCTCTTGGGGCAGCTCACTCATCCCTAGAATGAAGAAGCACCTAGAGAGAGTCTTTGTGCTGAAAGTATTGCATTTCTGTGGTTTATTCCTCAGACATTAGAAGGGGTTTTCTTTACTTCCTTCTTTTAAAAGATACTGACATCTTCCTCCCCACCTCCCAGAAAAAAGAATATTTTCCAGCTATAAGTTTAAATTTTCTGCATCTTACTGTGTACATATAATTGCTTTTGTTAGCAGTGTCTAAACAACATTATAGCTCAAATGTTGTGAATAGCTTCTATAGTTTTCTTCAGAAGAACTTTCCATCTTTTACCATAGCAAAATACCTTTTTAATTTAAGAAAGGTTTATGCATTTTAACTTTATTTTATAATAACAGCTCTTAACACAAACAGGCAAGCTCTCTTTTCTCAAAATCTTTAAAATCTGAATATATACACATTTAAAATCACACATGTGGTCCATAATTGAAACTTGCACCATCATCCCCAGAGTTAAATTGCGTTTTGGAAGAAAAAGCTTATATGGTGAGTCAGTCTCAGATTTTTAGAACTGCATAAAATGAAAATATTCCCACCTGCCTAAGTTTATAAAATATAGATTTTATGAGCTCTTGAGCCCTGATAGTCCCAGTAACTTCAGTCCATAGTCTTTACATTCTCAAAGATTATTCCAAAATAGAGAATGCTTTCTGAGGTACACTCAATAACGGGGTATAAAGTCCTTAACTTTCATTTAAGGCATAAGAGTTGGGAGGTAGGTAGCCTAGTGGGATTAGAATTGTACAACCTTGGGATAGGCATGGGAATGGGAACTCTATCTCCAGGGATATTGATGCAGTATGAGTCAGAAAGAGTTGGGTGTGAAATTTAGGGTTTAAATGTTCATCCCAGCGGTGTGATTGTGGGGAAGTGTTTCAGTCTTTCTGAGTCTTTCTCACCTGCAAAATGGCTTAAAATGTCTTCTCTAAAAGCACTGGTGTAAGGGATAGATGACATAGTATTTATAAAGCATCTTAGTGCAATGCCTGGTACAATTGTATAGATAGTTTCATGGATACATTTAAAATGTATATATGGATTCTATTCTTCTTTCTCTACTTGCCCATATAAGTTTTACCTAGTTCCTTTGTATTTCAATTGACTCACCTCTAATATGGTTGTACAGCCATTGATTATTTTTGTAGAAATCCAGAGAGTAGCCAACAGCATCAGATTTAAACATTCACCGTGTAACTTTCTCCATTATAAACTATCAACAACTTTCCAGAGGTCACAAAGGTAGGCTTAAAAAGCATTTAACTGCACAAATACATAAATAAAATCTGGTTAAGATGAGGTATAGATATTAATGACTGGCTTCACCTTTGAAGTATAACTACAATGCAAATAATTATGTGTTATCGATAATTGATTGGAAGTCTGTAAGTGAGCTCAGGTTTGCTGTAGGTTGATGAGATAATGTCTTTAAAGTGCTCAAAGGTCCTGAAATACAAACTACACACACCGTCTCCACCTATCCTGATGCTGTCCCATGAAAACGTGGTCTTATCCAGTTCCACTGTACCCCATGAGGCCTGGTTGACCTGGGACATTTTCTAGAGGCGATAGTGGTTTTCTGCCTAGGAGAGCTTGAGAAGTCTTCTCATCCATGTCTTTGAGTAGGACTATATAAAACCATCATAGGGAGATGGCAGTCAGCCCTGTTTGAGGTGATGTGGTGTCACGGAGCAAATGCAATGCATATAGAAGCCAGGCCACTGGGGACCGAGTTCATCTCCACCTTCTACCAGCAGACATAATGCCCCTGGAGAAGTAGACTCTGTGTCTACACAATCTGAAATCTAGAGCCACGACAGTGAACACCACCCATATTTATTCCTGAACGAGGCAGTCTCAGGTAGCATGAATAGAGCATAAAGGGGGAAATTGAAGGCCTGATGCAGTGGTGTACTACTTTTTCTTTCCTTTGCTCACACCCATTCCTCATTCATGACATCCTCATATATGCGCTCTTTTTCTTTGAGGAGATGAGAGAAAAAGCAAAGGGGGGAGACAAGGACAGATTCTGTAAAGCCTGTAATTTTAGAATGCTACTTCAATTAATGAAATTTTAAACAGAAGGGAAGAATGCACACACACAATACAAAAAATGGAAAGAATAACTCTCCCATTTGGATCATTCATTAAACAAAAATTTGAGATCTTACTATGTGCAGGAACTCCTTCTTGCCCATATATGAATAAATCGTCTTCACCCCTCAGGCCAAGCTCTTGCCTGGGTGTACCTGCCTAATCACATCATCCCTGGGAAAGTTCCTGCACAACTTTATATGCCAAACCTCTCAATTTAGCATTGAATTTCCTTTTTTTGTAATGTTTTTATAAAGTCTCGTGTACAGTAGATCTGTTTCTTCAAATAGGTAAAAAAAAAATTCCTTGAAGGACAGAAACCATGCCTTACTTCGTTTGTTTGTCCCCAGAGCAGCTGGTACAGGAACGAATGTACATTGTTTCCTTCTCTAAGGACTGACTACCTGCATGGCTAATACGGGAAAGGACAGTGAGGTTAATTGGGCTGACTCTGGTTGCCCAGCCTCCACTAATTCTCCTTTTGTGGAGAATACGCGTTAATTCCCCAGATTCCTCCTCTTCTCCCAGAGGAGCCTGCCTCTGCTGACATCTGCAGAGATACCCATACATCACCACAGAAATTTCTCCGCTTTCCTGTCACCTTTCTGTTGGCCCAAATGAGAGGTCCCAGTGGGCTATCTGCCAAGTTAAATGCTGTCTACATGGTCTTTCTGACACTTGCCATGACTTGTTCTTGCTGAGTCCTGTCCTTTTTGCTTTCTGTCCCATCCAGTAGAAACCTGCTCATCTCCCACTCTTGCTCCATCATCTCCCATATCCAGTTAGTCACCAGGCTTCATCTCTAACTTCTCAAGATTTTAAAAATCCATTCCCTTATCTCTATTCCTGCTGCTGCTACTTTAATTTAGGCCGTTGTCACCTCTTACCCAGTTGACTGCAAAACCTCCTAATTTATCTCTCTGCTTCAGCCTAGCCCTCTTTATCTGTCTTTTTAAAATTGGCACATAAGAATTGTACATATTTTATGGGGTACAGTGTGATGTTTTGATTGATATATACAATATGTAAGGATCAAATCAGGCTAATTAGCACATCTATAGCCTCAAACCTTTATCATTTCTTTGTGTTAGAAACATTCAAAATCTGCTCTTGTGGCTATTTTAAAATATACATTAAATTATTGTTAACCATAGTCACCCTAAGTGCTATAGAACACTAGAATTTATTATTCCTGGCTAGCTGCAATTTTACATCCATTAACCAGCCTCCCTCTCCCCACCCCTTCCCAGCCTCTAGTAACCACCATTCTACTCTCTCTACATCTATGAGATCAACTTCTTTTAATTCCACATGTGAGTGAGAATATGCAGTATTTTTCTTTTTGTGCCTAGCTTATTTCACTTAACATAATGTCCTCCAGACTCACCCATGTTGCCACGAATGACAGGATTTTAATCTTTTTTATGGCTGAATAATACTCCATTATACATATGTGCCACATTTTCTTTATCCATTTATTTGTTGATGAACACAGATTGATTCCATATCTTTGCTATGTAATATGCAATAAGCATGGGAGTGCAGATATCTCTTCAATATACTGATTTCATTTTCTGTTCAGTAGTGGGATTGCTGGATCATATGGTAGTTGTGTTTTAAGGACCCTCCATACTGTTTTGCATAATAGCTATACTAATTTACATTCCCACCAACAGTGTATAAGAGTTTTCTCTTCTATGCATCCTCATCAGCATTCGTGATTTTTTGTCATCTTGATAGTAGGCATCTTAACTGGACTACTATCATTGTGGCTTTGATTTGCATTTCCCTGATTAGTGATATGAGCATTTTTCAAATACCTATTGCCCACTTCTGTGTCTTCTTTTGAGAAATGTTTATTCAGACCATGTGCTCATTTTGTAGTTGAGTTTTTTTGGCGGGGTGGGGAGGGGGCTGTTTAGTTGTTTGAGTTCCTTGTATATTCTAGATATTAATTCCTTGTTGGATGAATAGTTTGCAAATATTTTCTCCCATCCTGCAGGCCGTCTCTTTACTCTGTTGTTTCCTTTTCTGTGCACAAGCTTTTTTGATATAATCCTATTTATTTTTGTTTTGTTGCCTGTGTTTTTGAGATCTTTCTTATTCATAAAATATTTGTCCACACCAATGTCCTGAATCATTTTTAGATGTCTTCTTCCAACAGTTTTATAATTTCCAGTCTTGCATTTAAGTTTTTAATCCATTTTGAGTTGATTTTTGTATATGGTGTGTGTGGGGTATTGTTTCATTCTTCAGCATATGCACGTTCAGTTTTCTCAGCACCATTTGTTGAAGAGACTGTTCTTTCCCCAGGGTATGTTCTTAATGCCTTTGTCAAAAATCCGTTTAGCCTTCTTAACACTGGACCTGCAATTCTTTCAAAGATGCAAATTTGATTATATCATTTCCTACATAACTTGCTCTAATGGCACCCTATTCTCTGAAAATGAAGCCCAAACTCCTCCTTGGCAAGAGTACCCAAGACCCAGTCTAATACCTACTTCTTCCTCAGCCTCACTTCTAACCTCCCCATGCTTACTCCCCTCCCTCTCTCTCCCTCCCCTTCCTCTCCCTGCCTCTCCTCCTCTCTCCCATTTTCTACCCCTCTTTACCTCTTTTCGCTCCATTTCCCTCCCTGTCTTCCATCCTTTTCTCCCCATCTCTCCCTCCTCCCCCTCCTCCCTCCTGCCACTCTTTCTTCCCCTCTGTCTCCTTCTCTCCTCTCCATTCCAGACATCCTCAACTCTGTGTGCTTCCTCACATGTTTTCTTACCTCTGGGCCTTTTGTCTCATACTTCAAAAATTATTCATTTGCTTCACTGACATTCCACTAAATCACACAATCCTGTAAGGCAGGGATTTTGCCTTATTTTTATACAAATAAGAACTTCAAAAATATATTAGTGAACATATAAGTGAGTTACTGAGTTTTGATTTCATTGCTGTTTTTTGGATATGCTTGACATTTGTTAAATATTTACTGTACACATCAGATCCTATTTTAAGCTGTTTAAGTAAAAAACCTTAGTTTATTTTGAGAAGTAGGTACTATTATATCTCCATTATACAGATAAGGAAACAAAGGCATGTGTAACAGAAACTAAGTTACCTGCATAATGTCATTCAGCTAGCGAATAGTCGATCAGAGATTTGACTTCAGGTAGTCCTACACTATAGTGTTCACTCTTCACTGGTATCCCCTATGGTGCCTTCAGAGCCATTGACACACCTACAAGGTGTATCACTGAGGCATGACTGTGTATGAACCAGATGGATTAACAGAGAAGAGACAGGGGCTCGTGACCACGGGGAGAAGAAAGACGTGTTGAATAACAGGCAGGAGACTTGAGGAGTCATTGCAATCTGTCTACAGCCACAGCCATAATCAGCACCACACTCCTGGATGATAGTCTTGAAGGACACAGGATCTGTTCAAGAAGACTTGAGTTGGGTGCTTACTATTCTATGTACTTGGGATACCAACAATAGAATAAGGCACAGATTCTTTCAAGGGACCCACAGTCTGGTGAAACAGACAAACCTCAATGCATCAAGAACGATATAAGCCAAAACAGACTGCAGTTAACAGTACAACGGAGAGAGGTGATGGTCTTCCTTTGTGTAATTAACTCCCTACCTCATTTCCCTGAGGGCTTGGCTAGTGTATGCTAGCACAGTGCGAAGTGAATGTTGTGGATTGCCAGATAGAGAAATGCTAAATGACTACAAAACAGGGGCAGCAGATTCCTACTAGCCAGGATTCAATAAGCCCCAGAAAAATATGCCATTATATAGATTTATGGAGCATGGAGGATATATAGACCTTGCCTCCTACTGTTTTCCACATAGTGAGGCTAAGTGAATCCTAGTTCCTGGCTTATCCAGGGCCCTGGCCTCTCAAGGTTTCCTGTAGGACATTTGGAAATGTAGTGCTTCTCTAGGTTCAGGGCAGGGCTTGGGGAGAGTGATGAGGAGCTATTTCAGAACAGATGTCAACAGAGCCCTTCTCTCCATGCTGAGAGTCATCAAACACTTGCCCCGTGCCTGCCAGGTAGAGTGACTGAGGCCACAGGTTCCACAGCACAGACACAATGAGCTGGCCTCCTAGGGGACTCTCATGGCTACAAACAAATTAGCTTTAATGGACGAGTGGCCTTTGCTCATTCATCAGGAGTGTGGAGGTGGGAGTTCAGGCCAGTTTGGAGTTTAATTAAGGATGGCAGCTGGCATAGCAGGTCAGATGGCTCTGTGCTCCATTCATGTCACAAGTTTTTCGTTGTTTTGTTTTTCTCCAGACATTCCAGTTGCTCTGTTCCCTCCCTTACCACTGCCCACACATTGTTTTGGGTGCTGTTGGAGTGGCATGCTCTTATTTCCAAGTACAGAGAGTCCAGGCAGGGACCACACACCAGAGGTACAGAAACTAAGCTGCCAGGAAACTCTGTAAACTAGTGGCAGGTACAGTGCTCCCATTTGAGAGGCTTCCTCTCCATGCACACTATTGTCCTGTTTAAATATACCCATTCAAACCAGTAATGAAATTGTGAGCACCTGGGGACTTTCAATACCTGGACTGAAAGGACAGCTATAATCATAGCATGCCTAGTGTCCCTATTATCTATTAGTGCTTCTCCTTCAAAATGGCTGATGGCAGAGACAAGGAGAGCTCCTGTCTCCTGTCTCAAACCAGACACAGGAAGGAAAGCAAGCTGACTTAGAATTACATGATGTCATGTAAGGGCAGAATCTTTAGCATTTGGAGCTATGAGGGTTTCTGTCTTAAAGAGAATAGACTGAATATGTTATTGTAAAAGTGGGCATTAATGTTGTGACCATTTAATTTGCCAAATTAAACTTTAAAGCAGACTTTAAAGGGCCAACCATAACTGCAGACATTCTTCAATGGGAAATCTCCAAATCATTCATTCTGATGAATTGGAAGAGGAAGAAACAAGCAAACTATGGCTTTTATGCTTCCTGTTCTGGGAACATGAAATTCAGGTAGGCAGAGTGGTAGAAAAATCTCTATAAAATCTCCTGAGATGGCATCATATTTTGGAAGGCTAAGTTAGACAATATATGTTTATGGTATAAGGTCTTAAGGAAATGCTTTATCATATAATTGTATGCTATTTGTAATAATGCTGTATGTACTGTACAAACATTTCCTGGACATGAAGCTCTGCCCTGCATCACCAGCTGCCTGCTTGCTCAAGTCCCATACAAATAAGTTAATTACCTGCTTTGGGAACAGACTTTGAAAACAAAGGGAGCAACACAAAATAAAGGCGGTAATCCTCCTCTGTTACAATCTCTTCTTAGTTAATGGTTTTAATAAAAAAGGATTGGGCAAATTCCTGTATTGCCAGAATTCTAAGACTAGGTTTTTAGGATTTCTCAGCATAGAGACCTTGAGTAGAAAAGTATTTAAGTAGAAAAGTACTCCCTCAAATCCTTAGTAGAAAAGTACTTGAAAATGTACGTCACCCAGAGCCAGTAGCCTTTGGAATAGGATTGTCCATTACTGGCTTAAAACTTTAATAAAGGAAAATTGTAGGCAGGTCCAGCAGGCCGATTATCTTATTTTTGAGAATGTTGCAGTTGGGAGGGGAGGAAGAATAAACACTCAGAAATTAAAGGGAACTTAAAGATGGTCAATTCCATTATTTTTATTTTAAAACTAAATGCTGAAGTTAGAGAGGTTGTCGGAGCCTTAGTAACAGACTTGGTTTAGCTTTTAAAGTGGAGCTCCATGGAAACAGCTTTACCTGTTTTGAAGTGTTAGGCATGGCTGTCGGTAGTTTCTGGCCCTCATTCCTCATTCCTGTTGTTCTCATGGTATTGATGTTCTGCCAATATCATGTAGGAAACAAAGGATTGGTACACAGGTGATCACAAGCTGTATTCTCAAGGAAAATGGTGTGTCATTGAAATGGGATTGTAAACTCCAGAAAGGCAGTGGTTTTGCTTTGTATTTCTTTGTATCTTTTCCAATATCAAGCACTACGTAAATGAAATATTTGAATATTTGCTGATCTAAAATGTTCTCACAGTGAAGAAAAACTTTAATATTTTTCTTAGTGGCAGGAACAGTGTAGGGTTAAGCACATGGACTTTGGAGACAGACTGTCTGGATTTGTATCTGACTCAGCCAAATGTAACCCTTGGGCAGGCGACCTAAACTCACTGTGCCTTCGTTTCCTTGGCTAGAAACTGGAATATTAATAGTCCCTCTCTTATAGGATGGTTGTGAAGATTAAATGAGTTAACCTATGCAAAGCCCTTAGAACAGTACCTGGCATAAAGTACTCAATAAATATTAGCTACTGTTAGTATGCAAAGAAGGCTATCTTTAACTGTTAAGAAATGTCCCAGAATAGGCATGAATGTCACGATGTTAACTGGTCACTGTTAACTGATTCTAATAAATTGGAATGATTGTTATAGGGATCATCAATTCTTAAAGTTCTGGACATTCCTTTGATTATGCTATATTTATATAGCTCTTAACCCCCTCTGTGGCCTCTTTTTATACTCTATCTAGGTTTTCTTAACAAATAAATGGATTCTCTATTAGGGTCACTACTGTCTAGAGCCACATTATGGTCTGTCCACTGCCCTTTTACAGATTATCGTGGATGAAATCCCAGTGGCTTTCTTTCTCTGGTCTCACCCAGACGTGGCTGTAGATCAGCCTTCCCTTCCTCTCCCTTCTTTGGCAAGGCTATATCTGTGTTCTTCCATATGAACCACCAGCCTTCCCTCAAGTCGATCCTGACATGTTGGAAACTATTCCCTTGATATATGGGGCTTTTCTTACCATTCTTTAGAAACCAGCTTAAAACCCATCTTGAACAGGAGAAAGCCACCTTTTTGCATTCCTATTCATCCATCCAACTGTCATTTTGATTCATAGGCTCTTTGCCCTTGAGATGTTGTTGCGTGACTGATCTCTGACTGATATGAGTAGGTATCCTCATTCTGATTTTATTTCCACAGTACATTCCTCCAGATCTCTGCGTCTGCAATTTTGTGCTGGAACAGTCCCTATCTGTCAGAGCCCTGCAGGAAATGCTTGCCAACACAGGTGAAAATGGCGGCGAAGGGGTGAGTACCCGAATTGTGTCCTAGGTTGGGATTGGGGTGCACCACATCCCCAAAATACGTTCTACATTTCATCCAACTTTGAACTGAAAAATTTTAAGACTGTTGAGATGATTCATATGGAGATAGTAAATCTTTCTCCCTGAGTTGAGTTGGTGTTATTCAGCAACCCTACTTCTGCTTCCTCTGAGTTAATCAGCTTCCACCAGAAAATGGACCACCACTAATGCTGCATGAGCAAGGCACAGGATGTTAAGCCTACTCCCCTCTCTTATCCCAGAATTCACCAGCGAATGTGGAGAGGCTGAGAGGGTCTTGAGATTGAGCATGCCTGTGAGGCAGTTTCTTTTTCCTTGGAAAAACCTCACTGGGGAGTTAGGACTGCTCCAATGGAGCACAACCAAGTTACAACAGTTCAAACATGATTTCCTACAGAATTATGAGTCTTTGACATGTGTCCAGAACTTGATGGTTTCACTGATGATGAGCAAGTACAGAATTGTCTTGAGTTTCCATTGTCAGTAAAATGATCCTTATAACTAAGAGACAAGCTCCATATTGCCTATGTCAGAAGGCTTTTGGGCAAGACTTTGGCCAGATATTTCAAAATAATTTTTGACTCTTCCCTTTCCTAATGGCTCACATTCATTTTTATATATTTGTCATCAAATACTTTAATTCTACTGCCTGAATATCTCAAATTCAACCATTTCTCTCCACCATCCTCAATCCCCCATACTCCATTAGATGACTGTCCTCTACCTTTTGGTTACGGCAACAGCCTATTAATTGCTTTGATTCCTCCTATACTTACCCCCTCCTCCCGTTTTTCCACTCAGCAGTTCTTTCCAAAATGCAAATACAATTATTACAGTTGCCTGTTTTAAAATCCTTTGTCTTCCCATTATTTTGAGATAAATTCCAAATTCCTAAACATGGCTTAGAGCCCTTTAGGAGTTGGTGAGCCCTGTTCACCTTTCCTGCCCCATCTCTCACCACATCCCACCAAGTACTCAGTATCCCAGCGACATCGAATTCCTCTCTCTGCCTCAAACATGCCAGTTCTCTTTTGCCTCTGATCCTGCATATCACCTATTCCTTCCACATGGAACAGCTTCCCTCCTCCTCTCTCACTTCCCTTATGTAATCCCTACGTATCCTTCAAGGAACTAGTTTAGTTATTAGATGAGTTGAGAAGCCTCTGCTGACCCCACAAGTCTGTTGCTGGGACAACATTAGGTACTTTTTCTGTCATAGCTCTTATCACTCTGTACTGTCATTGCAAGTCTTTTTTCTTCGCTACTGGAGAGTACACTGTCTGTGGGTAGAAACTGTTTGCAGTTACCTAGTAGCACAGTTTGTTCTCGCTTGAAGTTGTACATAATACGGACATGTCTCATTTGTAATAGAAGAGACAATTGACCATAGAATCAAGAGAATCGATGTTTACATTTCGGCCATCCTCCAGCCCTTAATGTGATCTTGGGTACATCTAATCTCTTGGGGCCACAGTGTTCTGTGAATTAGATCTCTAAACCCCTTAATACCAAATATTTGTGTTTTTTCACTCTTTTGATTTATAGCAGTATGCTTTAGTAAGACAACTGAGAATAGTTTGCTTTGTGTCTTAGATCATTAACAAAGGTGAGATTTTTGTTCATTTAATGTTCTCCTCAGTCTGGGTTCATTTCCCTGTTCCTTGCATTGACCTCAGCATCTTATATCTTCCACATACTCTCAAACACTTCCAGTTTAGGGAAACTTTGTTGTTGTTGAGACGGAGTCTTGCTCTGTCGCCCAGGCTGGAGTGCAGTGGTAAGATCTCTGCTCACTGCAAGCTCCGCCTCCCAGGTTCACACCATTCTCCTGCCTCAGCCTCCTGAGTAGCTGGGACTACAGGCGCCCGCCACCATGCCCGGCTAATTTTTTTGTATTTTTAGTAGAGATGGGGTTTCACCGTGTTAGCCAGGATGGTCTTGATCTCCTGACCTCGTGATCTGCCCACCTTGGCCTTCCAAAGTGCTGGGATTACAAGTGTGAGCCACCACGCCTGGCCGGGAAACTTTTTTTTAATTGATCACTCTTCTTTTTCCAAGATGTATCATATAAAGAAATCTTTGCTGAGGGAGACCTAGTTGATTTTAAATATCACCACTTTCAGTATCAAACTAGACCCAGCCTACCATGGTCTCAGGATAGAAATTAAGAAGACAAAGACATACTATGTTAATTGGAGAATTATTTCTTGGTTAATCTCTTATCCTGTTTTGTTGTAAAAGTATATTTCAAAGGACTTCTTTTTCTTTATCATTTAGCTTGAGTGGTTCAGAGTCCTATAGATGAGAAAGTAAATTCAAAAGTTCTGGTTTTTCCTTGTTGCAAAGAACTTAATAGTCTTAACTTGGTTTGTCTTAAGGGGAATAAGTAATCATTCATGTTCCAAGTAGAATGGAGGGACGCACTTTAATAAAATTGAGCTCTTCATTTTAGAATATATGAATAAGACCTACCTTAATTACCAAGCATGTTATAGCAGAAGTTTGTTTAATATAATTATATATTTCAGAAGCCATTTATAAGTTACAACATGTAGAAACCAATACATTAAATCTTATTTGAATAATCTACTCTTCTTTAAAAACTCATGTTCAAAATAAATGATCCATGACATTTTTGTTAATATCTATAGAATTATCATCATCATCATGTTGAGTCAGACTCTGAAATTTTCCATATTGCCTTTTGTTCTATTTTTGCCAAAGAGAAGAGAGACCTAATAGTTATTTCCCACCTTGACACATTTATCACTATTATAAGGAGTAGTATTCACTGGAGATCTCAGAGAAAAGAGACTTGAGAAGAGAGATGGAACACAGATGGGAAGGTACTTTTTTCAAGTCATATTACTTTACTGTGCATTGATGACTCCACAAAATAGTTACCTGAACAGCAGCTTCAGGTACTAGAACCCTCTTGGAACTTTCTCACAATTCCGTCTGGGCTCTTAGTCTTTCGTATGAAAAATGCAAGTTTTATATCATCTCTGGAGTCTGATTATTTTGCTTTTCTGAAGTAATTACTGTACACATTTACTATTGGTATTTAATTTGATTTTAGAAGAAAATATTCAGCAGGGAAGAAAAAGAGGAAAAATAAAGAAGGAAGTGAGTTAACATGACAGAGCAGAATGATTCTCTGGAGAGCCTGGGGATGTTTGAGTGGGATGGAGCATTCTTTGCATGCCACTCCATTCTGTTTGGAAATAGCCATTTTCTGCTTTTAAATAGACATTGCTTTCACTAATGATCATGACTGCCACCAAATGGGAGGCTTTGAAGAGTATAATTTTTCCTTCTAGTCAAAAATTGGTCCTGGTGTACTGTGTCTGTTCACTGCTGTGTAGCTACTGGACATTTTTAAAAATGACTTCAGCTGTTTACTCACGTGTTGAGTGTACAGAAGTCTTTCTGCAAAGATTACAATTCTGCAGCAATTTCTCTTGCTAACAAAGAAAACAAAATGCCCTAATTTAACAGCAAAGAGGTTTCTTTATTATTTAAATGTCATTAGCTGCAGCCAGTAGCACATGGAAGCCAGCTTCATATTGAGAAGGAGAATCAGTGATGAGGAGGACCTGGAGCAGAGAACATTTTGTGCCTCTCAGGGTCTGCCCTATCTCAGCTCCTCCTTGGATCACTTTACCTCTGATCTAATCCTATGTAATTTTATTCTGGGGAAAATTACCGAGGGATAGATGCTTGGCACTGTGGCCAATTTTATGGCTACAGTTTGAAGTAAAATTCCTGCAATCAAATATTAGAGTATTTTCACATTTTCAATTGATTAGACCTACAGTGTCTACCAACCTTCAGCAGGACATGGAGCCAAAAGAGATGTCCCCACCTCCCTCTAAGCCCTCAATCCCCATCATCCTACAGAAATGACTTTAAAGTGAGAGCAAACAGCATTTGTGATGAAAAAAATGCTCAGTCTTCAGTGTCAGGCAGATGTGTTTTCAGTCCAGCCTATATTGGACCAGGTGACCTCTGGGGCAAATTATTTCTCCTTTCTGTACCTTACTTTCCACATCTTCAAGATGCAATCTATCTCGTAGGACTGGGTGAGAATTAAATGAGATCAGTGCCTACAACTACCTGTGAGTTTGAAAATAAAAGTATTGGTTCCTCTGTTCATCCCTGGTCCACTTCCTCCTGTTATACGGATCCTTCAGGAATATTCAAACTTCCTCAAAGGAAGGAGAGTCCTGTGCTACACAACTAGGTGCATGTTAAACTTAACTCCAAATGGGTTCTGACATGAACTGGCATAATGCTTCTAGGAATGAAAGGCCTTGGTTAACACAATTACCAGCTGCACTCCTGCCGATAAGGGCTCCGGTTTTCTCTAAAAGTTGACTTCATCAATGTCAGATCTTTACAACTACGAAGAGAGATGAAATATAAATATAAAATGAATTATATAAATGGTATTTATAAAAATATAAAACTAATTGTATAGTTGCCACATGAACATGACACTTTATCCATGTCCAGAACACGTAAGATTATGCCTGACTTTGGATGCTAAAATATCTGGTATGCTAATACACAAGCAGCCTTTTAACCTTGATTGGGCTGGGCGTGGTGGCTCACACCTGTAATCCCAGCACTCTGGGAGGCTGAGGCGGGCGGATCACAAGGTCAGGAGATCGAGACCATCCTGGCTAACACAGTGAAACCCCATCTCTACTAAAAATACAAAAAAATTAGCCGGGCATGGTGGCGGGCGCCTGTAGTCCCAGCGACTCGGGAGGCTGAGGCAGGAGAATGGTGTGAACCTGGGAGGTGGAGCTTGCAGTGAGCTGAGATTGCACCACTGCACTCCAGACTGGGCGACAGAGCAAGTCTCCATCTCAAAACAAAACAAAACAAAAAACCTTGATTGGGAAATGTGACCTGGAAAGATATTATTTCTGCAAGAACCTTTATAACAGACATCCTCACTGAGAAGTTCTTCATCTCCCCGTATTACTTGTGTGATTTGATAGTCCCATTAACTCTGAAAGGAGCTTTTGGCTCCTTTGATTTATTCTTGTCTTTACAGTAGGGAATACCACACACAGCATGGTTGCTAGTGAAATGGTGTGGCACATTTGTCATATGTTACTGCTTCTTGAAGATGACATGCCTGTGACTGCTAGGGGTTGTCTCCTGGTATCATGTGACCTTGTAAACGGCCAGTGAAGCGTAAACATACATTATGCTATATCCGTGTAAAGGTCCTTAGAGTGCATGTCATGAGATACATGAGATATTTACCTTGCAGCCAGGTTCAGGACATTCATTCATCTCATAAACTCACAAAAAATTTAGTGACAGGTGGCAACATCATTAAAAAAGAATTGGCTAACAGTGCATCTGCTGTGACACTGCTAGCTGATAAATACATCAAAACAAACACTGATGAAGGGAATTATTAGAAGCCCCTTGTTTAAAGTCTGAACTGTGGCTGTGCCAAGATTTAGACATGTTGTGCAAACTCCTCTAGAATGAAGAGGGCTAATAGGATCCTTACTTCTTTCTTCCTGGGTTCCTGTGTGCCTGCCAACATTTTTATACCATAGAAGAAAAGGGGAACCACCACCATCCAGATTTAGCATCTCACTCTGAGGTTTTTATCTTCCCTTTAGAAATGTTAGAAAAAAATTGGTAATAGAATTTATTTTGTATGTGTGTGAGGAGGAAACATGACTGATGGAGGAACTGCGTCCATAATTCTAAACCTCATCCCCATTTTTACATGTTTTAATATTACATTTTTAAAAATACATAATTGAATGAGTCAAATCTAGCAAGCATTGATTACACTTCAGGAGAGTTCATAAGATTTCCTTTTTAAGTCACTCATGCTTATATTGTGATGTAAGTCCTAGGTCTTGCCCATGTATGTGTCAAGTCCCTACAGCCAGAGTAGCCATGCTAGGTGTTAAAAGCCTGAATTTCCTTTGTATTCGTTGGTAAAAAGCCACTGCCTCAAGCTGTCCAAGAACATCCTTGGTGCCCTTGCTCAGGACCTCCCCACCCCAGTGCCGATGACTTTCAGGCTGCTAACCTTTGGGACACTCCTCCTCCCTACACCTGATTGGTAAGAACAGGATATCACATCATTAAATTTTTAACTTGCTTGACTTGACTCTGCTTTTTCCTTGGAGAGGGAGAAAAATAACATTCTGGTTTCAGATGCTGTTCTTTCCCTTTTTAAATCTATGGCTGACCATCCACACCTGCTGCAAAAATAATGTTTTTTTATACTCGCAAAATAACAAATCAACTTGGCAAAATTGCTCTCATGTGCAAAAGCTTGTCGAAACCTGCGCTTTAAAAGCTGCCCTGTGTTAGAGTTCATTTTACAGATGTACTCCTGGCAGGCAGCCTGTTTCGGTGACAAAGCTGGGTGTTTGGAGGTTTAGATTTGGTCTTAATAATGCCACCAACTGGAAATTTAACTTCAAGCAAATATCTTACCAACTGGGCTTTAGGTTCCCCACCTCTACATGACATCACTTAGATGCAAAGTCCTTTCTCAGGTCTGTAATGGTTGCAGTGTACCAAGTTAAACTGGAAAAGTGTCATCACGTCACTTCCTCTGGTGTGTCCTGTGGGCTATAGCCCATCACTGATGAGCTGTGGAAATGTTCCCCTTTTTGTATTAATCATTACTTGAGACCTCGGCTCCCATTTATTTAGGTAGAATGAATAAATGTATTCTCTTTCTTCTTTGCTGTGGACAAGGAGAATTTTACAAAATCCATCCAGGACAGCAACCCTAAAGCACTAAGCATTGAGTACATAATTTTAATTTTTTTTTTTTTTTTGAGACAAGGTTCTCCTGTGAATTTTCTCGTGGAATTTTAGGGGACATATCATGTATATTTGACAGGTTTTCTTTCCTCAAAGAGCTAGGAATCATTTTGATAAATTAAATATTATTATAAATGAGAGGCCTCCAAACTAAAGTTTCAATGTGTTTTTTTCCACAGACCAAATTGTCATTAAACATGTACATCCTCTTCCCCCTTTCCTTTCCCCTCCTTACTGTCCTTTGTCATGTTATGCTATGATTTTAGGATTTTATGCTGATATAATGGATTTTAATGTTTCCCTGATAAGCTGATATTTATGAAGATATGTGCAAATAACTCACATTTCATTTTTGGACTGGCCTTTTGATGACATGATTTTTGGTTAAAATATGCCATCAGGAAGACCTTACTTCATGGTAAGAAAGCACCTTTCTTGGTCTAAGCAAAATCTGATTGATATAATTGATTGCAATTCTATGAGAAATTCCAAATTGCCTGATGTAGGTATTGACCATTTTTCTTGGGTGGATTTTTTTTTTAAATGTTAGTTATAAAAAAGTGGTTCAGCTGACTTAGGCGACAGCACATTGCTTGCTTATAGTTTGTTGATGACATCAGCACTGTACTAGAGAAAAACAGGAAAAACAAACTTTTACATTTAACGCTCTTGCAAACCTCTAAGATAACAAAATATTTACCAGGTAGGAAATCCACCCTCTTTTTTCTCTCTTTAAAAAAAAAAAAAAAAAAAAAACTCTTTAGTAAGCATCAGTAGACTCCTCAAATAAGTTGAAAGCTTTCAGCAAAACCTGCACACGCTAAAATATCCATTTACTGTTTTGTTTTTGATTTTGCTAGCTCAGTGATCTCTCGGAATGGGTATGTTATTCACTCCTTCAATATACATGTACTTTGCATGGACAACTGACTTCAAGCTGTATTTGTCATGAACTGGGCCTTTCACTTGTGAGTGTTCAGGGCAGTTTCCATTCTTTGTGTCTCTGCAATTAAAAAAAAAAAACCACTAGTGCACCTCACCCTTCAGTGTTGTGAAATTAGAGGTGGCTGCACACATAGAAATTCGTCGCCAGGCAGTTTGTTTTACCACTGCTCTCCAATTAGAATGACTTGCCTGTGGACTCATTTTTTATTTCTTCAAAACATTGCAAGTTGTTTTCTTTTTAATTTTTTATTTTTTTGAGACGGAGTCTCGCTCTGTCGCCCAGGCTGCAGTGCAGTGGCGCGATCTCGGCTCACTGCAAGCTCCACCTCCCGGGTTCACGCCATTCTCCTGCCTCAGCCTCCCGAGTAGCTGGGACTACAGGCGCCCGCCACCACGCCCGGCTAATTTTTTGTATTTTTAGTAGAGACGGGGTTTCACCGTGTTAGCCAGGATGGTCTTGATCTCCTGACCTCATGATCCGCCCGCCTCGGCCTTCCAAAGTGCTGGGATTACAGGCGTGAGCCACCGCGCCCGGCTGCAAGTTGTTTTTAAAGCCTCTCTTGTTTGCTCTGAATATGGTCTAGATGGCCTGTGATCATAGGTTCAATCTGGTGAGATGACACAAGTGTGTAGCTTTGCCTTCATCTCAGCTTCTCGATGCTTCAGACCTCTTCCAGTGCTATTATGCAACTCCAGCTCTGCTATTCCATGAGGCTGGAATTCATGATAAAAATGGAAAAAGCTAGTTTGATATTTTCTTTCTCCTGCCATATCTCCAAAGTGAACCAGCAGAAGAATTAAACGTGAACTTCAACAATTAAGAATAACCATTCAGGTTAACTAGCTTTTTACATTTCTTCACATGCTGAGTTAGAAGCCTTTTCAAGTGAAAGAGCCCACAGAATAGATTTTTAAAGCTCCAGACTCTCTCAAATCCCCCCATTTATTGAATATAGTGCTTCAGCTTTAGTGTGACTGTCTTTTCTTTGGTGAAATGGGCGTGTTGTGAAGTCGGCACCTCATGTTTAAGATCAATATGCCTGTCTGATCCTGGCGGTGTTTTTGCAAATGTGTTAACATTTAGCTTTGCTAATGTTACACAAACTAGAATTCTGTTCATCCTTGCTGTGGACATTGGAATGCTCTGTTGAAATAATCTTGTCATAATTGTATCTGTGATCTAGAAAGCCTGAGCTGCTTCTCCATGGCTGGACTAAATATATTTGTTGGTGGTGGTGGTTGTTTCTATATTTTAATTGCAAAAAAATGTAAACATCTTCATGAAAGTTTCTTAGAGGCATGAGGAGGGATTGGGGGTGTCTAAGCTTTCTCCAGGACACAATCTGTAGGTAAACAGTTTATTATTCAGGGAGATGTTTTGATAAGAGATTTTGCTGAGAGTTTTGAGAAAAATAACTGTTTCATGGGGGACAGGAGTAGAGATGGGTTGTAAAAATGAATTTCAGCTGCGTTTCTGGCAACATGTTTTAATCCTTAATTGTACAATATTTGAATTTTGGGGAAATCTTTTAAGAAACCTGCTTACTTTTTGAAAATAAAGCACATTTGCAGTTTTTTAAATCCTAGGAGAATGGAAACTCTTCAGTTTATTTATTAGAGTTTTCCTTTGATCATGTAATTCGCTTTTTAATAAATACCTGAGTTTAAATTACATATTTGTAGTGAGAAATGAATGAACTAGAGCAAACTTCAATTTATTTCCATTTCATTAAAGCTTAATAAGAGCACCGATCTGGATATTCTGGTAAAGAAAAGTTAACTTGGTGCTAGAGAAACCCTGATCTCAGCTGGCATTTTCATCCTTACTTGAGTAAAAACCTTGTGACCAACACTCCAGTCCTATGATTGCCACTATCTGGTTTTAGAATGGAAGGAGCTAAAATGATGACGTGGAATCGGTGGAAAGAAAGTGGGAATAAGACCAAATATATTTAGGCGAACCATGGTGTAAAAATCACTTCTGCTCTGCAGAGGGCTGAAATGGTTATCTGCAAAGTAAGACGAAAGCTGAAGGCAGAATGCTTCTGCTTCCACCTAGAGTTTCCTGCTGTGGGTACTGCATGTACTTGGGCTTGTAGTGAGGTGGGAGATGGGGAAAGTGCTGAGTCTTGTTTCTGAGTTCCGTGATGTTGCTCTGGTGTGAGGGAGGAAAGTGCTGGACTAGGCAGGGGGTGGACATTCTAGCCTTGGTATTCCCACTCTCTGGTCCTTGCTGTCCCACCTGCAAAACATGGACTCTGAACTAAATGAGTGGCTCCTAAACGTCTATCCCAGGATCAGTGTCTACCCGTGATGAAGGATTCATAAGTCATCAGGAAAATGGGAAAAACTGTTTTTTAGTACCCTTCCTATATTGATGATTAGTTTCATTCCTGTGGTTGAAATTGTACTTGTTCTTGAACTTGTTCTGTAAGGCCTATTCTTGCCTACAGCTCACGCATTCCATGTACTAAGTAGTTTTGCCCAAATATCAGATAGGTGTTTTGGTTTAAAAAAATGCCTTAAAAAATGTTCTTACTGAAACCCGGATAGTCAATTCCCTTGCTGGTTGTGGTTATTCACCTCTTTCTTTGTGGATAACTACCTCTGTGATTGAAGAGGAAAGGCACTTGATTTTAGAGTTTTTAGGCATCAGTTGCCCCTCCTTTTGTTTTTGTTCGAGAGAGAAACATGCATTGGCACCGGCACTGATAAGAATCACCTGGTGCCATCCTATTAAGGATGTGCAGCTGGAGGCTTGGTGCTCCAGACCCCGTTTCTCTGCTGCTCATCTGCCTTGAAAAGATGGAGGGTGGTAGGCAGGAGAACTGGGGTGTTCTAGAAGAATGAATTGAGAGCTGACCCAGTGTAAATGAGGCCCGCACCACGGAGGTTTCTTCTAAGGAACAGCCTTTGGGAGTTTGCTTTTAAACGCCCTTCTCTCTGCTGACTCCTGAGTCCTGCTCTCTGGGTGGGGCCAGAGGTGGAAATTATTCATGGTGGAGCCATTCCTTAAAATACTCATTTTCATGTCTTTGATGAGCTATTTGAAAGGTAAGTTGAATGCATTACTTTTTTTTTTTTTACACCTTATATCTTCATAGTTTAGTTTCTAAAGTTATGACTTGGTTTTAGGAATTTTCAGAATCACTGCTAGGGTATAAAAATCTCCAGTTGTTGGCCAGGAGCGGTGGCTCACACCTGTAATCCTAGCACTTTGGGAGGCTGAGATAGGCAGATCACGAGGTCAGGAGATCGAGACCATCCTGGTTAACACGGTGAAACCCCATCTCTACTAAAAATACAAAAAAAAATTAGCCAGGCATGGTGGCGGGCGCCTGTAGTCCCAGCTACTTGGGAGGCTGAGGCGGGAGAATGGCGTGAACCCGGGAGGCGGAGCTTGCAGTGAGCCGAGATCGCGCCACTGCACTCCAGCCTGGGGGACAGAGCGAGACTCTGTCTCAAAAAAAAAAATCTCCAGTTATGTTAAACAATTTTATAGTTGATACATAATGTACCTAGTTTCAGAATACATGTGATAATTTAATACATTCATGTAATTTATAAAGACCACATCAGTGAAAATTTCCAGAATTTGTTTTTGATGGGTACAAATAACTGAGCTGTAATGACTGAGGCATTGTGAGTCGATGAAATAGAGCTTTGGAGCTGATTCTGTAAAACCTCACCTCCACAATGATACTGTCTAAACCATCGAAGCCACAATTAATTCTCTGACCTCAGGCAGCTGACCCAGGTCACCAGGAGAATGAGCAACTGCTGTTCCCAGGCAACCACTTTGATGGTGCAGGGCAGGTGGAGCAATAGGGATACACAAATCCATGCTTTATTAGCTATGCAGATTTCACTGAAAGTCAGTGGGAGAAACCTTTGTAGGTCTGTCTGCAGCCTTCTCAAGCTCTCTCAATAATATAGTCTCTACCTGTTGTATATGGAATGCCAATTCCTCTTTTCATAACTTCAGTCTTTCCTATGGCACAAATCCCTTCTGAACTTCTTACTATGTCTTTCCCCAAGTGGAGCTACCTAGGCCTCTGCTAATACTATTTATTGCATTTGCAGTTTCTTGTGAGATTTTATTAAAATGAGCTGTTCCCAGGGTAACCAGGAATGGTAAGTTCGCTGGGCTGAACCCTGGTCCAAACAGATCCAATTCAAACTGGTTTATTGTTTTGCCTTAGGTTTTTGGCTTGCAGGAATACAAAACATTCTTCAGTTCTGCCAGTCTCTTTCCCCATTTGTCTGTCTATAAAAATTCATCAATGTGCACTTATTTTCTAAATATATTAACTTCATTTTAATGCTATTAACAAACCTTAGTATTTTGCGTATGTGTGTGTGTGCATAATAGATACCACTTCGCACTTCCTCACATTTACACTTGTCTTTCCAAACATATATCCCTGTATAAAAGGAATTTCTAGGGTGTCTATTTTGGACTTCACTTCTTTTTCCCACATGGTACGCCTTGTTACTAAGATAAAATTCTAACAAAAAAACCTTTATTATGATATTTGTATTAAACTATGTTTAAAAATTGGTTGCTTCAATCCCTTTTCCTGAAGAGTAATGTCCTAGTTGCTGTATCTTACAAAACATGCCAAAAATAATCAAGAGATTTCTGTATTCCAGCTTCCCCCATGTTTTATTCAATATAGGCTACTTTAATTTATCCTCAGGTTCTAGCATGAAACAGAGGCATGCCCCCCCCGAAATGATCCTGTTTTTAACATACATGTATATCCCTCTAAACCAAAAGACTCGTATCTGTAAGATCTACTTTTTTTTTTTTTTCCTCCTGAGACGGAATCTCACTCCGTCACCCTGGCTAGCGTGCAGTGGTGCAGTCTCTGCTCACTGCAACCTCTGCCTCCTGTATTCAGGTGATTCTCCTGCCTCAGCCCCCCGAGTAGCTGGGATTACAGATGCCCACCACCACGCCTGGCTAATTTTTGGTAGAGACAGGTTTTCACCATGTTGGCCAAGCTGGTCTTGAACTCCTGACCTCAAGTGATCCACCCACCCCAGCCTCCCAAAGTGCTGTGATTATAGGCGTGTGCCACCACCCCTGGCCTGTAAGATCTATTTTAAATGCACTCACTTGATCTAGGAAAAGAGTCTCTGGCCAAATCCAATTTTTTCTTACAAATCTCAGTGGGCTTCAGAGAAAGGGGAATGCTGAGTCAGACAATATGCTATCCCTAATGTTCCCGAACCTCCCTGTAACCAGATCTTGCTGGCTCAGACCACCCAGTTTGTAACCCATGAGACCTTGCACAGCATTCTCTCCCAGATGGAGCTTCTGCAATTTTTCAGAATGGCTTAAAAAAAAAATAAGGAACCAATAAAGAATAACCTGGGTTACCATGTTTACAGAATTGATGACAAGAGCCAAACATGTTACCCGGTGTTCTTCTACCTTTTATTTTATTATTATTATTATTTTTTGAGATGGAGTCTCACTCTATTGCCCAGGCTGCTGGTGTGCAGTGGCACAATCTTGGCTCACTGCAACCTCTACTTCTCGGGATCAAGCGATTCTCCTGCCTCAGCCTCCCAACCAGCTGGGATTACAGGCGCGTGCCACCACATCCAGCTAATTTTTGTATTTTTAGTAGAGATGAGGTTTCACCGTGTTGGCCAGGGTGGTCTTGAACTCCCGACCTCGTGATCCACGCACCTTGGCCTCCCAGAATGCTGGGATTACAGGTGTGAGCCACTGTGCCCAGCCTCTTCTACCTTTTAAATAACCTTTCTGATTTTGTCTTTATAATCCAGTGATTGAAAAAGAAGCTTCAGTATGGGGCTATTAGAATTTGAACTGAGAATCACTGCTGTAACACTACATTGGAAACTCGCTGTAATGTAACCTAAATGTACATTACAATGACCATTTCACACAACATGTCACCAATTCCTGTTTTAGTATCATCTTAAATTCGCATCTCTTTAAAATACCCAATGTGTTCCAAAATACAGTCGTCGTTTTCTCTTGGATACTGAGATCCTCCTTGCCTGGTCCAAGGGAATGCATGTTAACCTCTGCAGCATCATGGCTGATATCTTTGCGCAAACCCCTGCTTTCTTGCAGCAACAAAGTGACCCAGGCTCATCTTAATTTTTCTACCCCAGGACATGACATTGTATAACTCTTTAATATCTCTGGTTCTGTTTCAGAGAGAATATTAAAGATCAAACTCTGGCTCTAGGGATATATATTTATTACCCCCACTATGACCCATCACAGGCCAAGTCCAATTGGCCTGAGATTGGAGGAGATATTAGTATGATACCAGAAAAGAGGTTAAATCACCTTGATGACAGCATGATTTAATAATAGAATGAGACTTTATTATTTTTATGAGGAACATGGCACTTATGGAACACCTACTGTATGTTCTTTCCGTTCTCTGGTTTCATGGCACAATTTTCTAGGGTTTCTAAATCTTCTTTTGATTCTTCAAGTTGCATAAACAGCTGTGGATGCATATTGATGACTGGACAATGATAGAGTTTCCAGTGATTTATATAGCCTGCCTTGGCTCAAGTCAGTCAGTTAATCTGTCTGTTTCTCTGGCACTTCCTCTCACTGTGGGCCATCACAAACTGCTTCTCTTAGATAACATGCTTCCTTCTTCAGGCTTCTGAAGATCATTCCCAGTCAGCAGTGGTCTGTCTCAGTGGAAAGAGCAGAAATCAGCAGCAACATTCTTTTCGGTGCCAAGTTGTCACATTACATTAATGGTAACCACCAAACTTGCTGCAAATGGATTGAATTATTATTTTTTTTCTTCACTGGAGGAGGCAAACATCAACACAACTGATACTAATTTTATTAATTTTGTGGAGTTGTTTTTTTTCAAATTGTGAACCATACTTGGTGTTTTTGAGCTGGCCGCTCCCCCTCCTCTCGCAGGAGCTCTGCAGGTGCTACTTTTAATACGCCTTCTTTCTTTGCTGCAAAGCCTGCCACAGTGTCTTGCAGCTCAAGGGAAGTCAGGTTTTACTGTCAGCCCCAGTCGGTTATCCTCCCATTGTCAGTGTGATAAATTTGCTCCCCGCACAATGGGAGAAAATAGATCAGATGGTGCTCGCTCTGTCCGGGTCCCAGCTTCCATTCATAGATCAGCAAAGGAGTTTTTTTGTTTAACTTTTATTTTTCCAGTTGTCAGAAAAGCTAGTGGATGAGAAGAATGCTTGGACCTAAGCTAGCCTCTGAAAGGTGGGCTTTGGAAAGCAGCCATGCGAAAAGCACTGTCCAAGCATTAGACAACTCAAAACAACTCTGAGACACACTAGTCCTGCAGATACAGAGAGAAATGTAGAATGCAATTCTAAGAATGCAGAATGAATGCTGAGGCGTACCCTTAAGTTCTGGGGGTCTGCAAAGCACAGAAACCGGAGTGAGAACATAAGATCAGAGCTGACTAATTCCAGAGGGAGGTGACCAAGTAGTAAGGGAAGCAATAGTGCAAGTCCCTTTCCCCAGTCTGCTTTGTGCTTTGCCATTAACTGCATCTTTTCCCAGGCCCTGCAGCATCCACACCAGTGGGGAGGGAGGTCTAGAATGCATGGGGGGCAGTTCAGGAAGTGTCCAGCTGACCTTTGATGTGGTAAAGACAGGTGGATCTGGGGTTGACAATGGTGGGCTGGAAACTCTTCTTCTGAGAAGCTTATCTACAGTCTTCACCACACATAGATTTTGTAGTAGGGATTTGTGTCTTTCTATCTATCATATATATAGAAGCAAAGCTGAGAGAGAAGCAGAGAGAGTCAAACATTAGTCCTAAAGTTAGCAAAGGCAAGCAATCATGTTTGTTCTTTGCTTCTTTGGAGTTCCGGAGAAATATTAAAAGGAAAGTCAATCACTGGTCCAAAAGGATGCTTCCGAGAACACAGAAGTGCTTGCCGACTGCATGCATCATACATGAAGGGTCCTATGTGGCTAAGTCCTGGAGGGGTGACTGTCAAGCCTGACTGTGCATTTGAATTACCTGGGAGCTCAGACCTCACCATAGGCCCACCAAATTGGAATCTTATGAAAATGACCCAGCTTTTATGTTGTTTTTTTTTTTTCTTCTTTTGTATTCATTTTTAAATCTCCACTAGTTATTCCGGTCTATAGCTGGGATTGAGGGCCACTTTTCTAGAATGAAATCATGAGAGGTTCAGAAGAATGATGTCATTGCCTTCAGAACAGCCCCTGGTCCGTGGACAGGTGCTAAGTATTAGGAGCATCCGTTCTGTCTATCCCCAGGCCCACATACACAGGACCCTGGAGAATCAGCCTCTCCACCCAAGGCTACTTCATATACTTCAAGAAAAAGGCAAGATCGCTGTTTGTTTTGCTGGGTAATATAAACTTGGCCCCATGCTCATTATGTGGATATAGAGAGAACAAGAAGAATCGATCTCCAACTAGGAAAATCATAGTTGAGACCAGTACAAAAAAGATAGAGAGATTTAAAAAAATAAAGGTTGGTTGTTACAGGACATCCAAGGGGGAAAAAACCCCATGTAAGTTGAAGAACTGCAGGAAAGGGGGAGGAGGATCAGATAACAAAATAGAATCCAGTTGACCTTCTGCTTTATAGCTTGTGTGGGTAAAGGTGTTACACACAGTAGTAGTCAGCAGGGTTTTATGATAAAAAACTTACTCCTATTTTGTTATCTATAAATCCTCAGGATGAACAGTGAGTTTTTTTATAGAGAAACAGTAGATTAGAAACAGTGTTCAAATTTTCACGTCAAGGTAATCGGACTTTTTGAATGTTAGACTCTTTGTTGGAAATACTCATTATGCTACATTTGGTGAATGGAAATAATTGGGCAGAGCTCTTAATATTGACCCTTTGTGGTCACTGGTCCACTGTTTCATCTGAAGCCTGATGAGGAGGAGGAGTATGGGTGGTTCAAATAGAAACCAGAGCAGTGACTAGAAAACAAATTTGGCTGACAGGCTCCTTTTATGCAAAGAATAAATTTGGCAACATCAGATTCTTAATCTATTAGCTACAGGAGAAGGTGGTGGGAATAATTCGGAAAAAAAAAATTGCCTCACCTCTTTCCAAAGCATACTTGTCATCAATCTAAATGTCATTAATACGCTGACAAATATCTGGCGATTTGCTCTTTTAAAAGACACCATAATAAGAAACATGTGTTAGGGTTGCCATTTTGGCTCACTGTTCTCTCCATGGCATCTGTGTTCAAAGAAAAGCACAGATGTATACAGGATGACCCTGCCCAATTTGGAGGCATACCAGTGACCACCTTTTCCCCCTCAATGGAAAATGCTCATCTGTCTGTTTGAGAAGCAGTGTTTGAAAAGTATCAGGACTAGTGGGAAACTCAGTCATTTAATTTGTTCCCCAACCATTATGGATTGGGACAAAAGGGGAGGAAAATGGTTGCAGAAATCTACATCGATTCTCATAGGGCAAAGGCTCTTATTTTTAAAGTCTTGGAAGGCAGGAGGTTCCCCAGTTGTCTTCAGTTGCACATTTGGAGTTTAAGTCTGCACCATCCAGGGGATCTTCCTACGGCTTTAGGTGCCCACAGGAAAGAATCAACTCTAGGTTACCATAGCATCTCGTTTGCAGTCTCCAACCCATCTGAGCCATCTCGCAGATTATACCTATTCCATGTGCTAAACTTGTGCAAAGCAGAATCTAAGTTGGTGTTTTCCTGAAAGAGACTACTTTACTGGGGTACAGGTTCTTGCTGCAAATGATGCCTGTGACTGAGAATTTACACCTTCTCAAATTAGGCTCTGGCCTTTCATCCTTTTGTTCTGAAATACTTCCATGTGGCAGTGAAACTAATGACATGAACAAAAAGGAGATTGCGCCACCTTCTCATCCAGGAAAAATAATTCTAGGCACTTCCAAGAGAGAGGGTTAGCTGGATTCAGTAAATTATAAACCATGGGAATGGTAAATTTGACATTCAGTAGTGGGCGGAGGGGGATGGATTGTTTGATTTTGCCTCTGTTTTCCTTGCTTAGTGGCAAAGTTTATGTATTTAAAAAATCAAAGGAGTGCCTTTCTGTGCACTGCTTTTCAAGTATTCTTCTCTTTTGTCCTGTGATATGAGGAGACAGGAAGAAGGCAGTACTGTGGGTGTCGAAGGTGGGGCTCCCTGGAGTCAAGGTCACTCTACAAGAGCACAGCAGCAGACAGAGTGACTGCCATAGGTCCTTCTGCCACCAGATGCAGCCAACTTTCTTTTCTGGGGTAAGGGCTGTCCTATTGTGCATTGCAGCCTTTGACATTTGGTCCTGTCTTTTTAGTAAGGCAACTGCTAGCTGACCAAGTAAGACTGCCATGATCACTGAATTTGGGGGAAGTAGTACTTTCAGATGCTGTGCCTTCCTCCTGTTTTCTGAACTTCATTAAGATTCTATTTGATGGCCAGATGCGGTGGCTCATGCCTGTAATCCCAGCACTTTGGGAGGCCGAGGCAGGCAGATCACCTGAGGTCATGAGTTCGAGACCAGCCTGGCCAATATGGCAAAACCCCATCTCTACTTAAAAAAAAAAAAAAAAAAAAACTAGCCAGGTGTGGTGGTGTGAGCCTGTATTCCTAGCTACCCAGGAGGCTGACACAGGAGAATTGCTGGAACCCAGGGGGCAGAGGCTGCAGTGAGCTGGGATTGCACCACTGCACTCCAGCCTGGGCAACAGAGCAAGACTCCATCTCAAAAAAAAAAAAAATTCTGTTTCATAGTTTCAGTTTTCACTTTTCTCTCAAGATGCCCATGAAAGATGCCAGGGGTGTCGCCCCCTTTCAAGCATGTTTCTGTGAAGGACCTGTACTGCTCTGGCTGAGTTGGTCCAGGCCCACTTGGAAGATTTCTTAGGGGGGAAAAACCTCTTCACAAAGTTCCCTGAAGTCAATGGCTCAGGCACCTCTGACTCTCGGCTTTAGATTCGTATTAATTACCCCATTATGAGTTGAAAATCAAGGTGTCAAAAGAACGATACCTTATGCTGTATAGTGCTTTATACTCCAAGGTTGAGAGCCACAGGAGGTAGAGAGAATCTTTGTTCAGCTCAGGAGAAGGAGGGTTTGGCAATTAGCCAGTTGAGGATTTAACTATCTGATCCAAAAAAGGTGGTGAAGAAACAAGTTAAGTGTCCCACACTGGGCTCTTTGGGGTTTCATACCAGTTTCAGGGAGTTAGGATGGCTACCTGTACTTAGCGAGCTCCTGTTGCCTCATTCTCTGGCTGTGACTCCTCATCACAGGCCATACTCATCTGTGCATGTGCCCCTCCTACCCCTGGGCTGTACTTTCTAATTCCCAGTCTACTACCACAAAATCCTTCATTAACTATTAATATCATTAAAGAAGAAAAAAATATCCGTGTTACCAGATGTTTACAATTCAAGGCCTGTTTGGAAAATGCCCCATCAGTTCCTTTGGTGTCATTTGAGCTGGAGAGGTGTTGTCTAGCCCTATTGAGAGGTGAAGCCAGCTGGGCTTCTGGGTGGGATGGGGACTTGGAGAAATTTTATGTCTGCCTAAAGGATTGTAAATGCACCAATCAGCACTCTGTGTCTAGCTAAAGGATTGTAAACACACCAATCAGCACTCTGTAAAATGGACCAATCAGCACTCTGTAAAATGGACCTATCAGCAGGATGTGGGCAGGGCCAAATAAGGGAATAAAAGCTGGCCACCCGAGCCAGCAGCGGCAACCTGCTGGTGTCCCCTTCCACGCAGTGGAAGCTTTGGTCTTTTGCTTTTCACGGTAAATCTTGCTGCTGCTCACTCTTTGGGTCCACACTACCTTTATGAGCTGTAACACTCACTGCGAGGGTCTGAAGCTTCATTCCTGAAGTCAGCGAGACCACCAACCCACCGGAAGGAGCAAACTCTGGACACCCCACCTTCAGGAGCTGTAGCACTCACCGCAAGGTCTGCGGCTTCATTCTTGAAGTCAGTGAGACCAAGAACCCACCAGAAGGAACCAGTTCCGGACACACTATCTGTCCACCCCTCCTGGAAGAGCAGTCTGCTTGAGTAGGATCTTTGGAGTTTGGCCAGCTAAGGGAGTGATCTGCTAGCCTATAGCAGTAGGGCAGGGTAGACCTAGAATCTAACAGCTGTGTGAGGCAGCCTTGAGAAGCAGGGAATGCACCAAGTCCCCAAAAACAAGAACGGGATTTAAAGTGAAGAGGGACAGTCAGAGGAGCCACTGGGTTTGGGACCCAACTGCAACGAATCCCTGCAGCAGGAGATGTTTACTTTGGAGTCTGGAGCTGAGCCTGAGGGAGCTATGGGGAAGGGAGTCAGGTATCGTCAATAAAGGCTGCCTCTCTAGCGTTTCCGTGTAACACCAAGGGTAAAGAAAGACTCTGGAGTCAGTGTCTTAAAAGCAATGATGCTAGATATGTGTCCCCATCTGCCTTTCAGGTAGGTAAAGTCGTTTCCTGAGGATCCTGGCAAAGTAATCGTACCCACAAGCAACTGAAGGTACAGGGAATAGGCAAAATACTTTTAAAATGCTCGATTTCATTAAACACACGTACCATGTTGTTGCACTACCCCCCTACACACACATACACACACTATCCTTTTCCCCAAAATGCTGATATAGTAATAGTGTTAAAGAAAATTTAGAAAAGGAAAAATTCAGTGGTTCGGCAGCCAGCCAAATGGCTATTTCATTTTCATAGGTTTCCTTATTCTTGCCTATATGTAATACTTGAAGGTATTTTGTTTTCTGCTTTTCCCACGGTGGCATATCACAAATGTTTTTCTGTGTTTCCACATAACCTCTGTAATTGCCTTCTTTAATAGGTAAAGCATAGAACATCCTCAAGAAGCCTCATAATTTACTAGGTAATATTTTTCTTTGGGACAGTTAGGTTCTTTCCAGGTTTTTTGTTTTGTTGCGCCTATTATAATGCTCTTATCACAGCTGGGTGCACACTTTTCTTTGCTTGTCTTGAATTGCTCCCAGAAGCAGAATCACTACAGAAAAGGTTATGGACTTCCTTATGGCCCTTTTCATATACTTCCATATTGCTTTGCAAAAGGGTTGTATTCCGTACCACCTTGCCTGGAATCTCATCAGCTAAATTGCAACTCTGATAGCATTAAGCTTTTTTTTCCCCACTTTTGCAAATTTTGCAGATGTAAAATGATATATCAAAGTTGCTTCAAGTGTCATTCCTTTCATTACTAGAAAAGATAGAATCTCTTCCATATGTTTGAATTTTCTTCTAATATGCGTCATTTATTCATATTCTTTGCCGACTTCTATGAGGCTTAGTTTTTTTCCCTACATTTCAACGAGATAGTAACCCTTTTGTCATAGTGTTACAAAGTCTTTCTGTAGTCTATTAAATGTTGGTGTTTCCATTGTTCTGAATTTCAGTAATTTTGGTACAATCGTATCTGTCTTCTATTGCCTTTGAGTATATCTGATGCATCAAAGCATGGATAAATATTAGGTCTGTGAAGAATGTAGACTCTTCCGTTGCATGCTAGTTGTTTTAGAATTTAATTTTAAAATGAAATATTTAATTATGTTATCCATCTGTAACTTATCTTTTTATGTTTCCTGTGGATCTTACTGAAAGCTTTTCTCATTTGCCATCCGCATCTCACAGAGACTTGTGCTTAATAACCCCGCCTTTCTCCTGTTGTACTGAAATCTGCTTTGTCATATGCTACACTTTCATATAGTCAGACCTGTTTATGGACTGTCTGTATTGTGCCACACTTTTCTCTTTGAATCAGAGTATCAGAGTGAATTAATGAACTTGGCTTCATAACATTTACTAAAACCTTGGTTCTTTTCAGAATAAAAAATCCTTACTGTTTATATTGCCAGATTAGTTTTGTAGCAATTTGTGAAATTGCAAAATATCGCACTAGAATTGTAATTAAAACTGTATTAAATCTGTCAGTTAAATTTAGGGGAATAAGCAGTTACAAATATTAATGTTCTCATCCTGTAACAAAGTACACCTTTCCATTTCATCAAATCAAATCTTATTTTATACAATGAGGTTTTGTAGTTTGATTTTAAAGGTTGCCTTCACCTAAGCAGATTTCTAAAAATTTAACATTTTGTGGAAATCATGAGTAGAATCTTTCATTATGCTTTCTAACTGAATATACTGGGTGACTTGCTTTTGTTTATTTCTACTGTTAAGTATTATTGTTTTCTACTTATAAGGCATCATTACTATTTAGTTGTCACTTGTATCAAAGGAAATGCAAACCTCCCAGGCAATGTAAAAGGGCTCTAGCCTGTTCAGGAAATATTGTTCTGTGAGCTTCCAGAAAGACTTCTTTCTTCTGTAGCCTAAAAGAGGGGAACTGAAGTGAGGTGTGAAAGGAAGAGAAAATTAAAGTGCACATCCATGCTTGGAAAATGACTTCATCCCCTACAAGACCTCCTAGGAATATGACCTTCCAAACAAACTCAGCAAGGAGCCTTCCTGAGGCCTTGGAAGATTTCTTATTGCCTGGGACTCCCAAAGTGGAATTTAGGGTTCGAGATGTTAAAGGAAGTTAGTTTGGAGCTCTAACAGTATTGAAACATTTGTGTGTGGCTGGACAGAAGCATAGTCCCCTCCCCTCCTTAGTTGCCGTATCTGGTTTATCTGACTGGGAAGAAATATCCTCTGGGAACTACTAGAAGAAACGTCAGTAATGGAAATTAATTCTGAAATTACGGGCACGAGGATTGAGTTAATGAGCTAGTGGAACATTTTTCCTCTGGACATGGCATCAGGGCCTTTTACCAGCATTTCCCTGATCCACCCCCATCCTGCGAGATGGAACCAAATATTTTCCTTCTGCCAGTGGTAATAGCCAAGGTCACTCGTGGCAGGGACAGGACTGCCATCCTGATAAATCTTCCCAGTCTTGAGGTCTGGACCTCCTTTGTGAGCAGACCCACACAATCTTCTATGTAGCATATCACACCTTTCCTGGAATGTTATTCCAGAATTAGTATCAAACAATGAAAAGAGTAGAATTTGTAGTTAGACCTAAGTTCAAATCCAAACACGTTGCTGACAAGCTCGTCATGGGAATGTTTATTAAATTCTCTATGCCTTTTTTTTTTTTCCATCTGTAAGATGAAACCAAAACACCACCTCCCCTAATTACTTACTCATTCAGGAAATATTTAATGCATGCCTCCTATGGTGCCGGGCACTGACATGGGCATGGCAGAGGATACAACATGGTCATGGAGCTTATATTCTAGGGGGAGAGAGAATAAATTCATATTAAAAATAATACCACAGAAGATAATAAAGCAGAAAATGTGACAGAGTAAGGATGATTGTTCTTTTAGAAGACTTGACCAGAGAAGAATTCTCTCATAAGATGTTTGAGCACAGAACTGAATAAAGGGTGGAAATTAACCATGAGAATATTGGAAGAGCATTTCAGACAGAGGGAAACGTGTGCAGAAGCTTTGTGGTGGGAGCATGCGTGTCTGAAAAACAGAGGAAAACCAGTATGATTGGAGCAGAGGATGTGATGGAGAGCGTGCTGCTGGCAGGTGAAGTTAGAGAGGTATGAGGGAACCAGGTCATACAGGGCAGTGATATGCAAACTACAGCCAACAGGCCAAATCCAGACTATGGCCTGTTTATGTACAACCCTTTAGGTAAGGGAGGTTTTTAAATTTTTAGAAGAATGTTTTTAAAACATTTTTTAAAGGGCAAATTCTTTAAAAAATAAAATAAAATAAAATACATTAAGGCCGGGCATGGTAGCTCACTCCTGTAATCCCAGCACTTTGGGAGGCTGAGGTAGGTGGATCACTTGAGGTCAGGAGTTCGAGACAGCCTGGCCAACATGGGAAAACCCCATCTCTGCCAAAAATACAAAAATTAGCTGGGTGTGGCAGTGCACACCAGTAATCTCAACTACTCAGGAGGGAGGCTGAGGCAGGAGAATTGCTCAAACCTGGGAGGCAGAGGTTGCAGTGAGCCGAGATTGCACCACTGCACACCAGCCTGGGCAACAGAGGGACACAACTCTGTCTCAAAAAAAAAAAAAAAGGCGTATCATATTTCACCCACAAAGCCTAAAATATTTGCTATCTGCCCTTTTACAGAAAAAAAATTGCCTGATGCACGGCCTTAGAGGCCACAGTGAGGACTTTGTACTTGTATTTTAAGTATGGTGGGAAGCCATTGTGGGTTTTTGAGCAAGAAAGTAACATGATGTGATTGACAGTTTTTAAAGGATGTCTCTGGCTGCCGTGACTGAAAGGAGGAAGGGCAGAGCAGGGAGCACAGTTGGAAGGTCGGTGATTAACAAAACCCTGGTGAGACCTGGTGGCAATAGAATGGACTAGACTGGCAGGCGCAAGGTGCTGAGTAGTGGGATACAGAGTATCTTTTGGAGGTGGCACCGAAAGATGCTTTGAACTAATGGGGGAGTATGAGAAGAAGAAAGGAGTGAAGGATGACACCAAGATTTCTGGTCTGCTCACCCCTCGTAATGCTTTCATGGAAACGGAATGAGACTATTTTTTTTTCTACTTCTGTGGCTTGACCGTCCCATTTCTTCCACCATTTTGCAGTCAGGGTTCCCTTTCTAAGGTACAATTTTGATTGTGACACTGTCCTTTCAAAAATCTACTCCAGTATCCTGTTAGCTGTGGAACAAAGTCCATCCACTGAGCCAGTCAGTCTGAGCCCTCCATAATCTGGCCACCCCTCACCTACATCCTGTGTCATGTCCTTTTACTCCTGTTCATCCACCCCACCACAAACCAGCGAATGGTCTGCAAGTCCCCATATGTGCTTTATTCTTTCCACTTCCAGACCTTTGCCCACATGTGCTCCTCTCTTACTATGGAGGTGTGTCAACAGTCCTACCAGAATGTTGTGGCCTACTTTTACAATAAGGTCATTGCATGATACCTCTTTATCCTCCTAGTCTATTTCAATACTCTCTGCCTTCACCTATTTTAATAGGTGTTTCCATTTGTAACATCATTTTTATACACAAATCTCATCCCCCATCATCAAACTTCAGAAAAGGAGACAGTATAGCACATAGTTAAGTGCCCTCACTTTTGTTAAATCCTGACTGTGAACTTGGAACTTATATGACTTTGAGCAAGCTACTTAATCTCTGTAAACCTCAGTAGTGTGTGCCCAATGGTAGTAATCACCATGATGATAATTATCAAAAGCTCTGTAGGAAAACCACTTTTGCCATTCTAGCACTTGAAGCTTGCTTGTTCCCTGAAAGCAATGGTTCTCAAAACATGACACCCCCCTCCCCCAGCTTTTGGGGATCAGTGACTCTTAATTCTTCTTATGATTAGAGAGTTGGTAGGGACAAAGAAGAGTTGGAGGAAGGTAGGAAGTATAAGCTGGTCAGTGGATCCGTTTGAGATGTAGGACTGTTTTGGGAGGACACACCCACAGTGTAAGCCATCAGGAGCCATCCATTAACTTGTAATAATATAAGTGGATAAGATCAATTTTTGGTAGATTGGCAAGATGTGAAAATTATTTGGTATGTCTAATTTTAACATTAGCTGTTGACACATTTATAAATACAGAAACTAAAGTTAGTGCAGATGATTTCAAGAAATTTTAAAATATTGTGAAGAGCATTGTAATTCCACACAGTATTAAAGCCTGGAGAACACTTAAATAATCTCTGTAGCTGTGGGAAAAAGCGCAGCCGCATTTATATTTAGTTACCGGCTTTTTTGGAACATGATACCACGTTTATCTTTTTTCTCTTCTTTAGGCTCATTATGTGACATGAAAAATCATCTTTTTGACAGAGTGATGCTATTAATCCAAATAGAATTGAAATAAAATTACTCCAGGCTTTGTCCTCCACACTACCTGATTCCCTTTCCTCTGCATTGCTCATTGGTGTGGTTGCAGGTGGACACGGGAGACGGGCAGAGCCTCAAACCAGTCCTTGGGCTGCCAGTCTGTAACTCTGAATAAAATGGACTGCATAAGAGGTGTCCTTGAAGAAAAATGCTAGAATTATCTTCATAATTAATTTTTATCTCAAGCTTTAGATTCTCTTTCTGTGCATGTTTGGGGAGGGGAGGGCTTATGCTCAAATATTTTCTCCAAAAAGGGTGTGTGATCAAAAACTTGATTGCTGGTTAGCATGATGAAGAGATACTTAGGTGAGAGGTTGGAAATGTTGATGCCAAAAACTCCTAGAATTTTCTGTAGATTTCCATTTTCCATGCGACCTACTCACCTCTAACTATAATAAATTACAGTTTTGTCTCCTATCATGTACCATTCAGTTCAGCATGGTGACGTGTGAATCAGATTCAGGGAAAGAATAAGAAACAGACACCAGTGGCTTTATGTCGGGCCATCTCTCCCTCTCATGCCTCCCTCTCCCACTGTTTGGGCAGCCACTGAGCAAATAGCCAAAGTGGAACTGCCTGGTGAGGCAGAGAAGATACCTAGATGGTCTCTCAACTGAAGGATCTATTTCTGCATAACTGGTTACCCTTTTAAAGTCCTGGATTTCAGAGCCATCTCTCGTTGGTGAGATCTGTGTATAAAGGACCCATTTAAGGGAGTGGGCAGAAGGCATAAGTGCCTTGAAGGGAAAAGACTGCATGGCACAGAATGTGACCATGTGCCGCCTGCCACACTGCCTTTGTGTTGCTAGGCTATGGCTACATCACATTTGTTTCTCTCTCTCACTCTGAACGCTTCTGAGAAGTTTCAAAGGAAGGTAAGCAGTACCTATGTCACTTACATGCTTCTCTGGTAGAACAGCTCTGGGTTTCTGCTGATCCTGGGCAGAGGCCATTTCTGGGAATAGATTTGGTCCCACACACCCTCTCCCAAGGATGTTGCATGGCTGTGGTCACACGTCTCTTTCTGCCCGTAGACCAGCCACTTGCTTCTGGAATGAATTCCTTAGGAGCTTTGCAATGGGTCTTTTCCTGGTAGTCTGTCTCCCAGAATTATTGTGTTGCTTGGCTCCCGGAGAAGCCACAACGGGCATGTGCTGACCTTATTCTTCCTCATTCCCACAGGCAGCACAAGGAGGTGGCCACAGGACCCTGTTATACGGCCATGCAGTTCTCCTGAGGCACTCTTTCAGCGGAATGGTAAGCAGCTCTGGTGCCCACTTTCATCATTCAAGGAGAAGGAAAAACTGAAGAGGGGGAAATACAGGAAGCCAGCAATAACAACGTAACAGCAGGAACAATTGGAACATAACTAATTTTAGCACGTTATCCTCTTGGCATTTCCTACATATGACCTACCTCAATTTGCAATAATTGCAATTGTGTTTTTTGTTTCATCAATGTCTGATACCCCACCTCCAACTCCCTGAGGAAGAGGGCCATGTTTCTTTCTTATTTTGCTAGACCTATAACCCCACCAAATGCAGTGCTTTGATATACTAGATGCTCAATAAATATTTGTTGAATTGACACATGATCAAATGGCTTATGGAGTAACAGAGCGCTTTAGTATACAAGGATAACCAGCATAGAAGAAAAACCAATCAAATGGAAATTTTGTGACAGTTCTCCTCCTTTACCTAGCTAAGAGAAATAGAATGGTACTCACTGTTTTCAGTCCTGGAAGAACTTGCAGGTGGGATGCTAATCCAGAGCCAGGAGGAAGACAAGAGGCAAGGTAGTCACAGAAAGCTGCATGGCTATTACTAATCAGGGATCTAGAACCAGAATCGACAGAAGGATGATGCCTCAATGTAACTTGAAAAAATTGCTACATTTTAAATATAATTTATTTATAATTTATAAAAAAATATAATTTTACAATATTTTAAAAGGCAGATATTGTAGTTTTGCAGGGAGTATTAAGGAGAATATTATTACTCAATCAACTATATGCCACTCCAATAGTGTATCATCCTCACTTTCTTTCGGTGTAAGAAAGGCTTGTCATTTTCCTCTAGCCCTAGTGGAAAACTGATACGTTAATTCAAGACTATTTCCACACATTTATACCAGCAGCATGATGCAAAGTTCATCTCAAGGCTTGAACTATCAAACTGACAACAGGAGCAACAGCTGCCTGTTAAATAATTCATTTGCTGCAGCATATATATATATATATTTTTTTTTCTGAGCACTGGTAAGAGGCTGACCTTTTCAGCCTGAACATTCGTCTGCTGTAGTCCTTCATGGCAAAAGACGAAAAACAAAAATGTCCAAACGGAAGTGTATCCAAGTAGGAGATGGAGATGTTTTTGAGAGTAGGGAAACTTTGAACCCTGATAATATCTGGAATTGAGAAGGTGATACTATCTTTCAGAATCTGGTGTTTATCTATAGGGTAAATAAAACTCCAACACTTGTCTTTACCTAAATGTAATAAACAGAACTTCAAAAGCATACTTCTTATGGCTTCAAAAACAAGCTAATATCATGGTAGTGACACAAAGACTTGCATTATTTACATTAAGTTTACCCCTCCTAAAAAAAAGTTCTACTCACAGTGAACATATACTCTCTACTGGCTAGCTCCTTTTAAGTACAGCTCTGGGAATAAAGCCTATAAGATATGGCTTTCTACATTGCAATGATTTTCCATCTTCCTCTCGCAGAGAAGTAGAACTGTGGCTTAGAAAGCACATCCCAAGAGCTTACCTGCCTCTCAGTCTAATCCTAAGATGAGCAGCTATGCCCATCAGTGAAGGAGGCCATGGGATGCTTTATTAAGTTAGTTTAACAGTCATTTCTAAGTTTTACCTGCCCATGTATCTTTATAATAAGAAAAAGAACCATTATTTTGAGGAGTTTTAAAGCTCATAGAAAATTTGAAAAACCAAAAACAGAAGGTCATGGGACCTTCTGTCCCATGGTCATGGGAAGGTCATCCATGTCCCTCCACACTATCCAAAATCAACTTCTGTTTCATTTTTGTGTAATTCCTTTTAGTCTGGTTGCTACACATTTAAATTTTTGAGTACAGGTTAACTTATAATTGTACTATTTTATATATTACTTTTTAGCTTCATGTATTGTAAATAATGTTCCAGGCTCTTACACATTCTTGATAAATACTCAATAACATAATATTATATAAAATAGCAGTATCAAAGGTTATCTAGCTTTATTATTATTGTTGGTCATTTATGTTCCATTTGTATTGTTCCTAATTTAAAAGTTTCTCAACATCTTTAAGGCATCTTTAATATTTCTAACTCATTTCTATAACATATAGTTCTATACATTTAACTACTGAGTCATCAGATAAGAGCATCTTTGAGGTTTTAAGTGTATTGTAAAAGTATTTTCAGCTGGGCATAGGGTGGTTCACATGTGTAATCCCAACACTTTGGGAGGCCAGGGCAGGAGGATCACTTGAAGCCAGGCGTTCAAGACCAGCCTGGGAAACATAGATAGACCACATCTCCACAAAATTTATTTTAATTAGCTGGGCATGGTGGCACACACCTGTAGTCCTGGCTACTTGGGAGGCTGAGGTGGGAAGATTGCTTGAGCCCAGGAGTCTGAGGCTGCAGTGAGCTAGGATTGTGCCACTGCACTCCAGCCTGGGCAACAGAATGAGACCCTGACTCTAAAAATAATAATAATAATTAAAAATGAAAGTATTGTATTAAGGCATTTACCAATTAACTTTCCAATGAACAAGATAAATAGAGCTGTCTTCACAGTAGCTCATTGTTGAACTTAACTAGAAGCTAACTAGTGGTAAGATACCAAGACTCAATGGAAGAGTGTGACTTCACTAGTATTTGCTCTTCTTTCACAGTATCTAACATGCTTGACTACATCAAGATCCCAGACAGACAAACTTGCCTTTGATGTAGGTCTACGGGAACATGCCACAGGTGAGTCAGCATTCCCAGATCTCTTGAGCTCAGCGGGGGTCTTGGGCTAAGGGGCTTTTGAGAAGGACCCTGAATGCGTTACTCATTTGGGATTCCAAACCAACCTGGTTAAGAAATAGGTCTGAAAAAAAATTGCAGAATAATGAACTAGAGAAAGAATGTGTAATGGAAACACGGAAACTAAGAATGAAGGAGAACATAATGTTTTTACCACAGTCAGCCAGAATCTCAAAGAAAAACAAATCTTTAACGTTGTTAGGTATTGAAAGTAAGTGAACAAATCATTTGTGATAAGAACCAATGATACTAAATGACTGCCAAAAAATAAAGGTGTCGTAATAAAGGCTTAAATAATGAAATATAGTGTCTAGATCAAAGGAGTAGTCCTATTTTGTTCTGCAATGAACAAGCTATGTCTAAAGTAGTGTTTTCCAAATGTTATTGACATCTATAATCGTGATTTTGCCATTCCACTGTATCCTTTATAATATCATTTACTTTATGATTTTATTTAAATTTAATTACTTTTGTACTTAAAATTTTACAGACAAAACTTATTGCCGTAAGTATAAACTGTTTTTGCTTGCCATAAAAGTAAAATAATGAAAACCATGTCATTAAGTAATTGAAGAGATGTTGACAAATATTATAACATGTTAATGATACACTAGTTCCAAATGTAAAACTTTATTTGAAAGCATCAGAAGGTTTAAAAGGGTAGTAAAAATGGGCCGGGCACGGTGGCTCATGCCTGTAATCCCAGCACTTTGGGAGGCCGAGGCTGGCGGATGACCTGATGTAAGGAGTTTGAGACTAGCTTGGCCGACATGGTGAAACCCCGACTCTATTAAAAGTACAAAAATTAGCTGGGTGTGGTGGCAGGCGCCTGTAATCCCAGCTACTCAGGAGGCTGAGGTGGGAGAATCGCTTGAACCCAGGAGGCAGGGGTTGCAGTGAGCCGAGATCGCACCATTGCACCCCAGCCTGGGGGAGAAGAGCGAGACTTCGTCTCGAAAGAAAAAAGTAGTAAAACTGAAAATAAATTTCTCACTGTATTTGTCAGTGTCATTTAATTGCCTCCCACCAATGATATACATCATATACTTTGGGAACCAATGGATTATTATTATTTTTTTTTTAGTATAGTCAAAAATATTGACAGTTAAAAGGTGGGTGCTGAAAATGCTGACCAGGATGGCACAGGTTCTCACTGGAAACCAAAAATAAAGAACCGAGGACTAAGATAATAATCTACAGATATTCAAAGTTGTAATATCAAACAAGATGCTGACTTGCTGGGGTTCTTCCAAAGACCAACAGAGCAGTGGGTAGGAGTTGAAAGGAGGCACATTTCACATCAATTTTGAAAACTACTTCGGAACATCAGCAATTAATGAGCAGGAGAACAGCCGGCCTTGGGATATCGGGTGCTCCCTGTGGCTAAAAATATTCATGAACAATCTGACCATCCGTCAAGGGCATTACATGTGGAATTTCTGCTCCATTTAGAGGTTGGGCTAGGTACCAAACAGGATTCTTTGTTGCAAACAAGAGAACTTGATTCAGGTTAACTCAGTAAGAATAAGAATTTACTAGAAGGATGTTTGGTAGAGCCTTCACTAAATCTGGAGCCTCAGGCTTGAAAATTGGGTAGGAACAGAGACCAAGGAAGAGAAAACAGGTTAGGGCACACTGCAGGAAAAGTCTAATTTGAATACAGTCTGTAATATGACATTCTCCCTTAAATAGGAAGAGGGTTCCAATGTTGGGTAGCCAAAGAAAGACAAGAGCCTATGTTGTTATTCTAAAGCTAGGTCAGTTCATAATGGAAGGATCCAGGTTGCCTAATTTTATAGATCTAGAAAAAAAAATCCAGCATCCAAACCGTGTGTACTTGCTGTTTCCATGTCTTGCACAATGGTGTCCTGAGAGTGCCTGAGGGAACCTCTTGCTCTTTTCTTCCTCTTCCTGTTTTTGTACCAAGCAAAAAAGTGGCCCCGCCTTTGCCCATTATGGCTTTTTTCCTAAAATAATATTAGATTTGAATTTGATTTAAAGTTTCTTTGTTTTCAGCCAAAGTGTTAGTCTTAAAATATAATTTCCTCTAAGGTGTTGTCGACCTTGCTGGAAATTACAAAGTGAGTGAAGTGCCACACTCTGAATATACACTTCTTTCTAAATATAGACCAACTGTCAATCCTGAAGAATATGATCAGAAAAGTCAAATATGGTCACTGTATTTATATCAGTAAAATAACTTGATACTTTTTGAGATTGGAAAGAAATTGAGAAACACCGCTTTTTAGTCAAGTGTTCAGAGAATTATTTTAATTGTTAGAGCCTTAAATAAAAATAAAGGGAAACAACAGCGGCAACATTACTCTTTTCATCAGTTTTTAAACTGATGAAATTCACACATCAGACTAGGTGTGAATTCTGTTGACAGACAAGGCAAACACATAGAACTAACCCATATTCAAGCTGGCTGTTGAGAAGCTACCTGTGGCGGAAGACAGGGAGAGAAGGCTTGACTAGGTCTTCATGAAAACCTAGAGCCTAAACTAACTTACGTTTGTTTTGCATCTCTCACCCAAACTCATGTGATATTCTCCTTGAAGAAAGCTAGCTGGCGTTTGTGAGGGACAAGGAGGATGCACCTCCAACTCAGATGAGGTTCAGCATTACCTGGAGATTCTCCTCACTGCAGGAGGAGGTTCACACGGAATCCAACAGAAGGGTCCCCTGTTCCTGTCTGGCTAGTTCTCTGAATGCACTTCTGGCTCAGAAACCCCTTCAGAGTTGTAAACAAGTAAACTGCCCAGTAGTGGAGTTGAAACTATAGGAGAATATGAGGAGAAAGTTTGGGGGCAGTTTCTTGAACAATTCTAGCATTTTTCCCCAACACATTGAATTGTACATTCTCACACTTAACACAGAATTGATGATCATTTTATCCTTGATTTTGGGTAAAATTACTTATTCTGGTCTCCTTTTAAAGTTGTTTAATTGTTTTGTTTTTAGGATTTAGATATAGCTTTAGAATTTAGACTTAGGAGGAAAGAAATGTTTAAAGCATACCCACACTAAAAGTGTTATTTTGTATTTTACGGCTTTGGACTGGCCCATCCCACTGCTTCAGGGACAGCTCCATCCCTGGCTCCAGAGTGTGGGAGAGGGCAGGGAAGCAAAGTACTCTTTCTGTGTGTTCCTCTTCAGGACCCCCTTCATCATGGACACCCTTCGGTGGTCTCAGAGAACATTAAAGATGCATACAACATTTTCCCCTTCAAATGTAGAGCTCAACCTCTTTGTCATGTCATGTTTAGTTTAATTGAAGTAGTACTCACACATAGATTAAAGAGAGAAATAGTGCTCCTGAGCTTATTATAAACACCAGTCTCCTGCCCTCCCTCCTTTGGATGCTTGCCTCTCTGGGGCATCTACTTTCAGCTCTTTTAGTATTGTTTACCACTTGTTTATAATATACATATTAAAACAATGCTTTTTAAAATTCTTTCTAGATTATGCATTAACTGTGGATGTCCTGATAAAAATTTTGCTTTTATTTCACTCTTCCCTGTCTTTTCTTCCACTCTTCCCATCCTTCCAATAGATTTTCATCTATTTTATTTAACTATCAAATCAATATTAACTACTTTCACTGCTATAACTGTAACTTTTATTTGCAAATGAGCCACATAATATATTCTGACCAGGTAATTTATTGTATTACTTTAGAGTTTTCCAATAGTTAATAACTGCCTTATTTGTTTGCTTAGTTTTTTTGTGACCCAATCATGTATTCATTTTCAAACTTTCCTATAGAAGTGAAAATCTGGTTAGATTCGCTTGCATGATCTGTTCTCTCAGTTTCATCTTCTTAGAAACATCAGCCATCATCTAGGGAATTTCTGTTGCCTTGCCCTAGATTCCATGTTTATTAGATCTGACAGGGTTGGTTTTTGTTTTCTGGTTTTTTAGTTTGTTTGTTTGTTTTTTGCCTTCTTGGTTTACCACCTCACTGTGGTGGAACACATTATCTAGTAACTTTTACAGAAAAGATGCATGTGGATTAAATTTTTGTCTGAAAATTTCCTAATTACAGCTTCACAAGTCATACACACTTTACTGTAATTCTATATTGGAAATTTTTTTTCCTCAGCTTCCTGAAGGCTTTCTACTAGCCAGTGGTCTGACTGTTGAGAAGTCTACATTCTGATTTCTTATCCTTTGTGTGTGACTTGCTTTTATTTTCTGAAAGCAGCTAAGAGCGTCTCTTGTGCCTTGGTGTCTGAAATTCCACAGCGATGTGTCTTGGCGTGGCCTCTTTCTGTTCTGACATCTCACTGGAATGCACCTTAGAGTGGGTTTCTAATCTCTACTGTGTTAGGGACTCTGTAGGTTCTTTCAATCTGGAAATGCTCATTTTTCAGCTTTGAAAAAACTTTAATAGTATTTCTTTGTTAATTTCCTCTCTCTTTTTCAGTTCTTGCTCTCTGGAATTCCTCTAGGTTGGTTTTTTGATAATTCTGTTTTTTGTCTTCCTTCCTTCTGGAAGAATTTTTCAGCTTTATCCCACCACCTTTTTCTTTTCTTTTCTTTTCTTTTTTTTTCCAGGATCAGTGAGTATTTTTCTTTTCCTTGGAAGGGATCCTTCATAGATACTAATATAGCTGTTTCATGAATGTCCTCTGAGATTATTAATTATAAGATTTTTTAAGTTTTCATTTGTTCTTTATAATCTTTGCTTTCTCCAAGTCTCTTCTCTTTTCACTTTGTTTCTGTGGTTCCTGTTAGAGACCTTCCTCGGTTGTCAGGTGGTCCTTGGTCTTCATTCATGTTCTCATCAAGGCAGTAAAAGCTGACTAGAAGCTGGCTGAGGCTTGTTGTCTGTTAAGCCTCACTTTTAGGTCATCTGGCAGAGACCTGAGCATTTCACTGGTGACCTAAAGCCACAGTATGTTTTATCTTAGCTAGTTTGGCTTCCCTAAAGAGTGATCCTCAAATTTGGGTGGAGGGAGGGAGGGAAAGGAGCTGGGGTTTTACTAATCAGGGTATAAAGTTTGAATTCTGTTTTCAGCAAGACTCTACTTCTTTGTTTGACAATGTCTGGTATTTCCAAAACCAGACCACCCTTGGTAGTTGGCTTTTCCATGGATTAAACTTCTAATCTTCTATAGCGTGGAGGAGGAGAGGTCTTCTGGCTGTTCAGGGCAGGGAAAGGCATCAGGGATTTGAATGTCCTTTTCAACCTTTCCACCAGTCCCGTTTTCAACCCATTTTCTGCCTTCGCAGGTAGCTGGTGCTTCCAAGTCCAGGGACTTTCTTGAGATTCTGCAGCAGGAATTGGCTTTTTATTGATGGTTTCTTCATCTCCATTTTCTTACTGAAAGACCTGGGTTTTCACTTTTTATTGGCTAAAAGCTTCCACCTGCTTTCCTTTTTCCAAAATGTCAATTTATCTTCTTTGCTATCAATTTCTCACTTATTGTCTGAGTCCTTGCAGATGTAAGCCTTTAAAAAAGCTTCCCTTAGGACAGGGGGAGACAAAGATGAAAGTGTGTAAGTGTGCAGTAGACCAATGACATAGATTCTTATTTATTTATTTATTCTTGGTGGTCTTGATTGGAGTCAATTCTCAAAACAGAAATTTGAAAGACTATAAAAAGCATTTTTCCTATTTGCATTAAAAATACTCAAAGGCCGCTATAGTTTCCGGCCTCCAATACTCCTTTCCATACACTGTTTTTCTGTCTCTAGGGAAAATGAAAATGACAGACATAGTCAAGAGCAGATGGGGGGCTGTCTGGAACGGTTAGAGACCAACAGAAGTTGAGGTCTGGAATGTGCACTTGTTGTGTGCACGTGAAGGGTTGTCCTAAGAGGAAGGAGAACAAGGAGCAAAATTAGGGACACTGGCTTCTGTGAAGCAATGACTAACTCAAGGAGCCTTCATGTAGGAGAAGCCTGTTGGTGGACTATACATCCTGCTTCCAAACAGAGGTCCGAAGGAGAGAAAGTTCGAATTGGCGATGACCTCATCCTCGTCAGCGTGTCCTCTGAAAGATACCTTGTAAGTACCTCATAATATAAGAGTCTTCTGTTTTCAGAAATTTTTCCTTTAGGAATAGATGGCCATGAAGAACTGAGCCACAGCAGGTTGGATAGAATAAGATGCTTTTACATATATAGAGTTGACCCTTAAACAATGTAGGGGTTAGGGATGCTGACCCCCTGGCACAATAAAAAATTAAAGTGTAACTTTCGACTCCTAAAAACTTAACTTTTGATAAGAAGTAGCCTACTTTTGATGGGAAACCTTACTGATAATGTGAATAGCCTGTTAAAGCATATTTTATATGATATATGTATTATATATTGCATTCTTACAATAAAGGAAGACAGAAAAAATGTTAAGGAAATCATAAGGAAGAGAAAGTATATATACTGTCTATTAAGTAGAAGTAGATCATCCTAAAGATCTTCATCCTTGTCATCTTCACGTTGAACAGGAGGAAGAGAAGGAGAAGGAGGGGTTGATCTTGCTGTCTCAGGGGGAGTAGAGGTGGAAGAAAATCCATGTATATGCAGACCTGTGCAGTTCAAACCCGTGTTGTTCAATAGTCAACTGCACTCGAGGGATGATTAAATACTGTCTGCTGCCACGTGATCATGGTGTCCGGAACTAACCTGTTATTCTTTTAGATGATGGTGCTGCATCCAGCAAACTGTTAAAATGCCCCAAGCGCTATATGCACATTAACTCCCATTATTCTGAATTTATTACGTTGTTTAGCTCTTGTTTAGGGAAGAACAAGAAAGGATCGAATATAGGAAAATAAGTTTATGTTGGAGAAAGAAAGAAAATGTACAATGTTTCAGGACATGGGGTATCACAGAGAGTGGAAGTTGCCAGTGAGATTTTGCAGCTGGGGTTGGGTAATAAAAAGCACCATTTGTGTCAGGCACTTGTCTGGGGGTGGGGATGCCTGAAGATGAGAGAAACGTCAGAGAAGCTTCTCACGGAGTCAACTGAAGTAAAATCTGTGGGCAGATTTTACTTTGCCTAGGCCAAGTGTTGGGTAATTTTTCCCATTTGTGAGTTATCTTATCCTACAAAGAATGGACATTTTATGAGTTGGTGTTGAATCAGCTCCAGCTGAGGGGATGAAGTCAACACATGTCTGCCATCTCTGTAGCTGAATAATTCCTCACCCCAGAATAAAGTGTCCCACTTTGAAGCTGCTTCTAGATCAGGTGGAGAAATCTCCCACAGGCTGTATAGAAAGAACCAGATGACAGTAAGGCTGTTTAATTTAATCCTTGAAGTTCTAGGTGAGCTGTTTCTGTCGGCACTGGACTGGTGATTTAAAAGATGTCTCATTTCTGTTTCTGCTGCAGCATCTCTCAGTATCAAATGGTAACATACAAGTGGATGCCTCCTTTATGCAAACACTCTGGAATGTACATCCTACGTGCTCAGGAAGTAGCATCGAAGAAGGTGTGCTTCTTTAAATGCATTTAGCCCTGAGCCTGCCTATCTCTCTTGAGCTGTATACATTGACATTTTCTGCTACTTCCCAGATCTCACCTGAATGTCTTGGTACACAGGTAGCCTGATTTTAGCTCACTTGAGTTTCTTTCTCTGAATTCAGTACAGATTATTTTCTATTCTAACTTCCAGTTACATGAGCATCCCTGAACTTTTTTTTTTAACCCCTTGGAGCCCACTATTGTTTTAGCACTACGTGTATTCAGGACTTGGATATGCACCTTTGCTCTCTCCCTGAGTTTCCACAATTTTATTTTTGCTTACTAGTTGTAAGTATAAAGACCTCAGCACCTTCAGTTTTAGAAGAGATTATTTGCCAAGAAGGTGACATGGTTTATATTTCTCCTTATGCATCTCTCCATGCAGGCGAAGCACTTACTCTATTATAAAAGTGTTTGGTCATTTGTTTTCACTTGTATTTATGGAAGGCCATTTTAACATAAGAGGTGAAATTATTTTTCCCTTGGAAATAAAGTCATCCAACGTTGTTCAATGTATTTTATTTCATAGAATCAGGTAAAAATCAATACACCTTTCAAGTTGTGTAATAAATGTACTGGCCTTACCTCACTCATAGGTAATACCACAGCTGAGAAGAATAATCAAATGTCAGTGACCTATGGGCTATTGTGTTACATTTTGGCACATTATAGCAAGATCAGAATTTTTAAAAATACTCATCACAGGCTTTAGCCCTATTAAAGTCTAGTACTTTCAAACTGGGAATGCCGGTCTATTCTATCATGTTTGAAAAAAGAAGGAAAACAGAGTTGTCAAGGTGATACCCCAGTTTCAGAATGCATGATAGCTAAACTGAAGACTCAGGAAAAGACAAATTCTTAACTCTTTTGGCAACAAGTGGAAGGCTTTAAAAGGTAGGATGTGTTTAGCCCTCTTCCTTTGTGCCAAAATTAACCCACCCTCCTGGGTCTATTGTCAGTCAATCCCTTTCTATTAAGAATCAAGAAGCTCTGGGTTTAAGTCTTTCTCAAGAAAGTTTTGGCTCAATCTTCTCCATGTTAAATTTTTTATTTTCACCATAGGAATAAAATTATTTCCTGGTCCCAACAGAGGGCTTGTGGAAATTAATTAAGGAGTGTTTGCAAATCATGTCAAAAGGTCCTTATAGAAGTGTTGAGTGCCGTTGTAATATAGTCTGGATAACTCATCACTTGAGTCATCTTGCTCTGTAGAAAAATGTCCTTCCAGCATCCACTGGTGAGAAACCCACTTCAGCCCTTAAGAACGTAAGTGATCTTCATCATGATGCTGCTTTCCTGACTATGGCCCTGATAGATTTCAGTTAAGAAAAGTCATGATGCACCAGCACTTGGCAGTGTTCTCTGTGTGAGTAGGATATTGATGGAAGGAGCCCAAAAACCATAAAGGATAAACTCCAAATAGGGCATGGCCTCTCCATCATGAGATGAACGAGAGCTTAATCAAGAGGTTGGTCATGGAGGGCTTTAATTTTCTAAATAAATTAGCTGTTAAGAATCCCCTATAATATATCATGAATCATTTTTAATGCAAAGGAGGTTATAACTCAGATTAGCAGTACAAAAAGATACAGGAAAATTGGAAGGAGACTTCTGAATATTTGAGGGAATTTTAGAAAAACTTGCCTTGTCTAGGTAAAAAAACTGAACTCATAACAGACTGTCACTGTACAAAATTCACTAATAATACCCTTTTCTCCTCTGGCATGATTGCTCATTCTTACTGTTTTAATCCAGCACCCAAAATAGTTTTAAGACAGCCCCTAAAGTGATCTAATTATGTGATTTTTTTTCCTTTAAAAATTCTGACACAGACATTGGGTATATTAAGTTCATATGTCTCCTGAGAACAGACTAACCTGGAGAATTTCTTAATTCAGAGGAATAACAAATCCCATTTCTTGGAGCAAGGTAAAGCTCGGACTGGAGCCCCTCTCCTGCTACTATGTTCTTTGAATTAAGGTTCAGCATTTATTTGAAGACAAATGGGTCATCATGTCTTTGAAGTTCATTGTTTCCTTTCCATCTCTGAACTCCATGACTATTGAGATTCTTTTCCTTATTCTGAAGGCTAAGTGTTTGTTGATGAAAGCGTCTACACTTGTTCACTCAGGGATGCTGGAGAGTAGTTCTGCTTTCCCTTTGTGCTGTAGGAGTAGCAACCAGATTTGATCTGTTTGTTAAATGTATTTGAATGTTGCCTTCTCCTAAAGGGTCTTAAGAATGGTCTGCTACCCCCTTCTCAGCACCTTTCTTTCCCATGACTGCAATCTGATTTGGATTTTTTTTACAAAGTGTACACAGTGAGATTGTGGATATTTATCCAGAAATTTGTTATTGGGTGTACTTACATCCTAAGCAACTGGACACTCCTAACATTAGCAACTTAATTTTCCTTTTGATTTTTAATGATATCAATTGGCACACTATTTTCACCTTACCTTTTGATGTTGGACTTGCTCACCTCTGAAGCCCTATTTAACTTTCAACATTAGAATTGTTTTGACTTTCCTGTCTTTTCTGCCTGAGGCCTGCATTCATGGAATATGTAGTTATCAAAATGTGTCTCTCTCAGTATTTACCGTAACTGGCTCAGACCTGTGTGAATTTACCCTTTTTAAATATGCCATTCTCTTCATTAAACTTCCCATCATTCACAGTAGAATATAATTCTCTTACAGGATACCTACTTGGTGGGCATGTAGTACGTCTTTTCCATGGTCATGATGAATGTTTGACGATACCATCTACAGACCAGAATGATTCCCAGCACAGGTAAGTCAGTAGCTGCATTCTTCCACTAGCTGTTTCCAGTCTCAAATGACTCAAACTAAAGAGTTTACATTGTATTTAGCCATATATGAACTCTGTACATGTCAGTCCATTGACAAACCTTCCTCCAGCCATGGGTTCCGGTTTGTAAAACAGGAATGGCAGTTCAGCTTGCTTACAGGAGGAGCTCTGTACACATGCTGTTCTTAGGCAGTTCTGTAATGCTTCCAGATCCCTTCATTTTCTTTGGCTCTGCACTTAAACAAATTATTCACCAGGCTCTTCAAAGACAGATCATCTCTATTTCCATTTCATGTGCTAAGTAAATAAGGTGGACTTCATTGATTTGGTTTTATGACTAAATAGCATTAGAGAAACTGATGTCCAGCTGGAGCTGGATTTAGCAGGGGGTAGTGCCAAGGGTGCATTTAGAGGGCGCTGTGCCAAGGACGATGTGTTCTTGTCCTTATACTTGACCCCTTCATGAATGCTTTTCAAAGTTTCAAAACCATGACATGGAGGATATGAATCCAAGTCTTAAACGCATACTAAAGAGTTTTTTTTGGGTATTCTATCATCAAAGGAACAGAACATAAAAAGCTTGGCCTTGTAACTATAGAAATCTGATATTTAAAAAAAAAATCAAACCTCAGATCCAAACTAGATTGAATTTGGGACAGCAGTGAGTCTGATCCGGTGATCATGTTTTCTTTTCCTTTTGTGTAATGCCTACAGGAACCTTGTCAACTGCATTTCTTTTGCTTCATTAGAAACGTGGGCTCACAAGTCTTCACATCTTGGAGAATATGTAGGTCAGGCTCCTGCCACAGGTCACACACTGGCTGATTTCAGATGCAAGCCTAGAAGCCAGAGCTGCTGACTCTCCATCAGGGACCATTTCCTAATTGATGTACTCAAGGACCCCCGCAGAAGCAATGTGCTTGAATGTATTATTATGCACCTTAGAAAGCACCCATTGGCAATGTGTATCCCTTATAGTTCTGAGTCTCTTCCTACTTGCTATCTACTCTGAATACCCTTTCATAGGAACCAGATGTGACCCAGAAGGGTGCCTAGGACACATAAAGCACAGACCTATGTAAAGTGCTGTGCTTAATTCACTTGTTGCCTCCCTGGCACTGGTCCGGCGGTTGATAGTTATCTCGATTAGGAAGTTAGGTCGACCTTATTTTCCTTAGAAGTAAGGATTCTCTACCCTGTCGTGTGATCCTGTTCACTTGTGATTTGCCTTTTATTCAATATTGAAACTATACAATAGCCCATTTACTGTCCCTTTGATATCATATCCTGCTGCATCAAGGGGAAGGTTTGCAGGTAGATGAATAACTAAGATTTTATGAGTTTTGCAGGGTTGTCTGTATCTAAGATGGAATACATCAGGGTTTTCCTAGTTCATTCTCTCTATTCCTGTTCTACTTTTAAGGATGGGAACTGGAAAAAATGAAGTATTTACCATGGGCATGCCCCCACCCACATGCACACACCTGTCATCAAAATTAGAGCCAAATTAGAAACAGCTGGACAGAAACTGCTACTTAGGTTAGTCATTTGGTGGGCATTTTGTTCAAGTGATTCAGCAAAATTCTGCTTACAAGGAAAGGCTCAGCAAGTGTTTGAAAGGAGGTGATGGGAAGAGTGAAGTAGATGGAGGGGGATTTTCACAATAGGCACACTGGAGCAGACATGCATGCCATCATTTAAATAAACATGAAGGTGACCTTTCTTTAGCCCAGGATTTCATAGGCTCTAATTTGTGTTTTGGAAAAAAAAATCATCAAACAAAATAAGAAGGCTTATTTTATAAGGAAGCGTGAAGGGTTTGAGACTGGGGTAAGTGAGCAGCTATTCAGCACACTGGAACTTGAATCTTTGTGTCAACTAGTCTCAATCAAAACAGGATGCCTTGGTGTTATTTGATGTCTAGGTGAAGTGAGTGATAAGCCTTGTCTTTGTCTTCTATTGTCAGGTAAACCCTCAGAAATGTCCAGCATGGCCAGGAGCACCAAAATCTGGGGAGCATGATAGAATAGGAAACAGCACACTAAAAGACTCCAGCAGCCACTAAGGCATGCAGGTGTTCCATTGCAATGGTGCTGACTCTCCAGAAGAAATCGTTTTCAGTCCCTGTAAATCCTGAGAGCAGCCAGGCTATGTGGAAAGACTGTCTGACCCAGAGTGGAAACCCAAGATTAACAGTCTAACATTTTGAGCTCTGATCCTTGGCTTTGCCTCTGGCTTGTCAAACACCCTGGGATAAGTTACTTAACCTATTGAAGCTAAGGCTAAGCTGTCAGCCAAGCTTTCAAAAGCACCTCAGCTTGCCGCCCACTATACTCCTCTCCTTGGAATTGTTTTAGAGAACAAGAACAAGTTGTTTCAACCTCAGTAACCTTGTGAGATTAAATGGAGCAAGCCGCCCAAATGTCACAGGTGGGAAGAACAAACCTTCACAAATCCTTCAGATGTCAGGGGTAGAGAATCTTCTAGTTCCAGCTCCAGCGCTGTTTCACCTGTGACCTGGGTGAGCCACTTCACCCTCTTCTCCTGAAGGGATCCTTTCAGCTTGCACTAGAGAAAGAGGAGCATAAATGAGAATCTTAGCAAATTTTCCTAAGTGGCTAGCAGGTTGGTGCAGTATCATTTCCGTTCTAGGCCTGGTACAGAGACACCTGGGGTGTAGGAACTCTAAAGCAACGTCAGATTTTCTTCCTAATATTTATTGGGCATTTCCCGATAACATGTACATTAGAGAAAGATTGAGAAATAGCCTCTGTAATCCCACCTTCCAGAGGTAACCATTGTTGATGTAATGTTTCATTGATTGCTGTATGATTAATGTGTTCCTCTATGCATGTTTATAAACATTTATAAAAAACACTTTCTAAACATTTTAAAAAGTCCTTTAAATTTTCACAACATTGTTTTATAAGTACCCTTATTAGAAAGCAAACTGAGACACAGAGAGTTGAAGGGGCTTGCCCGAGATCACACAGCTACCAGATTCAAACCCAGGTCTGTCTTAACTTCCAAGCTCATATTTTGAATCGACTCATAATTATACTACTTCTCCAGAAAAAAAAAATAAGTATACATTTTCTTTTCACCACTATTGACTAACTCTTGTCTCTAACATCTAAATCAGGATTCCTCTTGGGTTTGACCACTTCAATTGTGATCCATACAAATTCTCTACGGTGGAGGTAGGATTTTAAGTTAGTGAATGTAAATGCAGTTAAATAATCAGTTTTGATCAGAGGTCACAAGATTCTCAGAAAGTGGCTGGATTCAGTATACCAGGTAATCTGGGGACTGCTGTTCTTGAGACATGCTCTTAAACTGTGAATTTTGTATAATGTGGAGCAACCTGCCCCGATCACAGGTTATACAGAATTTATTTAAAATAAAACTTTAAAAACTGAGGCTTTGTTAATCACTGGAAAAACATCAGACAAATCCAAGTTGAGACACATTTCACAAAATACCCAACCGGTACTCCACAAAACTGTCAAAGTCATGAGAAACAAGGCAAGACGGAGAAAGCATAGCAGATCAGAGGAAACGGGAGACATGGCAGCTGAACGCAGTGTGGTATCCTGGATTATATCCTGGAACTGGAAAAAAGTTTGCAGGAAAAATTAAGGTGAAATTCAAATAAAGTCTTGAGTTTAGCTAGTAATGACATACTCGTGTTGGTTTCTCAGTTTTGACAAACGTACCCTGGTAATATAGGATGATAACATTGGGAGAAGCTGAGTGAGATCATACAGGAACTCTCTGGACTATCTTTAGTAACTGTTTGATAAACCTAACATTTTTCTAAAATAAAAATTTTATTTCAAAACACATTAAAAGATGATTCTTAACACGGGAAAGGAAGCAACAGTACAGTAATAAAATCATGAACAGTGTAACAACTGAGCATAAAGCTTTGTTCCAACTGCCCTGGAATGATGGAAATGAGTTCACACTATGTCGAATAGGTGTTTTTAAAGTACAAATACATTTTTTAAAGATATAATAAAACTACATCAGGGAGCTTGACCTGAAGGAACTGGAGCATTCTGTGTCTGCCGTCATTGTGTAACTGGGCTATTGTGACTCCTGATATAGAAATGGAGATGTTCTTGTTCCTGCCTTTCCCTTGTATACCTGATGATGCATAAATGCCCATGATATGGATATGGTGAGCAGTTCCCTCCCCTCTAGCTGCTTTGACCCTTTCTGAGAGAGAGAGACTGGGAAACTGTCTTCCCTCTTATTCTGGCTTTGCATTCTGCTGACTCCAAAAGGGCTTAGACAAGCTCAGTACCTGAACAGCCTCTGCAGGGAGCTGTTCTTCACCCGGGTGCTGATCAGTGTCATGCAAGTAGGAGCTGATCTCCAACTCTGCTCACAGGAGGATATTCTACGAAGCTGGGGGAGCTGGGACTCGAGCCAGGTCTCTTTGGAGAGTGGAACCCCTTCGGATAAGGTAATGGAAGGCCTGGGAATGCCCTTTTCAAGATTACTTTCTTTTTCAGTACAGGCCGTTCTCTTAAATATTTCATTCATTCCACATCATCTGGCAAACTCCTTCAAGTCCTTTGTCTAGAGCTAAGTTCTGATATTTCTGTGACTTTGTTTTTAAAGAACACACACACACACAATCTCCAAAGCCACTGTGTTGACTCTGAGGCTGGCAGGCTTTTCTGCCCTTGCAGTAGCTGACTATAAAAGGAAAGCTCAGACAAGGCCACTGAAAGCCATCCAAGTTCTCCCATTTGTTTTCTTAAACAGGTTCTCTGGAACCCAGATAAGTCTTCCGTCTCCTCTCAGTAGCTTTGTTGGCTCCAGTGGACAGTTAGCTTTAAATGGCACACAGACAGGTGGTCGCGATTGCATAAGATAAGGAAGATGTAAACTTCACTGGAAATGTAGGTGTGAAGAAAAAGGTACTTACTAGAACTTTTCAGAGACAGTTTTGTCCCTTGGTGGAAGGAACAGGAGGCTGAGACTTTCCAGCCACAAGCTTTGAATAACCTCAGGTGGTCGGTTAACTTCAAACTACTGAAGGGGGATCACTTTCAATGCAGGACCTTTACTGGGCTGAGAGGATTTGCAAGTTAGGCTAGAGCTAAACTGCTTGGAATGAGAGAGGAGGGTTAAGCATCGCCCTCTGATTTTCCTTCTCTGCCTTTCCCTCTAGTTCTTTCTGCTCAGTCTCCCCCCGAAAATATGTTCAAAATAAGTCTCTCTCACGCAGGGTATATGCCCCCCAAGGGCTCCTGAAGATAATCCATTGGCAATCAGAAGGGAATGTTAGGAATTCTCTTACACCATACACACATATGCACACGTTTTTTTTTTCTGATAAATTGGCGGCTGATGGTTTAAGGAACACCGGTTTTAAGGAGCGTGCACTTACTAACTGGCTTGAGTCATTTATATCCTCTTTCCAAACCCATTAAAAATCTGAGAGTAACATACTCTTGTTCTCAGGACATTAGGCCTTAGTTCTTGCTTAATGGACTTTTTAAGAGGTCAAAATAAGTATGTATGCGTACTTCTGGTTATGATTGCTTGCTCATTTCCCCAGAGACCTAAACATGAAGAATTCAAGCCTTTTATCAATGCGATTTGGATTTATTGATGCTTCAAAAAGTTGGACAAAGTGGAGAGTGGTTTCAAAATTTCACACATCTCTCTTAAACCTTATATTCTTAAGAGATAAGTATTTTGCATATGAGCAAATATTTTAAAAAGATAAATTTTGAGTTAGATTATTCAGTGGATAATTTCTCCCATAACACTTACCATAACTTTTGCTGAGTGCTGATCTTTTGATGAAGGACCATGAAGAGGACAGTATTCAATATGAGTTCTCACTTGTCTTAATCCTTTTATCCTGCTTTACTTATTTTCCATAGAATTTATCCTTTTAACATAATTCATTGTTGACTTATTATGCTTGTTTGTTGTCTCTCTTTGTCTGGCAAGTGTAAGCTGTGCAGGTATTTTTACTATTTCCCTTGAAGATAGGACTCTTTGTGGTAGTAATACGTTTTAGTTCAGATGGCAGGTTTGGAAAGGCTTTCCCAGAAACAAGTTTCCATTCAAAGACAAGCTTCCCATTGATTTGTGGTTATTTGCATCAAGAACTTTCAGTGGAGTAAAGGAAAAATTGGAAACCTGGGACTTCCAGTTGTATGAAGCCACTGACCTGCCTTCAAGATCATTCCTTGTTGATGTCATCAAGAAAGAGCACTATGCTGGGTTGTAGGCAGACATGAAATCCTACAGCAAGCCAGCAGCCTGGTGCGTTTTCCCTTAAGGATGGACACCAGAAGGGTTATAAGTCTGCTAGCATGTGTAAGAAAGCATAGGATAAATACTGAAAAGGACTTATTTTTGTATAAATGCAATTTCTTGTCTGTTTCATCTGCCCAGCTGGAGTGGCAGTAACATCAGATGGGGCCAGGCTTTCCGACTCCGGCATCTCACCACAGGCCACTACCTGGCCTTGACAGAAGACCAAGGCCTTATACTGCAAGACCGGGCAAAGTCAGACACCAAGTCCACAGCTTTCTCTTTCCGGGCATCAAAGGTAAGGTGTGATAAAGTGGACTTTGACCCTGTTCTAAAAGTGAAAACTCAGAAACCTCCAGGCAGAACTATAACTGGAAAAGAAAGTAGGCTGGAACAAAGTGAAATTGGAAATTTGCCCTAAGATAGATAAACACTTTCTTCTTTTATCTTTTGAATTGAGTTCATGGAGGAATATGTACCTTGGATGAAGGTTGAAGTCTTGAGCAAAAGGAGAGTGTGGAAAGTCCTGGAAAGTGCAAGGAGCATAGGAATGGACAGTGTTGCTCAAAGGCTAACGGAAACTATTGTTGTTGTTTAATGCATTCTGAGTTGTCTTTGATAAATTCCAAGTTATATTCTTCACTCCTTTAAAGCAATAGTAACATGGAGGCATGAGTTTCAGAGCTACATTTGTTTAAATAAAAAGGTAATTTGTTAAACAAAAAAAAGATTTAAATGTAAAAAGCATGAGTTTCAGTGCTATATTTGTTTAAATTTTTTTAATGATGCAGAGAAGACATTCTGGACATAACATTATCTTGCAGTTATTAATATCTATATGATAAAATTTACTAGTACCTTCCTCGTTCTTTTCCTTAACTATCCCTACTCCCCACATCTCTTAGTTTTCTCCCATCCATCCCAAACCTTCATTAAGGATGGATCCTCTGGTAGTTAGGTTAACCTCGAATTAATTGCTTTACCATTTGATGTGTATGTAGACAACTATTCTTTTTTAGAAACCGCCTCCTTTAAGGTTCAGCCAAGCTTCTACTCTGTCTAACTCAGTGCTGGATCTAGCTGAACGGTCAGAATTGCATGCTGAGCTAACTTCTGACAGACAGTTGGATGGTCTGTCACTTTATGAGTGTTCTGGAAAGATCATCCAAGCATGAGAAGGGCTCTGCACAGATGCTTGCACAGTTAGCAGGAAGTCTGCACTTCCTAAGAGTATAGCTCAATATCTCCTTTGGGAGCGTCACCTTTAGTTTCATTCTTTGCTCTTTTCCAGAAATAAATCTTGATATGTGTTCTCACCATGACTTCACTCAAGGGTTGTTGAGGATTCTGTTCATCTAGGACTAGGTGTGAGGCTGACAGCTGAATTTTCTGTGGGGCATCTCTGCTTCCTAATGCACCTGAAGAAGATAGTCAGCACTGTCCCCTTCTTTGGTGCAGGGGTTCGGAGTCTGTTTTCTCCCTCATTTTGTGCTCCTGTGGTCTTTTTAGGCAGAGAAACTCTTTGGCATGTAGTTTTTTCTCTTTAATATTGCCCTATATCAGAATTGGGCTTTTTTCATATCTTTATTTCAAATATTAAAAGACATGAGCTTCCTGTTCACATCTTCCTAACCGTCTCTCAAATGTCATCTTCCTTCTGCTTCTCTTCCAATGGCTATTGACTCTGATTTCATTCTGGTTTTCTGAGCATATCTTCCTCACTTTGCTATCATTTTTTTTTAGATTCCCAGCACAAGAGGGATTCTTTAAATTCAAATTTATATCTATTTAGTGAATATTTTTGCCTCCAGGAAGTGATTTAGAGCAGTGCAACTTTCTGAAAGATTCAGTGAAACAAAGCAACAGGAAAGTCGTAAGAACAGAGACTGGGACATGGAGTGGGAGCTGAAGGTGGGCGGCAGTAGAAGAGGGAGGTGGAAAATAAGAAATGACTCATCGTGGCTAATGACCAAGCAAGTGTTTTCCTAAGAATGCCAGTTTGGCCCTTTCCTTATTTGAGCCTTCTACCCCCTTTCTCCTTGACCCACTCGGGATATGCTGCCAGGGTTAGAGCAATGACCTCGAGGTCTTTACCATTTCAAAAAGGGGCTTTTCTTCCAGCACAGGATCAGGCGGCCTTCCAGGCAGCTGGCAGGATCCTGTTCCAAGGGGACTCTTCCATTATATTCCATTCTTGGCTCAGCCTTGTGGAGCATGGGTCAGCACTGTGCTGTGGTCTCTGGGGGAAGCAAGGAAAGCTCAGAGCCCCATAGAGACCTTGTAACACTCCTTCCACTTGGCATCACTTCTGGCCTCTGAATACATTTCCCTTCAAAGGGTCCATTGCTCATCTCCCCAAGTTCCTCCATTTCCACGTATGGAGAAGCAAGCAGCGCATGGGTGGAAAGTCGTCATGGTACCACGGGGGCCATCGGCATAGCAGAGCTGGGGGCAAAAGTCACCCATGAGTCACATTGTCCTGTGCACTTGGCAATGTGGTTACATTTCACTGGAGTCACTATGCTAGAGATTTTAAATAAGTCTCCATGCGGTAGTATTCAACCTAGCTACCTTCATTTCAATTTGAAAGGAACTGAAATTAAAATGGCTTAGGCTCTATGGCAGGCCAAGATATGGCTGTGTTCCCACTGGATGTCAGGGTTTCTTTGGGACGTTGTGTGGGCAGGGCTTTGGCACCTTAGACTGTGAAGCTGCACAATAAGGAAGAGCATGTGGAGAACACATAACTGTCATACACCATCCAAATAACTGTGGGGGAAGGGCGGTAGAAAGGCCCTGATTTTCCTGGGCTTCCATGTGCCTGCTTAGTAAGCATATTCTTGCCTTGCTTGGCACGGGCTTTCCTTAAATGCATTCTCTGTGCTTCCCCTCCCTGGGCGCTAGTGACAATACCCAGCAGAAAGAGGTTTGGGGCTCTGTTTCTCAACAATGTAAGGGCACTGAATCATCTCGCCAGCCCTTGCCTGCTACAGGTGTTATGTGACAGAGTAGGTGGCAAATGGTAGCCTGAGATAGCGGTTCAGGATCTGTGTGGTGGCATAGGAGTTGGGAAGGCTGAGGGAGTGGTGGAGACAGTCATCTGTTTTCTATGGGACTGGGGCAGAGGGCGAGGAAGCAGGGTATTCATCTGATCCTTTCCATATGTTGGAGAATCTGAAAAAGGAGAAAAAGAGGCTCTTGGGAAGAGCACTGCTGGGGCTTTAGTCATGTGTTTTGGGAGGACACTGGGTGTGCTGGGCCGTGAGTCATTTGGTAATGACGAGCTTCCCAGTCCACATTTTCTGTCAGGTTGCATTAGCTTGTGACAGTTATGACTACTAAATTAGGGGCCACTGGACAGCTGCAGGTGCGTGCTAACATCCTTAGCAGCCTGCCATTAGCAGGAAGATGGCAGGTGCCCCAGTGCATCTTGTATGTGCATAAGATGGAGGTGTGATTGAGCCTTGCTGAAAGGTGACCAAGTCCAAGAACCAACCAGCTGCAGTTATTGGCCGGGCCTGGCTCAAATGGAATCAGACTGAAGACTTTGAGCAGGCTATACAAATCACATAGAATAAGGAGCAAGGAGCAGGATGTGATCTTGATCAAGGTCCTCCTTCCCCCAACTTCAGCAGCTGATGCAACTCAAATTGGAGAGCTAGGATGTAGTATTACTTCCAAAATACAGCATCCCAGCCTTATCCCTTTGATCTGAGAGTGGTGTTGTGTAAGACAAAGCCTGGCTTCAAAGTTAGCCTAGATCGGGCCTTGATTCTCATCTGCTCTCTGTGAGACCTGGAACACAATTCTTCATCAATTTGCACCTCATTTGAAGTCTGTCATAAAAGATCATTCAGACCTGACTGCTGCCTGCCCTTCCATTGCGTCTCTTGCCACTTGCCTGAGGTTGCCTTGAGCTCCGGCATACTATTTATCAGTCTTGGAACATATTTGTTTTTTTCTAACCACCACCAAACTTGTGCCTGAACGCCTTTTGCCCCTCTGCACTCTACCACAGTGAGCGCCTTCTCATGCTTTCAGGCGAGTGTCAAGTGCTCTTTGTGAGAGGAAAACCTGCTCATGCATTATTAAGGCCATCACTTCCTTGACTGGGAGGCCCTGGATGACAAGGACCACACATACCCCACCCTGCTTTATTTTTGCATCCCAGAACGTCTTGTAGTAAGTTTGAAAAATGCTTGCTGAAGGGTTACATCAGTGTGGTCATACCTTGAAATAGAGTGAAATCCATTTCATTCTAACCTCCATTATCTTTTTTTTTTTTTTTTTTTTTGAGGTGGAGTCTCGTTCTGTTGCCCAGGCTGGAGGTACAGTGGTGCGATCTCGACTCACTGCAAGCTCCGCCTCCCGGCTTCACGCCATTCTCCTGCCTCAGCCTCCCGAGTAGCTGGGACTACAGGCACCCACCACCACACCGGGCTAATTTTTTTGTATTTTTAGTAGAGACGGGGTTTCACTATGTTAGCCAGGACGGTCTCGATCTCCTGACCTCGTGATCCGCCCGCCTCGGCCTCCCAAAGTGCTGGGATTACAGGCGTGAGCCACTGTGCCTGGCCAACCTCCATTATCTTTACAGAAACATCCTGCCATCCTTGTGTAATCATTTTGCTACTGTAATCTCTTCCCAGTACACACCCAATGAGAGAGATTCATTTTATTTTGAACATCTAAGTCAAATTTCTATGAACTTGATTTCACATCATTTTTCCATGGTCTTGACATTGCAAGGCCATTCCCACAAGGATTTCAGATAATGTGATTTAATATTTACTCCTGCACGGCAGTATTGTCTGTTTAGATGTCATGACTCAATGTCAGTTTACAGCATTGAATTTTTTTCAGGGAAGGGTGAATTAATAATGTTAAAGCAGGCCATATATATAGCCGCTTTTTGTAAAGCCACTTTAGAAGTGCTTTAAATAGCCACTTTAAATGACTACACCATACATCTTGAATGATTGGGATAGATTCTCGAATGTTGCCTATTTCATAGTGTAAGGGTATAGAGCTATCACTGTTCCCAATTAGAGGAAATTTTTTCTCACAGTATAAAAACATTAAATTCAGTTTAGTAAACATTTGTGAAACATCTATGTGCTAAGCATGGTGTTCTTGGCCAAATGTGACTTCCCTGCCTACGTTTCACATGCCCTTTAACCTTTGCAGCCACAGCACCCCTAACCAAGGTGACAGCTGTGCTCATGGTGCACCTGTCTCTGAAACTCTGGTGCAGAAACAGCGCTGTTTTTGCCAGTCCCCTTGCTTGCTCCGTTTTCTCACCAAGTTATCCACTGGGGAAAGGGAGGGTATGGAGCAAAGGAGGGAAGGGGAAAGAGGAAAATACGGATAGTAAGATTCAAATGCCTGAAGACAACATCACTTACTGCAGCTTCATTTTAAATAAAATCTACAAAGGATTTTTAAACTTTAAGTTGATGTGCTTTCTCTAGTGTTTATTGTTCAAAGTGGACCAAATAGAGAGTCAGTCAAGGAAAACCTTGGGCTTCGAAGTGGAAGAAGCCTGGGTTTGAACCCTGGCTCTGCCATATGCTGTTCATATGTTTTGTAAAAAATAGAGATTTAAAAAAAAGTATGTCTTGAATGATAGCTGTGAAAATTAAATGAGACCAGGAAGATGACCTGGTAGTTTTCTTATCCATAAAATGGAAGTAGTGCTGCTTATCTCAAGGTGGTGGTGCAAGGGTTAAATGAGAAATACGGAGAAAAGAGCCCAGTACAGTGACTTCTGCTGAAGAAATATGCCTTCCCCAATAAGGCAGATGAATCTGCTTCCCAGCATGTAGTAAACAGAGGAAGGCGTTCCTCCTCTTCCCACACAAAGCTTGAGGCCAGCTAGACTCTTATCAATGTCCTGTAGTGTGTGGTTTTTAAGGGCAATACGAAGATCTCAAATTCTAGATGAGAAAGTCTTAAGGGGGCTGTATTGATATAGAAATAAACCCAAAGGTGATTCCTCAAGGTTTCTCCAGAGACACGTGGAAATAGTGGGCTAACCAGGAGTTTCTTGAAGGCTCACCCCAGCATCCATGAATGGGCTCCACCTTCCCATATCTACTTTTCCTCTGAAACATTTCAGGGTGCCTACAGTCCTGTATTGTAAAAGGTACTTTCTTGTCATCTGTAAACACAGGTGGCTTAATTGTATTAAATAACACATTTCACTCTAATTAATAAGCATCAATTAGAAGCTACTCCATTCCACATATCATCCTAGATACTGATGGCGTAACTTACAACTCAACCATCTCCAGCCATGTTTCTTTTCAGCCCATCATTCACATTGATGCCAGAATGGTTATTCTAAGATGCAACTCTGTGTTTCAGTGGCTTTCCATTACTTACACTAGCTTTTCCCAAGAGGCATTCCAAACAATGATAATAGTGGGAGGAAATAAACAAAATGCTGCATTAGAGTTCAAAAGGTCATTTTGATGTTTTCATTGATGCTGATGTTTTGTTTTTACCACAGGACTAACAAGAGCTTATACGATCATGATATTCCCTTTGACTCTTAGAAGAAGATTCAGTATTTGTCCACAGTCATATTTTTCCCACACGAAGTCTGTTAACAATATGAGCTTGAGAAACATGAACCTGTAGAATAGAGTTCAGAGTCCTTAATTTTTGCTCTCATCTCTTTCTGGATTCCAGCATTCTTCTTGCCGTGCGGTGCCCCTTTTACTAGAAAGCCAATCCCTTCCTCATTGCCCTTCACTCCTCTCTCCCCTGGCTGCACTCACATCAGGTAGAAATTCTTGTATAAAACCATCCCTAACTCCCCGGTAGAGTTGTTTTTTTTCCCCAAACTCCAATTGTACTCTGAATATAGACCATACCACCTTGCTGTGCTTGTTGATTTATATGTATAACTCAAAATTTGTATGAACCTAAAGCCATTTTCTAATAGTAGTATATGTTTTCAACTTTTTCTTCATGTTAACCTTTAAGCAACTAAACTATTGGTACAATTCATTAGTTAACTGTGCTACTGGTAATGGTAACCATTCAGATATTCTGTTCAAGTGAATTATACCTGGCTTTGGAATTGTACCTGATTTTGGATTATGTTCTATTACTTACAACTATGTGGCTTTGAGCAAGTTGCTCAAACTCTGCAAGCCTCAGTGTTATCTATAAAGTAGGATAATACAAGCCATAGGGCCATTGAAAGATTTAGAGGAAATGTAAAGTGTCATGTGTGATACATACCACTTTGTGGGTCCCTGGTGAATTCGCGTGATGGCATTTTCATTGTAAAGTACTTAGCGCAATACCTAGTTTGAACCAGACCGGGGCAACTATTGGTTCTAGTTTCTCTATTTTTTATTTTTTATTGATTTTTTGAGACGGAGTCTCGCTCAATTGCCAGGCTGGAGTGCAGTGGCGCGATCTTGGCTCACTGCAACCTCCGACTCCCTGGTTCAAGCAATTCTTCTGCCTCGGCTTCCTGAGTAGCTGGGATTACAGGCACGTACCAACGCACCCAGCTAATTTTTGTATTTTTAGTAGAGATGGGGTTTCACCATGTTGGCCGGGATGGTCTTGATCTCCTGACTCCATGACCCACCCACCTCGGCCTCCCAAAGTGCTGGGATTACAGGCATGAGCCACCATGCCCGGCCGGGTTCTAATTCCTTTCTTCATCCTTCCAGGAATATTAAACCAATCTTGGCAACTTGATCATCTCCAGCCAAACATTTAATATTCCAGGAATATTAAACCAGTCGTAGCAATTTGATCATCTCAGCCAAATACTAATATGACAATTATGACGTGGTCATGAGCATTTCCTTAATAAGCTGTCATTGGAGGCAGAGGATAATGATTACTGCCCTTCAACACATAGTAGGCCAGATAACCTCTTCCTTCTTAGAATCAGCTTATCATCTAACATAAACAAGGTTGATGCAGATAAACAGATACAGATTGAATGCCTGCAGAACAATAAAACAATAAATGATTTGCAACCAGTTTTAAGCATCGTATGAAATGCAAAGAAATCCCAGTTTTTTTTCTGAGAACATTCTTTTTTAAATTTATTTGTTTTTTATTATACTTTAAGTTCTAGGGTACATGTGCACAATGTGCAGGTTTGTTACATATGTATACACTTGCTATGTTGGTGTGCTGCACCCATTAACTAGTCATTTGCATTAGGTATATCTCCTAATGCTATCCCTCCCCCATCCCCCCACCCCACAACAGGCCCCGGTGTGTGATGTTCCCCTTCCTGTGTCCAGGTGTTCTCATTGTTCAATTCCCACCTATGAGTGAGAACATGCGGTGTTTGGTTTTTTGTCCTTGCAATAGTTTGCTGAAGAATGATGGTTTCCAGCTTCATCCATGTCCCTACAAAGGACATGAACTCATCATTTTTTATGGCTGCATAGTATTCCATGGTGTATATGTGCCACATTTTCTTAATCCAGTCTATCATTGTTGGACATTTGGGTTGGTTCCAAGTCTTTGCTATTGTGAGTAGTGCCGCAATAAACATACGTGTGCATGTGTCTTTATAGCAGGATGGTTTATATTCCTTTGGTATTGTGGAAGACAGTGTGGCGATTCCTCAGGGATCTAGAACTAGAAATACCATTTGACCCAGAAATCCCAGTTTTACACCTTTGGCATTTTCAATCTGGCAGGGGGCAGCTAGTATACCAACAACAAGACATGTTTTTAAAATGTAGATTTTATTATTCAGGTATGATGAAGCCAATAAATCAGGAGACAATCAGCATTGAAAAAGAACACTTGTTACTCACAGTTCCCAAGAGGAATGGACACGCCATACCACACAGGGCCACATAGAGAAGTGCCATCCTCCAGGAGGCAGAGAGAGTGAGGGGAAGCTGGGGGAAAGCCTTTTCGTGGTTTCCATAGAAAGGGATGGGCTGGCTAGGCAGGATAAATGGGCATAGGGTTGTCTACTTTGAATAATTTCAGCAGGCTCTGGAGCATGGGAGTTGCTATTAGTTGTCTGGTACCGGCCCTGGGGAGATTAGTCTAGGGGAATGGGGGTCCAGAGGGTAAAGGAGGAGGTTGGCTTTATGCGCTTTGAGTTGGTTTGCATATAAAAGGTGAGTCTTGGGTTTGCATACCCAGATGAGTCCTTGACCATTTTAGGAATTGGCTAGCCCTGGAAAGGACAGTCCGTTCAGGGTCCACAAAACCATGAGATCAGAGAATGTGTACAGGTATCCTCCAGCTTTGGCTAAGTAGAGAAGGCTTGATGGATGAGATGTTGTGCAATGTTCCTTTATGTGATCATCAGTCAGGTGCAGCCATGTGAGGAGACACAGGAGAGGCTTAGGAAAACAAAGTTTATTATACTCACAGGTCCTAGCAACAGGAGACGTGCCACACCATGCAGGGTCACATAGGAAAGCACCAGCTTTGGTCAGGAGGCAGACAAGGGGCAGAAGCAAGGTGACAGCCTACACTACCACTTTTGTTGGGGTTTCCATGGTTAAGGCAAGGCAAGGCTGGGGTAAACAGTTTGGGATTTGCTAGTTTGAGTGATTTCAGGGGGCTGTAAGCTATAGAGGTGGTCCTTATCTGCCTAGTACCTGGCCTTGGGAAGGCAGAGGAATATTGCCTCCTGGAATGTATGAGCCAGCTAGAGGAGGTCTGGCTGTGAATTGATTAGATTGCATATCAAAGGCATGCAGCTGAGCCCTTTGCTGCCTCTAACAAGAAGGGCAGTCTCTCTCCAGCCAGAAAGGTTTTAAAAATACTGAAATACTGTAATATACAGAAGATACGAAATATAAACAATACAGATGTAGAGATGCCAAGGTGAGGCTGGGGAATTCCAAACAGAAAGTGTAATGTCAGTAAAGGCCCAGAGAAGGGGAATATTTGGTAAATAAATAGAAGTACTCTTAGTCCAATTTTGTTAGAGCATTTGGGATATAAGAACTTTAGAGATAATAATTGTATTCCATAGGAACTTGGGAGTTATTGAAAGAGAATGATTGGATTAGCTCTATTTTTTAGAAAGTTTCCATTTCTAGCAGTAGGGTGACTGCAGCTGGGACCATATTCAAGTAAAAACAGAAGGGAGCATTAGTTCATACTCAAGTCAAAAGAAAATCACCAATGTGCTGTCAATAAAATCAAGCCTCTCTATCACCGAGCTCTTTAATTTCCTTTACTGATTCATCATTATTGTTTAGGGTTGCATTGGGTTGTTTTTCATATGGATTTTGTCTCTAGATCTTTGTTTGTTGTTGCTGCTGTTCTATTACATTAGAAGTGCCCACTGCAGTGACTGCCGTAGAATTTGGAAGCCGATGCTGTTTTGTAAAAACAAAGACACAGAAACACTCCTTTCTATACAGAATAATGATTCATTTATTTCAGTAATTCCAGAAAAACAGATCTTTGTATTTTTTTTTTGCAAAGCCATGTTTAAATAAGTGAAAGGCAAGAAAGTAATGAAGTTACCGTATTCATTGATAGTTGGATAATATGAATTATTTTAATCAGGAGCTATTAGAAATCAATGTAATTATTCATGTTTAACAGTTGTGGTGTGCATAATTTTTAAGCACTGCATTAGCTATGGTTAGAGAGCAGATTAGAGATGAGAATTTTCGCATCTTTTCAGTCCTGTTACTGGCTTGAGTGTCTCTAGAGCTATGAATATTTCTGCAGTGAAAATCAAGTATCCATTGTTTTATAGGATAAATGCATTCTTGATGAATTGCCTATAAAGAAAATCTCATCTATCAAATACTATTTTCCTATTAGCTAATGTTATAAAATCAGAAATATGTTTTTCTGGAAATAATCTTTTTAAAAAAGAAAAATTCATACTTATCCTTGGATGTTATGTTGCTGCTTGAAAAAAATAAGTCATATTTAATAATCCAGCCAATGTTTCAACACACACATTTAAAAGAAAAAGAAATTTCTTGTAAAGTACTAATATTGCTCCAAGTGATCCTTTAAATGCTGTGCGAAATAATTTTGTTTTTATGAAAGCTTGAAGGAAAATAAGAGTTGAAATGAAAAATAAATGTGAAAGAAAAATTACTCAGCTCTATATATTCTCTCAATATATGTCTATTAAGTAATTGATAGGTGTTGAACTTTCTGTTATAAATCCAAAGTTAATTGAAATTTGGCCTGTGCCCTTGATTTTTTTCATAGCCTGACAAAAAGAAAATGTCGTATAGACAAACACATTTTACATTATGATGTGCTAAGTGCCCAATAAAGCAATTAGACTGTGCTGGGGAAGAACAGCAGGAGAGACTAACTCTTCCTTTACAGAGGTAACCTCTGAGCAGGGTTTTGAAGGGTGAGTAGTAGTTTAGAGTAGGAGAAGAGTGCAGACTCTGGAGCTGGACTTCCTGGTTTAAATCCTGTCATTACTTCCTGAATGATCTTGGGCAAATTTACCTCCTTCATTTTCTCCTCTGTAAAATTGGAATGGCATTTGTAGCTACATCAGAGGCTACTATGGAGAGTTAATCCACGTAAAGAACTTAGAACATTGTACTGAGCATGGTAATGACGCAATACATATGCTGCTATTTGTTCCACTATTAAGAATGAGAAGAATGTGGGGGTCGAGGTGGGTGGATTGCTTGAGCCTGGGAGTTCAAGATCAGCCTGGGCAACATGGGGAAACCCTGTCTCTGCAAAACACAAAACAACAACAACAACAAAAATACAAAAGATTAGCCAGGTGCAGTGGCCTGCACCTGGAGTCCTAGCTACTTGGGAGGGTAAGGTGGGAGGATCACTTGAGCCTGGGGGCAGAGGTTGCAGTGAGCCAAGATTGTACCACTGTCCTCCAGCCTGGGTGACAGAGTGAGACCCTGGGCTCAAAAAGAAAAAAAAAAAAGAGAGAGAAATGTTTTTGCAAATAGGCAACAGCCGTTTTTTATTCTGTGAAAGTTCAAATTGCTGCCTGCTTAATGGCTTTTACAAATGAGCAATTTAATGCAAGATGTAGACAAGAAATGGAAATAGGGTATAACCATTCAGAATAGAACCACGGAGGCCCTGATTGATGAGGAGGGGAAGAAGTTACCATGCATCAGAGGTCTACCTCATGACACGCTATTGTGACAGGTACTTCAGATTGTCACTGAGTTGTTACCTGGTGCACAGGAAGTCCCTTTTCCACACTGGAGAATAGGCAATGAAACAGTGACAACTGAAGAATGAAACCGCTTGACTACAACACACCACTGAGGAGGCCCTAAGAGACTGATACACAAATTACTACATTAGCTTAAGCCACGGTATTAACCCCTGCGTATTCAAAGGGTCTCCTTTCTCTGCAGGTTTTTATAAGAAATTTTTACATGAAATCAATAGATATGATGAAAGCCTCTGAGTCAGTGCATTTGTGACAGATAACCATTACAATTATGGAAGATGTCACTCGCTGGAAATAAGTTAATTGGCTAGTAACAGATTACTTATTAAGTTATATAAATCAGGATGAGGAAAGTAGAAAATATAGTGAAGAATTACACAAAATCAGAACAGAAGAGAAGAGCTTACTAGGTGTCCCCTTTTCCCGTGGATTTAAATAATCACTGAAGTAACCAGAACTCGAAAGCCATTGATTTTACAATTAACAAGCGATAAGGGAAACAAGTCTTTCTGAAATCCTGGCTTGGACAGGCACATCATGATTATTTTGGTAACCAGTTGCCTGGCTTACAGGTTCTTCATAGGTGATTCGTTTTGTATATTGAGCTTCTAATTTAATCAGCTATGCCTATGTTTGTTTCTTTTTGTGTATGAATTAGGAACTCAAGGAGAAATTAGACTCCAGTCACAAGCGAGACATAGAAGGCATGGGAGTTCCAGAAATCAAGTATGGAGATTCTGTCTGCTTTGTGCAGCATATAGCCAGTGGTCTGTGGGTGACCTACAAAGCACAAGACGCCAAAACTTCCCGCCTGGGACCTCTAAAAAGAAAGGTGAGAGTCAGAATATCTGTCTACAATTGTTTTACCCTGAGTTGGAAGCAACTAGGCAATAGAAGTGATTCTGAGAACCAGGTGGACATGATTGTGATTTACTTCTTACTATTCAGAAGAGTTATTTTGTGATGGATTGTACACAGTTTCTCCAAAACTTCAGCCTAATTTGGATACTTTGACCCCATGTTCAATGGGGGAAAAAACAAATACACAGCAAATCTGTGAGGAAGAGGTGATGTATTTAATGTACTCTAAAGCCTGATCTAAATGACTTTTGGTGATGTGCTGTCTTGGGATTATCCACATCATTGCTGCCTTCATTTCAGTGGATAATTGAGTTATTGTGCAGTTTTCATAATAGACTAAATAGATCTCTACAGAGAAAATGCAGATTGCATAATAACAAGCCCGCAGGAACCCACTGGCAGAAAGAAGGGATGTTGTGGAATGACACTGTATCCACAGAGTGTATCTTGATTTGAGTGGTGCATCACAGCCTGCTCCAGCGAGAAAAACTAGCTTGGGTGCATGCAGCATCTATTTACCAGAAAGTCAATTGCCGTAACAGTGTTTCTTTTGGTGGGAACCAAATAATGGATGTCAAAGATGTGATGCTTTTATTCCTGAAATACCCTTATAAAATATGGGTTTAAATAGTCAACTAGTCCCAGAATAAGGTGCTAGGAGGCACTGTGCTCTGTAGTTGAGGTATAGCAGCCTAAGGTAGTCATGATGAACAGTTTTCCAGAATGCAGGTTATGATAAGAAAGGATGTTGAGAATGAACATAAGGTAATACCTTATTACCTTAAGGCAACACAGACTAGGAAAATATCCAGAAAAGGGGAAATGAAATGATCAAGAGGGGATAGAAAATACAATAAATAAGAGACCACATAATCTGGCTTGTATGAGACCAACCCTTCTTCTGAAAACAACCGCAAAGGCTGGATACAGTACCTTCAAAAAAAATGGAAGGTTTCAACAACCAAGCCACCCAAAACATAAGCACAAAATATTGCACATAGAACGTAAGTGCACTAAGGTGAGCCCACCTTGATCTTTGTTTTCTCCTTCAGCACATTTGCTGATTTGCAGAACTAGGGCATGGGATCTTGCATTAGCTCAGTTGTGCTAAAGAGTCAGATTGGACATAGGTTCAGCCAGGGCTTCTGGGACTCGAGGTGCCAAGAGTCCAGAGTAGAGAGAACTGCAAAAACATGAGCCTAAAATTCTACATGCCGTTTCCTCTAGAATCCTAAGCTGACCGTGGATGGGGTGTGAAGCCAAAATAGTAAAGCGAAACTGCTGTGATAATGAAGAGCAAAGCAGAGATGTTGACATTATGAGAGTACTAGGGATATACAAGTCAGGGTTCGGGGTATGACAAGTTGGAATTGCCCTGGAAAATACAGTAGGCTTTCCGTTGATCTTTAGAAGAGCTACACCCTGGGAATGAGGGCTGCACGCTGGGAATAAGAACAAATCAAAAATAAATGCCACAAACCCATCCTCTATTCTTACCAGCCTATCAGAAGAAACTTAAATCCTCTATAGAGTGCAGTAATACCATCTAGAGCCTCTACAGTTTTTCAAACCTACTAAGGCAATGGCAGCATTTAAAGAAAGTGGAATTTGTGGATCTTGGCTGTAACTCTGGGTGGGCAGGAACACACTCCAAGGACTCTGTAAATGTGGAGAGATCTCATTTTGCATTGTTGACTTACTGTGCCTGGCCATGCCTTCTCTTCTAGGACCATAGCCCGCAGATTCATTTAACTGTTAGAATGTATGTGTGAATTTGGGAGGTGCTTTTATAAACTCTCTCCAGCTGGTGTGATGGTGCTCAGCCCTTGACAGGGCTACACTGCTTCATTTCCTAAGAAGCATGTTAAGTGCCCTCTCTAAAAATACAAAGGATGTCTAAATCTGTTATGTTTTATGAAATGAACAAAACAGTAATCAAGAAAAACCAATCGAGCACAAACAGAATGAAACACCTGATGAGTACCCACTTTAAAGCACCCTCTTTCCTATTCCTATCTTAGGCTTCTTGTCCCTGCTCTTCAGTTGTAAGATTTCTCGCAGAGAAGGAAGGACCTTAGGAACTGGCTGCTGAGATCAGTAGGGTTCATAACAACATTCTAACAACTGCATTTCCCCCAGCCAGTTTTAAATGTGTTATCTGAGCAAGCAAAACCTAAGAATTTCGGTCTTTAAGGACCAGAAATCTGGGACCCAGGCCAAAGTAAACATAGTGGCAATGTATTGCTAAACCCAAATGCAACATTGCTAACCAGTTGCTCAGATGTTCTCACAAAGTAATATTTTCTAACAGTTAGTGATTCCAATGGTAACAGTATCCTTTGCTGATGCTTACACTGCAGTATATAGATGGGATGCAAAGTCTTGTTTCAAAAATGAACAAGCCGGTATTCTATTTCATCATATCAGGAAGTACCTTCAAAATAATAAAAAGGAAGAGATGTTTCACATGGAAAGGAAAGTAAGTTGTTTCTTTATGCTAAAAATGAGAGAGACCAACAATCTTTATTCTATAGATATTTTCTAGAGCCACATGTTTTGTCTATGTTGACATGTAGACTTCCAGGATCTACACTTTGTCTCTCTTTGCTTGCTTCCATCAAGAGGAAACCATGCCAGTGAACTTGGATCAGGATTTGACCTTGACTTGAACCAGGATCAAACTAACCTTGACTTGAACCAGGATCAAACTACCTCACTTAACATCTTCACATACTTGATCATTTTAAGGGAAAAAGCCCCTGACCTCCACACAAAAAGCTGGTAGTCCCAAAAAAATTGTGTCATGATATCCTTAGTGACAAGTAGATACTCTTAGCTTCCAGACAACTGATCCAAGATCAGTACTATACTGCCTCTGATAACAAACACTCATTGAGCACCTATTAGATTCTAGGTGCCATGCCAATTCCCTACATGTAAATCATTGAATCTTCCAACCCTCTAAGATAAGTCTATTTGCAGATGGTGAAATCCAAAGCAAATGGGGTTAACTAACTTGCCCAAGGTCACACGGCTGGTAAGTGGCATAGCAGGACTAGACAAAGGTCTGCTGATATCAGAGCCCATGCTTTCAAATTTACTCTCTAGCCTCCAAGAGAAGCCAGCTACCACCTTGAGCTGCTTTCCCCAGCCCTGCAATTAACTAACTCAGTGTAGTTGGCCTTCAGTTGAGAAACCAAGCCTAATCCCAGTACAGAATTTTGCTTTAAATTGTCTGTCTTTTTCTTCAATTCATCTCTGGAGGAAAAGGCTTTGAACACAGTGACTTTTCCCATTTCCAAGGGTAAGATTCTATGTTCATTTTAAGAGGAAAATCAATCATGAGGTATGTTATCGCCCTTTCAAATCTAGGCCTGAGGAATATGTGGTAACTCATACCATGGTGGCACATAAAGTTTCATTTTCATCAAAGCGCTGTGTCTAAGGAATGATTCACATGTCACTAATAGGGCGTATGGGTGCAATAGCTTCGCTAATGTCCCATTCTCAAAATGGACCCAAGAGAGCTTATTTGGAGAAAGGAATAAGAGGGATGAGGGCAATACTGCGGGAAATGTTGACTGCCCATATGTGGAATAATTGTAACCTAGAGCTCCCGTCCCTTGCCCTGTGGGTAGGTCATACTCCATCAGGAAGGCCACATGGATGATGGATTAACACTGCAGAGATGCCAGCGTGAGGAGTCCCAGGCTGCTCGGATCATCCGGAACACTACAGCCTTATTCAGCCAGTTTGTCAGGTATGTTAGCTCCTTTCCTCCTCTACCTAGTGAGTTTGACTCTGTGGCCTGCCAACACCACCACCCACCTCCTTTTGATACTGTGAATGTTTTCAGGAAATAATGATACACCAGCAAAGAGTTTTACCATCAAGAGCTTGAGACTGAAACATATTTCCTACATAGGCGAACTCCTACTAGCTTCACCCTTTGTTCAACAGATGCCCAAGCCCCATTAGTTACTCAGATTGGAGTGATGAATATCCAAGATCTTTGCATGAAAATTAAGTGAAAAGAGTTGGAGTGCATAGGTCCATTTTATGTTTGTGTGTAAAGAGAGAAAGAGCAAAGAGGAACTGATACACTCCCCCATGTGTTATGTAGAAAGGGTTTCTACAATCATTCAGAATTGCTGCTATGGTTTGGATCAAAGTAACTTCTCACTGGAAGCCTTGGGTTACCCAACTGTGGCTGTGGCTTAAATGGGAAAATTAACGGAACTGTCTGCTTGGATCATAATCCCTCCAGTCTAAATAATGCTTCCAAAACAGAACTCTGTGAATTGTTTTCACCAATTACCATGAGAAACTGATTCTGTTGTGAACTGTGCAGTGTTCCAAGACCATTCTTCTCTTGTAGGAAAATCTCTCTAAAGCCAAGGGGTATAAATTACGTGTGTGAATTTGCATGAAATGGTAACTTTTTTTCAGATCTTGACTTCTCTTGCTGTTGAAGGACTGCAGTCCAAGGGATGTGTATTAGGAAATAGAATAGGCTGCTGTTGCAGTTCAGAGTAAACTTGTACTTCTTGTTTAAGTAATAATATAAAGTAGGTAGGTGGTTTAGGGAAAATAGGTGGCCTAGCTACTAGGGCTCAGGTTCCTTCCATCTTGCTGCTCTGACATCTCCCACAGATTCTTAAAGTTCATCCCTGGACCAGAGCATCAGCATCACTTGCAAACTTGTTAAAAATGCAGATTCTTAGGTTTTACCTCAAACCCACTGAATCAGATACCCTCAGAATAAGATCCAGCAACTCATATTGTTATAGGCCCTCCAGGTAATGCTGATGCATGCTAAAATTTAAACTTGACAATAGAGATCTTAACCTTGGCCACATGCTAGATTTATCTGGGGAGGTTTTAATACCCTGATGCCCAGGCTACATCTTAAACCAATTGCATCAGAATCTGCAGATGTTGGATTCAAATGCCAGTATTTTATTGAAGCTCCCTAGGTGATTGTAACATCAACCTCAGTTGAGAACTGCTATCCTGGGATGTTTTTTCATTCACATGGCCAAAATGTCCAGAATAGATCAATCTGTAGAGGAAAAAAGTAGAGGCAGAAGTGGAAAGAGTTACCTAGGGCTGGGGTGTCTTGGGGGAAAGGGAGAGTGACTGCTACTGTGTAAAGCTTTTTGGAGAGCTGATGAAAACATTCTGAAACTGATCATGACAAAGGTTGCACAACTCTGAATATTCCAAAAGCTAGTGAACCATTGAATTGTGCTCTTTAAATAGGTTACTGTATGATATGTGAACTGTATTTCAATAAAGTTGTTATTTTAAAAAGTCAGTGGGAGTTATGTGCCTGACAATGGGAAAATTATTTTTAAACATCTTTATTGAGGTAGAATTTACATATTACAAAATTCATCCTTTTAAATGTACAGTTCCGTGAGACTTTATTTTTTGTTTTTTTTTTGTTTGAGATAGGGTCTCACTGCGGCCTTTCTGCCATCCAAGCTCAAGCAATCCTCCCACCTTAGCCTCTTGAGTAGCTGTGACCACACATAAATACCATTAGACCTGGCTAATTTTTTAATTTTTTGTAGAGATGGGGCCTCACTGTGTTGCCCAGGCTGGTCTCAAATTGCTGGGCACAAGTGATCCTCTCACCTCAGCCTCCCAAAATGTTGGCATTATAGGCATGAGCCACCATCCCTGGCCAATTCAGTAAGTTTTAATATATTTATTTGCAGAGCCTTACAACCATCACTGCAGTTCAGTTTTAGAACATTTCCATCACTCCAAAAATATCTCCTATGCTCATTGCAGTTTATTCTAGTTGCCACCCACAGCCCTAGGCAACCACTAATCTGCTTTCTGTCTCAATTTAATACATTAAATTAATAAATCATAAAATATGTTGTCTTTTGAATCTGGCCTTTTCACTTAGCATTATATTTTTGAAGTTTATTCATTTGTTTCCTCACCTTTTTATTGGTGAAGAGTATTCTTGTGTGTGTGTGTGCGTGTATGTGTGTGTAGAGTGAAAGATCTATATAGATAGAGATGCACACATAACACATTTTACTCATTTAGTTGATGAACAGTTGATAGTTTCCATTTTGATTACTAAGAACAATGTTTCTATGGATATTAGTGTAAAAGTTTTCAGATATGGTTTCCATTTCTCTTGGGTAAATACTTAGGAGTGAAATTGCTGAGTCACATATAAATTTGTATAACTTTTTGTTGTATTTTTATTGTGGTAAAATATACATCACATAAAACTTATCGTTTTAGCCATTTTTAGTTTCAGTGTCATCACTACTATCCATCTCCACATGTTTTTATCATCCCAAACTGAAACTCTGTATTTATTAAACAAGAACTCCCTATTCTCCTGTCCCTCAGCCCCTTATAACTTCTACTTACTCTCTGCTTCTATGAGTTTATTCTCAGTACCTCATATAAGTGGAAGCACACAATATTTGTCCTTTTGTGTCTGGCTTATCTCACTTAGCAAAATATCTTCAAGGTTTGTCCATGTTGTAACATGTAACATTTCATTCCTTTTTAAGGTTGAATAATATTCCATTCTATATAAATACCATGTTTTGTTTATTCAATTGGGTATGTTTCACTTTTTAAGAAACTGAAAATCTGTTTTCCAAAGTGGATGTAACATTTTACATTTCTCTTAGAAATGTCTGAAGTTTCTGTTTTGTTACATCTTTTCCTACATTTGTTACTATCTGACTTTTTGATTGTAGCCATACTAGTAGCTATGAAGTAGTATTATCGTGGTGGTTTCAGTTTGAATTTCCAGAATGAATAATGATACTGGACATTTTATCATGTGCTTATTAGCCATTCATGTATCTTCTTTGGTAAAATGTAATTAAGTATTTTGCCTTTTTAAGTTGGGTCATTTGTCTTAAAATTTGAGAGTTCTTTGTACCTTCTGATTACAATTTTTTTGCCATATTTATGATTTGCAAATATTTTCTCTTGGTCTTTGGCTTTTCTCATTTTTTTTAAATGGTGTCTTTTGAAGCACAAACGTTTTAATTTTTGATTAAGTTCAGTTTAACATATTTATGGATTCTGCTTTTGGTGTCATATCTAAGAACTCTTTACCTTACTCAAAATCATCATGATTTTCTCCTCTGTGTTTTTCTAAAAGTTTCAAAATTTTAGCGTTTACATTTAGGTCCGTGATCTATTTTGAGTCTATTTCTGTGCATAGTATGAGGTAAAGGTTTAAATTAATATTTTTGCGTGTGGCCATATGGATATCAGATTTTCCCCTGCACAGTTTTCTGGAAAGAGAATATTTCCCCATCAAGTTACCTTGGCACCTTTGTCAAAAGCCAAGTGATCATAAATATAAGAGTTCTTTCTGGACGCTTAGTTCTGTTCCATTGATCTATATGCCTGTCATTATTCCAAAATGACACTGTCTTAATTAATGTGCCTTTATAGTAAGTATTGAAATCATGTACAGTGAATGCTCCAATTTTTTACTTCTTTGCAAAATTTATTTTGGTGCTTCTGGGTCCTTTGTATTCCCATGTAAATTTTAGAGTGAGTTTATTAATTTTTGTCCAAAAAAAATTCTGCTGGAATTTTGATGGGTATTAAATTGAATCTAGAGATCAGTTTTGGAGGACTGTTATCCTCATTAAGTCTTCCAATCTTCAAACATAAAATGTCTATTTATTTTTTAATTATTTTCAGGAAGATATTGTGGTTTTTATTATATAAGTCTTGCACTTCTTTTATGAAATGTATTCCTATGTATTTGATTCTTTTTGGTGCTACTACAAATATAATTATTTTTTTGATTTCATTTCAGATTATTTTCTGGTATATAGAAATTAAGTTTTAAAAATACTGATCTTATGTCATTGACCTAATTGAAATTATTTATTAGTTCAGTGGGCTTTTTGGGGAGCAGGTGGATTCTTTAGAACTTTTTACATACAGGATTATGTCATCTGTGAATAAAAAGAGCTTTATTTTTTTCTTTCCAATAGGGATGCCCTTTATTTATTTTTCTTGCATTATTGCACTGGCTGGAACATCCACTACAATGTGGAATAAAAGTGATGTGAACAGACATTCTTGTCTTGTTCCTGATCTAAGGTGGGGGTGGGGACAGGGTGGGAAACACCAATTTTTCACCGTTAAGTGCGATATTGACTGTAGGGTTTTTGTAGATACCCTTTATCAGGTCGAGGAAGTTCCCTTCTATTCCTGGTTTGTTGAGAGCTTTTATCTTGAATGAGCATTAGATTTTTTCAAATGCTTTTTCTTGGTCTATCGATATGATCATATAGTTTTGTCCTTTGTTAATATGGTTTATTACATTAACTGGTGGAGAATCGGGTATTGATGTTTCTGTTACTGTTGAATTGTCATCTTCTACTTCAATTCCATCAGTTTTTGCTTCACATATTTTGGTTTCTGTTGTTAGGTGCTTATATGTTTATAATAGATATATATTTCTGATAAATTTGCCCTTTTGTAATTTTAAACTATTTTTCTTTTTTCTTTATGAACAGTTTTGTCTTAAGTCTACTTCATAGAGCCATTCCAGGTGTCTTGAATGTGCAGATTATGTTTTTTGTTTGTATGGCATATTGTCTTCAATCTTTGTACTTTTAACTTATTTGTGTCCTTGAATATAAAGTGTGTCCCTTGTAGACAACACATATTTGATTTTTTAAAATAGTCTGACAATCTCTCCCTTTCATTGGTATGCTTCATCCATTTATATCTAATGTAATTATTTAGATAACTGGATTTATGTCTGCCACTTTGCTATTTATTTCTTATGTTTCTTTTGTTATTTTTTGGTCCTCTATTCCTCCCTTACTACCTTTTTTTGTGTTAAATAGATATTCTCTAGTGTAACATTTTAATTAATTTGGGTTTTTAAAAATACTTTTTTGAGGAGTTATTCTCTTAGTGGTTGCTCTAGGGAACTTAATATATATTTAACTTGAAATAATCCACTTCAAATTAATACTAACTTAACAAAGCAACTTTGCATTAACATTTTTCCATTCTTTGCCTACTCCTTTGTGATAATATTGCCACATATATTATATCTTCATAAGTTATAAGCTCAGCAACGCAGTTTTATAATTATTTTATGAAGTTGTTTTTTGAATAAATTACAGGAACATAAAAGAAAGATACATGTTTTTATATTGTTTCTGGTATTTACCTGCATAGTTACCTTTACCAGTATTCTTTATTTCTTTGCATGGATTCCAGTTACTGTTTGGTGTCATTTTCTTTCAGCCTGAAGGACTTCCCTTAGTATTTCTTACAAGACAAGCCTGTGACTATTTGCTGATGGACCTGTGTGTGTGGGCTGAATGACAGTTCGAGGTTCAGGCAGTTTAGAGTTCTATCCTGGATTTTGTCTTCTGCTTGTGCGGGAATGAATAGATAGCTAGGGTCCTCTCCAGTTTTTCCCGAGCATGTGTGTGGCCTTGCCCACTGCCTACTCTGCCCTGTTGGAGCTGTTTTGCCATGAGGCGGTGGGGGGAGGGAGATGGAAGCATCAACAGGCTGAAACACCATAGACTCCAACTGTTCTTCCTAAGGCTCATTAAATTAAAAAAAAAAAACTATATATACACACACACACACACACACACACACACACACTGGGCTGGGCACAATGGCTCACGCCTGTAATCCCAGCACTTTGGGAGGCCAAGGTGGGCGAATCACCTGAGGTCGGGGGTTCGAGACCAGCCTGACCAACATGGAGAAACCCCGTCTTTACTAAAAATACAAAAATAGCCGGGCATAGTGGCGCATGCCTGTAATGCCAGCTACTGAGGAGGCTAAGTCATGAGAATCACTTGAACCCAAGAGGTGGAGGTTGCAGTGAGCCAAGATCGTGCCGTTGCACTCCAACCTGGGCAACAACAGCGAAATTCTGTCTCAAAAAATAAATAAAAAATAAAAATAAGATAAAATAAATACTTGATTTTTTGTATGCCTCTAGTCAATTTCCAGAGTCCAGAGATTGTTATTTTGAATGATTTTGCCCAATTTTTTTATTATTTTGTGTGAGAAAAGATTTACTGAGCTCTTTATTCAGCTGTTAAGTCCCACCCTCAAGAGGGAAATTCTTGATTCTTCCAGGCACAGGATATTTTAGAAAAAAAGGACTAATGAAAAAATATCAATGCTGAGGGGGTGTGGGCTGCAAAAGTTACAGTGTTTGGATTTTGTGATAGCTAGGAAGTGAAGGAGAAAAAAACATTTTGAAGTAGATTCTTCTTTCCCATCTCTTTTGAGAAACCAACTTTGTATGCTGTGTGCACACGGAAACCAGGAGGAGGGGTGGCCTTCTGGGAGCACATTAAGGCTAAGGGAATAGGGAAGGAACAAGAAAGAAAAATGAAGACGAAGAGGTTAAAATTTCATCATGCTATCTCATCATCCTCTGTAGAGTTGCTGGGAACTGTCCAGTAGAATGAACAGTGTGATCGATTAAGGAGTCTGAAAAACTCTGCTGAGGAAAAGATACTGTCAGCTGTCCTCTAAGTTTAACCTTAGAAGAGAGACAACAAATAAATCATTATGTTATGATAAATATTCAGAATCACCTGGGACCTCACTTGAATTTAATAAAAGAATTCATTGGCAAAGGCCTAAGAATATAGTGGGACAGGCTATAGGGAGTTGAAGAAGGTGGGAAGGGATAGGTGATAATTGTAGTTGTTTCTGAGTTGAGGCTCTGACTTATCTCTATACATTGGGCTTTACTCTCTGAGGTTCTTCTAGGGTAGAATATGAATGCCATGATGCTTTCCAGAAGTAATGTCTGTTTTCACCATTGTTCCCCATGCCAAGCATGTGATATGTCTTATTTTTTGAGGACAGAATGAATCTGCCTTAGTCTAGTGGAGGACTATAATATTCATGTTTCTTCAAGGGGCAAGATGAAGTAGTCCAGCAGTGAGAACCCAACAGACAGAAAATTAGACCTGAAGTACCCTGGCAATCAAAGAGTGCACCTTTCCTATTTTCCAGGTGCTATATGGAAGCATAAGAGGCTTAGTGGCAACCCAAATATCACACTGATAATGGCAGTGGCAAGGCTGAGACCTGAGATTTCCAACTCCCTGTGTGGTGCATTTGCTGCCTCAGCGAGCTACAAAAATGTCTATAAACCTCTTGCTGTCATCTTTTCCTATCATGTAAAGAATTATTCTTGACCACCCTCGGTGTTTCTAGTAAAATGAAAGTGTTTTTAAAACAAAAAGCAAAACGTAAGCCCTGGAACTGGACCAAAATATTGAGGAAAATGTATTCATTCCTTCACTGAATTCAGAAGTGGGAAGTTCTATCAAATTGAGTTTCATACTGCCGAGCCTTCATCTCATGTACTCATGGCATTCTCTTCCCCACTATTTTTGTGTCTAATAATAGCCCAGGTAGTCATTTGCAAACACTAACTGAGAACTTACAATGTGCCAGGCACTGCTAGGAGTTGAATACACACTGATGTGCCTCCCTGCCTATAAGAAGCTTACAGTCCCCCATTATTCCTTCCCCATTGCATGCACTTGGCATTTTTAATACAAAATTGGAATGATCACCTCACAGCCTGATTGCTTTCAGAACTTTTTGAGTCTTTGGGCCCCGATGAAAATCTTCCCTTAGCATGTATGCAGATTAATATTTAGCAGTTGGTGAATAAGCAAATATACTGTAAATGCCTAGGAGAGCTCATTAGAAATTGGCCATCAAGAAGAAGCCGTGCTAAATGCTCCAATTAAAAGACACAGAATGGCAAGCTGGGTCAGTAGTCAAGACCCATTCATGTGCCGTATTCAAGAGACCCATCTCACATGCAAAGACATGCATAAGCTTGAAATAAAGGCCCGAGGAAAATTTACCAAGCAAATGCAAAGTGGAAAAAAGCAGGGGTTATAATCTTAGTTTCTGACAAGACAGACTTTAAACAAACTAAGATCAAAAAAGACAAAGAAGGGCATTACATAATAATAAAGAGTTCAATTCAACAAGAAGAGCTAACTATCCTAAATATATGTGTACCTAATACAGGGGCACCCAGATCTATAAAACAAGTTCTTAGAGACCTGCAAAGAGACTTAGACTCCCACACAATAATAGTGGGAGACTTTAACTCCCCACTGTCAATATTAGATCATTGAGACAGAAAATTAACAAAGATATTCAGGACCTCAGTATCAGTTCTGGATCAAGTGGACCTGATAAATGTCTACATAACTCTCCACGCAAAAACAACAGAATATACATTCTTCTCAGTGCCACATGACACTTACTCTAAAATCAGTCACATAATTGCAAGTAAAACACTTCTCAGCAAATGCAAAAGAAATGAAATCATAACAGTCTCAGACCACAGCAAAATCAAATTAGAACTCAAGAAACTCGCTCAAAATCACACAACTACATGGGAAGTGAACAACCTGCTCCTGAATGACTCCTGGGTAAATAATGAAATTAAGGCAGAAATCAAGAAGTTCTTTGAAACCAGTAAGAACAAAGAGACAATGTACCAGAATCTCTGGGATGCAGCTAAAGTAGTATTAAGAGGGAAGTTTATAGCACTAAATGCCCACCTCAAAAAGCTAGAAAGATCTCAAATTGACATCCTAACATCACAACTAAAAGAACTGGAGAACCAAGAGCAAACAAACCCAAAAGCTAGCAAAAGACAAGAAATAACCAAGATCAGGGCAGAACTAAAGGAGATAGAGACACAGAAAGCCCTTCAGAGCATCAACAAATACAGGAGCTGGTTTTAAAAAAAAAAAATTAATAAAATAGACTGCTAGCTAGACTAATGAAGAAAAAGAGAAGAATCAAATAGACACAATAAAAAATGATAAAGGGGATATTAGCATTGACCCCACAGAAATTCAAACAACCATCAGAGAATATGATAAACACCTCTATGCAAATAAACTAGAAAATTGAGAAAGAATGGATAAATTCCTGGACATATACACCCTCCCAAGACTGAACCAGGAAGAAATTGAATTCCTGAATAGACCAATGATGAGTTCTGAAATTGAGGCAGTAATAAATAGCCTACCAACCAGAAAAGCCCAGGACAGGATGGACTTAACAGCTGAATTCTACCAGAATTCTACCAGGTACGAAGAGGAGCTGGTACCATTTCTTCTGAAACTGTTTCAAACAATTGAAAAGGAGAGACTCCTCCCGAACTCATTTCATGAGGCCAGAATCATCCTGATACCAAAACCTGGCAGAGATGAACAAAAAGAGAAAACTTCAGGCCAATAACCCTGATGAACATCAATGTGAAAATCTCTATAAAATATTGGCAAACCAAATCCAGCAGCACATCAAAAAGCTTATCTAGCATGATCAAGTTGGCTTCATCCCTGGGATGCAAGGCTGGTTCAACATATGCAAATCAATAAACACAATTCTTCACATAAACAGAACTAAAGACAAAAATCACATGATTATCTTCATAGACATAGAAAAGGTCTTTGATAAAATTCAACATTTCTTCACAGTTAAAACTCAATAAACTAGGTATTGATGGGATATACCTCAAAATAATAAAAGCCATTTATGACAAACCCACAGTCAATATCATACTGAATGAGCAAAAGCTGGAAGCATTCCCCCTTGAAAACCAGCACAAGACAAGGATGTCCTTTCTCACAGCTCCTGTTTAACGTAGTGTTGGAAGTTCAGGCCAGGTCAATCAGGCAAGAGAAAGAAATAAAGGGTATTCACACAGGAAGAGAGGAAGTCAAACTGTCTCTGTTTGCAGATGACATGATCCTGTATCTAGAAAACCCCATCATCTCAATCCAAAAGCTTCTTAAGCTGATAAGCAACTTCAGCAAAGTCTCAGGATACAAAATCAATGTGCAAAAATCACAAGCATTCCTAAACACCAACAGCGAACAAGTGGAGAGCCAAATCATGAATGAATTCCCATTAATACTTGCTACAAAGAGAATAAAATACCTAGGAATACAGCTAACAAGGGAAGTGAAGGACTTCTTCAAGGAGAACTTAAAAAACACTCGTCAAAGAAATTAGAGATGACCGAAACAAATGGAAAACACTCCATGCTCATGGATAGGAAGAATCAATATCATGAAAATGGCCATACTGCCCAAAGTAGTTAATAGATTCAATGCTATTCCCATTAAACTACCATTGACATTCTTCACAGAATTAGAAAAAACTACTTTAAAATTCATGTGGAACCAGAAAAGAACCCATATAACCAAGACAATCCTGAGCAAAAAGAATAAAGACAGAGGCATCACACTACCCAACTTCAAACTATGTTATAAGGCTACAGTAACCAAAACAGCATGATACTGATACAAAAACAAACACATAGACCAATAGAAGAGAATAGAGAACTCAGAAATAAGACCGCACATCTACAACCATCTGATCTTTGACAAACCTGACAAAAACAAGCAATGGGGAAGTGATTCCCTATTTAATAAATGATGCTGGGAGAACTGGCGAGCCATGTGCAGAAAATTGAAACTGGACCCCTTCCTTACACCTTATACAAAAATTAACTCAAGATGGATTAAAGACTTCAATGTAAGACCCAAAACTATAAAAACCCTAGAAGAAAATGTAGGCAATACCATTCAGGACATAGGCATAAGCAAAGATATCATTATAAAAATGTCAAAAGCAAATGCAACAAATGCAAAAATTGACAAATGGGATCCAATTAAACTAAAGAGCTTCTGCACAGCCAAAGAAACTATCATCAGAGTGAACAGACAACCTACAGAATGGGAGAAAATTTTTGCAATCTCTCCATCTGACAAAAGTCTAATATCCAGAATCTACAAGGAACTTAAATTTACAAGAAAAGAAAAACTCATTAAAAAGTGAGCAAAGGATATAAACAGACAGTTCTCAAAAGAAGACATTTATGTGGCCAACAAACATAGGAAGAAAAGCTCAACATCACTGATCACTAGAGAAATGCAAGTCAAAACCACAATGACATACCATCTCATGCTAATCAGAGTGGCAAGTATTAAAAAGTCAAACAACAGATGCTGGCGAGGCTGTGGAGAAATAGGAATGCTTTTAAACTATCGGTAGGAATGTAAATTAGTTCAACCATTATGGAATACAGTGTAGCAATTCCTCAAATACCTAGAGCCAGAAATACCATTTGACCCAGCAATCCCATTACTAGGTATATACCCAAAGGAATATAAATCATTCTGTTATAAAGATACAGGTACACATATGTTCGCTGAAGCTCTAGGCACAATAGCAAAGACGTAGAATCAACCCAAATGCCCATCAGTGATAGACTGGATCAAGAAAATGTGGAACATATACACCATGGAATACTATGCACCCATAAAAAGGAATGAGATCATGTCCTTAGCAGGGACATGGATGGAGCTGGAAGCGATTATCCTCAGCAAACTAATTCGGGAACAGAAAACAAAGCACCACATGTTCTCAGTTATAAGTGGGACCTGAACAATGAGAACACATGGACACAGGGAGGGGAACAACACACACTATGGCCTGTCGAGGGGTGGGGGGTAGGAGGAGGCAGAGCATCAGGAAAAATAGCTAATGCATGCCGGGCCTAATACTTAGGTCAGGGGTTGTTAGGTGCAGCAAACCACCGTGGCACACGTCTGTGTAACAAACCTGCACATCCTGCACATGTATCCCAGAACTTAGAATAAAAAAAAAAAAACAACAACAAAAAAAAACTCCTCGTGATGTTACTTGCACATTGAGCCAATTCTCAATCACTCAGGGCCTTATGATGCAAACCCACAAGAGATAGGTCCATTTCCCCTTCCTCTTCATAGCCTTTGCCCTCTGAGAGGCTCCCAGGTGTACTCCTCAAGGAGATGGGGAAATGAAGGGTCATTTTGTTATCTGTGGTGCTTTGTATTCTCTCTGTGTTGAAGGGGTTTAATTACAAAAAATTGGCAGAGATTAAAACAGAAAAAGAGACAGAGAAACTTGCGGAATAGGAGGAACACAACAGGGAGAGAGAGATGGAAGGGCAGGTAACATGGGGTTGGGGAACACCAAGAAACAAAGAGGGACAGACCTCAAGGCAGAGAAGAAGGATGTTTGAGAGATAGGGGACACTGAGAAAGGAGGGTGATATTCAGAGAGGGAACACAGGGTGAGGAAAGTCAGATGAAAGGACCACAGATACAGAAAGTAAAGGAACCATCAACAAATGGAGTGAAGGAAAGCAGGCATGTACACAGAGAAACGTGATGAGAAAAACACATGCAGAGATCTCAGAAGACACATAGAGACGTGGAGGGGGGTGCAAGAGGAGAGACAAAATTAACATGGAGATAGAGGCAAAGACCCAGTGATAGAAATCCTTCCACCTTAGGATTAATCAATGCCAAGAAGGTGTGATTGTTTAAAAGAATCATGGGTTAAGAAGTTTATTTTTTCTAAATGTTTTTATTTTAAAAAAAAATGTGTGACAGACAACCAGGGGTAAATGGAAGGGGAAGCATCTGCTATAGATAGAAGAGTCACTGTCAAAATCACAGTTGAAATTACCTCTTTAGATTACAGGGAAATCATGGTTAGACATTCAGTGAATACCCATTGACGCTATGTGCTGAAATATTACAGTAATATTAACAGGATGAGTTATAAGTTGCTTGAAAATAAATGTGCTAAAAGGAGTCACTTCCCTTTGTTTATGAAAATAGCTTTAAACTTGAATGTGAATATTTCCTTCTGTTGCTCTGATATCTGGGAAACTTCATTTTGTAGCTGCTGGTACAGTGGCCGCCCAAGGAAGCAACTCATGGTGCACCGTGGGGGGCTGTTAGGAGTGG